>NC_000006.12:63216442-63519473 GCF_000001405.40 Homo sapiens
ATATTATATATACATAGATTACCAATATTTATGTAGTGTTGACATTTATGTAGTTTCCAATATTTTTATTATTATAGACAATGCTGCAGAAATATGTGTGTGAATGTGTGTATATGTGTATATGTATGTATATCTTGACATATGGTTTCAAATATATCAATTGGGGTAAATTTCTAACCATGCAGCAGCTGGGTCAAAAATCATGTGACTTTTTTTATTACACAGTTATTGCAAAATAGCCCTTCAAAAAGTTAGCAGAAGTATGCCTAACATACCAGATCTTCTTGCCAAATGTGGGTATTACTAAGCTCATTGAAAAAAAAAAAAAAATGACAAATGGATTTTATTGCTTTAATTTGCAAATATTTAATTACAAGTGAGCCTTACTTAGCATCTTTTTATGTTAGTAAAATAGTTGCATTTTTTAATGAAATAGCTATGCATGTCTTCTTTTTTATTGAAAGATAAGAGCTTCTTATATATTAAAGAATATGGACCTTTGCCAGTTGCCTTTAGATGTCATTCTTATTTTTCTTTGCAGATTTTTTTTAAATTTTGTGTAAGCACTTTTATCAATCTTTTTCTAATGTGTGTAGGTTTTGTCTTTCTCCATTTTTCTATTTTTTGATTACAAGATTATTTTATAAAATTATTTATTTTACTTTTCAATATATTGTTTTGATATTTGCTATTTTGGGAATGTCCATTAATTATCTGGATGTTTGGATTCTATTCACCCTATCTAGAAACTTCAGAAATATGACTCCCATATTATATAATTGATATATGTATCTAAATGTACAAGTATATATGAACAAATATACATATCTATGTGTCTTTGTCTGTTTGAGCTGCTATAACAAAAGTACCATACACAGGAGGCTTAAACCACAAACATTTATTTCTTACAGTTCTGAAGGCTGTAAAGTCCAAGAACAAGGTACTGATAGGTTTGCTGTCTGGTAAGCGCCTGGCTCATAGACAGTTGTCTTTTCCCTGTGTCCTCACAGTCCTCACATGGCAGCAAAAGGGCAAGAGAACTCTCTTGGGTCTTTTATTTATTTATTTATTTATTTATTTATTTATTTATTTAGGCAGGGTCTCACTTTGTCACTTTGTCACCCAGGCTAGAGTGCAGTGGCACAACCTTGGCTCACTGTAGCCTTGACTTCCTGGGTTTCTCCTGCCTCGACCCCTCAAGTAGCTGGGACTACAAGCCAAGTACCACCACACCCAACTAATTTTTGTATTTTTTGTAGAGACACAGTATTGCCGTGTTGCCCAGGCTGGTATCAAACTCCTGAGCTTAAGCAGTATGCCCACCTCAGCGACCCAAAGTGCTAAGATTACAGGCTTGAACCACAGCACTCAGCCTTGAGGTCTTCTTTTTAATAAGGGAACTAATCCCATTTATTAGGGCTTTACCATCATAATCTAATCACCTCCCAAAAGCCCTCCTTCTAAACCGTCATATTTAGGGTTAGAATTTCCATATAGAAATTTGGGGGTGGGAGACAAATATTTAGTTTATAGCACTGTGTATTCAGTCATTAGAAAAAGATTTTACTAATTGGCCAAATGTTATTCAGGTAATCTTCTGGGTCTAATTCGGATCTTTTAATATCTTAGAGCTACAATTTACTGCATATAAATAATTTGAATTACAGATACTATTAACCAAATGAAAATTTAATTCCTTACATTTTTCTTACATAACTCCTGACCACTGACCTTAGTGATCTAAAATATCACACATGGAAGTTGATCAAATAAAATAGGATTCAGTGATGCTTAAACCTTTCTACAGACCTTTATTCCTTATCCTTAAGTAAATGATTATTAGTGCAAATGCAGGCAATATAACTTAGTCATGACAAGAGACAGATGCTCAAGCCCACAGAAATTAAAATCAAAAACTTCAAATAGCTAAAATTTTATAGCCAGCCTTATTATTTATATTTCCCCAAAGTAACAATAAAACTGCTATGTTTCAGAAATCTTCAGAAAGATAGAGTTTATTCATATAAATGCATATTATATCCATTACTATAATACCAATAAAATATCAAATATCATTAATTTACAGCAAAAATCATAAGCCAAGACTTTATATCCTTTGTACTACGTAGTACAGAAATGTAAAAAAAAATCTTATATGCAGATTTGTACATGAAAGCAAATTTATATAACTATGGTAAATGTAACTAATTTTTAATCAGTATTAATGGTCTGCTGTTCAGAGAAGCCTATAAGTAATGAGAACTTTCAGCACATCCTGAAATTGAATATAATTGCTCAACGTGTTCTCTAGAGAATTTACCTGAGTTTGGAAACTCCGGAAACAACCATATTCATGTTATATTTATGCTGTTTCAAAAAGATTTTCTGTCCAGTAACGTAAAATGAACAGACTGCTAAACTCTCATTTGTTTTCCATATCCTCTCCCTGCTTTCTCTTCTACTTTCCCTGGTGAACAGATATTCATTTTTCAGATTCATATAACAATTTGAGCCCCAGCTATTTTGTAAGTTACAAAGACCCCGAGGCTTGAGTTGTGGTTGTGAATTTCTCACTGTAGTTGTGTCTCAAGCAGATGCTAGCCTAGCAGCTATCCACAGCCATTAAGAACATAAAGAAAAATATAGCAGCCAATGGCTATAGGGAAAAAAAAAACCTCATGATCAGCCAGCTGTTATACTTTGAATGCTGCTGAAATATGAGTACAGAAAGGACAATAAGAGGATTTCAAAACATTCACATACGTGTGTGGTGGAAAGATTTTTTATTTGAATCAATCGGGGAAGGGCTTGAAAGACTTGCCCCTAAGTTACAAAAACTGATATTTCAATTTCCTTGTGAATTGATTGAGATATGCCAAATTGGCCAAATCTTCAAATTACACTCTAAATTGCTGCATTTGTGGAAAGCTAGCCAAAATATTAGATGGAATAATGTTAAATATATTGTGTGTCATGTGTGATTCATTTTCCTACAATTATATCTTTATTGTTTCAATTAGTGCTTTTTTCCCAATTGATTCACATTTTTCTGATAATTGAATTGCTGAAGAAGAGGGATGTGTCACTGTCCAGCTTTTTTAAACTGTAAGAAATAATGTAATGTTTCTAAATTTGAAATATATCAGCCTTCCTAGATTAAAAGCTCCAAATATTTATGTTCACATTTTGACAATTCTCTGGTTTTGGTAATGTCTAAAATGACATCAAAATTCAATTTCATTCAAAACTTAGCCAACTATTTTATAGAATTTTTGAGATTGTTTTTGTCATCTTATGCAAACTGCTTGAGGAATATGACATATATCAACCTCCAATAATTTGTAAAATGTTATAAAATAATGATATCTTTTGTTTTTTAATCCATACAGATAAATCATTTATTTCAAGATCTCTCGTTTAAAAATATGCTGAGACTGCCTATGTAATTCATCAGGTCAACACTGGTTAACAAAATAAGTAGCAATTTGGTTAAATAACTGGCCAAAGAACACCTAGTTTGACTGAATAACTAAAATCTGGCTGCACATCATAGTGGTGAAACGAATTGAGAATTAAAGGACAAGATCTAAAGTCCTGGATAATTTGCAGCAATACAGTACAGCGATTTTCCACATTTTAAGAATCACTCGCTTTCTTAAGTGGTTTGCTGGGTTTTTTTAGCTGACTTTGTAATAAAATTATTTTCTTTTGCAATTAATTTTCTATAACATTATATTTAATTTTTTAATTCTTTTATTTTTTGAGACAGAGTCTTGCTCTATCACCCAGGCCAGAGTACAGTGGTACGATCTCGGCTCCTCCACCTCCTGGGTTCAAGCGATTCTCCTGCCTCGGCCTCCCTAGTAGTTGGGACTACAGGCGCCCACCACCACACTCAGCTAATTTTTAGAGACAGGGTTCACCATGGTGGCCAGGCTCGTCTTGAACTCCTGAGCTCCAGTGATCCGCCCAACTCGGCCTTCCAAAGTACTAGGATCACAGACTCAAGACACCGTGCCTGGCTAATTTTTTAATTCTTCATGATGATGCATCATGTTGGTTAACTGACTGCATCATTTTCCACCAGCCACTTAATTTCACTGAGCCACACTTGTCTCATTTGCTACTTGGAAGTTGAAGTTGAATGTAATTTTCTCTCAAATGGCTTTTAGTTCTAACATTGTGGCATTCTCTTCCTTTTTTGGATTTATATTTATGAAAATTTTGGTCTATGATCTAGCTATATTTATGAAAATTTTTGTTTTCCCATTTTTATCGTATTTGGTTTTTAAGATTATTTCACAAAGCAAATTCTGAAATTTTTCATCTTTTTTTATGAACTGCAATAATTTAAATGCTGTATAAAACAGTATAGAATTATACTATGCAATTTCCATCAAAGCTTTACTTTTACTTCTTTGAACTTCACAGTCAATCTAGTTTGAAAACAACAACAAAAAGTAACAATAGCCACAATATTGGCCCAGGACCCTCACAAACCTGAAAGCAATAAGTACCAAATTCTTCTACTTAGAAAATGTTTCCTCAGAATGCAATTACATATATATTTATACTTCCTTGGAAAGACTAACCATCACTTTAAATTTTTCCAGTGGGAACTAAAATAAGAACATAATTGTGCTATAAGGAAAACACACTCCAAAAACAGGAAGCTTAAATAAAATCTTAAAAATAGATCCTAAACTGAATCCATGTCTCAAAATACTAAAGATCCACATGAATCACTAAAATTACTAAAGAAATCAGCTTAGAAATGCTGTAGCCCCAATTATTTTGCATGCCAACTATTCAGCTGAAAATTCAGCTTTTGGATTAAATCAAGTATTGAATGGATAATTTATCCCCAATCATGAATTATATTAGGCCTAAAAATGACAGAAAACAAAGAGTAAACTTACTTGCGGAATTTATTTCTGTATTGTCATGGACAATAAAAAAACACTCGTAAAATAAAAGCAGATATTTTTTCTGAATTATTTGGTAGAATTTGAAGTATTTTTTTAAAAAATAAAAGCACTTATAAATGTTTTATTTCATTGATTGAAGGGAAATTTTATGAGATGTGAAAGGAAAGTTAAATATGAATTTTGTCTGCTTTTGCCACTGGCCCTGTACTGTGTCCTGTCATATGATTAGCAGCAGATAACAATGCTCTGTATGAACCATATCACAACTCATTCTGGCTTTATTGAATTACTTTTCCACCACAGTCAAGTTGGATCTCACTTCAAGGGTTGCTTCAATTTCAAGATTTCTGCATACACATTTCTATATGACTATAAAGTAAAAAATCCTCTATCCTCAAAGATATTTTTTAGTAGCTGAGAAACACTGCCACTAAAAACATTCTGTAAAGAACGTCTTGGAGTAATTTATAATCACTAACTAGCACAGATTGAGCACTTAATTTGTCATATGCCAGACCTATACTATGCATTTTAACAAACATTATTTCAATTGTCCCTTTAAGGTAAGTTGGTAGTATCTCCATTTTACAGGTGAGGAAAATGAAGCTTACAGTGGCTAATTAGTGTGCTCAAGGTCACACAAGTAATAATTATAGCCCAGATGTGATGCTATACAGAATTTTGTTAAATTCTTAAAGCTCACTCCCTCTTTCTATTATTTATACTGTGTAGCTCATCTTTAAAATCACCAATATTCAGTTGTACAGCTATGCTATCCTATTAACTACATTTTCCTTATATTTGCTTCCAGTTAGTTGAATTGGCACTTACTAAAGAAACTAATTTGATCTTACTGTTTGTAATTTCTCTTCCATTTACTGTCATTATCTTAACATCTCAAATCCTATTGACTGTGAATCTTCTAAACCCAGTTTTCTTATCTACCCAGGGAAAGTACAAAAAGAACAAAACCTACATATGCTATAGAACAAATAACCTTATTCCAGGCTAAGTGTGAGTTACAAGGTGAGGATAAAAGTATAATTTCATGGAGGAAACAGGGCATTCTCATCACCTGTGAATTGGTATTACTGAGCGTAGTCTCACCATGAGGTAGCTTTACAGTGATGGGCATGTGTTCTTGGAAACTGATTACATGAGTTTGAATCCCAACTTCAACATTTGTGCCTCAACTTCCTCATCCATAAAATAGTATAATACCAAACACGAGGTTGTTTAGAGGATAAAATGACTTCACAATATAAAAATACCTAGAATATACCCAGAACTGAATAAGCACTATATAATATTATTATTGAAAAAAGAGCTCTGAAATACCTGCCACATATATATTCAAATAATTTCAAAAGAACATTTAAGAACACACATTAGTGTGTTTAAATGATCTGGTATTCTAAATTATGAATGTTGCTGCCCACCCCCTTTCTCATCCCCATTGGTACAGAAAATAATAGAGCTCACCAAATATGAGGACGACTGTTTATAACTCAACATCTACCATGTGGATGAGTATTTTCCGGGTTGTATGATTAGTTTTACTGAGTTGACTGGTAAAATATTTCACAGATCCAGCCTCTGCATATCTACTAAGAACTTCTGGCTGAGTACAGACTCAAACACCAAAACATCACAGCCTATCCTGGTGCAAACTTTCCTGTGCTACAGCTGCTCCCAGGCTGAATTTTTAATTTTTAATTTTTTAGTTTTTAGGAACTGAGAATCTGATTGTGCTGGATTTAATCCCTAGTCTGCCACTTAATTTCTGTATGGTCTTTCACATGTCACTTAACCTCTCTTCTTATAGGATGTTGATAATGGTCCACCCTCAAACCAAAGTAAAACAAAACTGCCTTGTGAAGAAGCTGTCGTTTGATGGAATCACTAAAAGTGAGTTCCTGTATTTACTATTCCTTTTGTCACCATCACCTCTAATTATCTTCATTCATGTTCCCAAGTCCTTTCAGGATCCTCCATTCTCTCTCAATCTAAAGAAATGAGCTTAAACTATCTGAAAGCACTTGGGGATTAAATAAAACACTGGAAAAACAGAAGGCAAGAATTATCAACTAATTCTTCCAGTTTCATTTCTCCAGTGCTTTCTCACAGATTCTAAAAGTTACTCACACTTTTTTTTTAACTTGCTAATTAACTGGCCTTCTTTGTTGTAGCTGGTGTCAATTAAATAGAAGGGGAAAATGAGAGATTATTTATGCAGCCCAGAGAAGAGTTTATGGTCAAGTCCCTTTCCGAAGGGTACAATGTGGCAGGAAGGTATAGGGGAAATATGAAAATAATTTCAAAAGGATGAAAATTTAATAATGGACTATTATAAGTGTCAAGAAAAAAAGTAAATGACTTCCATAAGGCAAAAAAAAAAATTATTGGATGTTCTTTCAGTAGAATGCTGAAGGTTGTCTTAATTTTATAAGGATCTGCATCTTTCATTGTCTTTGACTAGAATATTCTATAGCTCTGTAGAGATGGAAGTTAACCTACAGAAAAGTAATGGTGACACAGATATTCTTTGTCACAGTAATGCAATTGGCTCCTGTTTATGGTAATGCAAATGAATTTGTTGAGTAGATACGTAAATCTCCATTAGTTAAATTCTCATTTGAAGTGGTTATAACATCTTACTAATTTACTCATTAGTTGATGAGTTAAATAAAATATTTTATATTTTTGAGACACATAATTTTATCATTTTGAAAACTATATTTTAGTATAGATACAAAATTAAGAGAGATGGTGAAATGACTAAATCTGCTGCAGTGAGAGAAAAGGTCAAGAAAGGCTTCATGGAGAAAGTTAGCACAGAGAAAGTTAAAGAAAATAATTGAAAATTTCCTAGCAGACAAGTAGAATAGAATTCTAGGTAGGGGAAATCCGAGATAAAGACTCATAAACGTAGAATAGCACTTTTTTACTCAACACTAAGAAATGAAGTGAAAGATAGTTAAAATACAGTTCTGAGTGTCAGGAACTTTATAGATGAGTAGATGACAAACAAATAAGACAGGTGTTATTCAGTATAATAAGCTAAAAAATGACAAAGGTGCTGTGACCACATAGACAAAGGGCATCAAATTTCTAAAGAGAAGCTAAGATGTATTTTGGAGGACTTACTGTTTGTGATGAATCATGACAAATAAATAGAAATTACCTAGATGAAGAAGGAAAGATGGACATTTGAAGCAGGGGAGAAAACGTGGAAACATAAAATTCTAACTTTACAAAGTGCTAGTTCTTCACAAGTTTTCAACTAGAAGAAAAACGTTAAAAAATAAATGTTGTGCTACTTAATTTATGCCCATAACATCCTAGACATGAATCATGTGCAATCCATTTCTCAGAAGTATACCTCAGTATGAAACAAATACCATGTACTTATTCCAAATGGTTTATTTACCTACACCCAGACCCAAGATTCAGTCAACTTAGTGTCTGCCTCAGCATCCATAAATTTCCCTCTTTCTGTACTCACTTTCCTCTGCACTTCTTGCTTCCTCAATTATCCTGTCCCTCAGGACCTTCTTGACCTTTTCTTCTTCTCTGCACTTCTTCCAGTTTTCCAGTTCCTCACTGAAGGTATTTTGTGAGGTCCCTAGTGTATGTCTCTGAGGGAAGTTAGGGTCTTCAAATTGAGGTTTTTATAAGACAAACAAAAATTTTTGGCTATATCAATTGCCTCTCCTAGAGTAGTTCAGGGTATTATTATGTTAATAAATTATCTGTCTTTAAAAATGCCTTTCTTTTCTGTTGGGAATAAAATCAAGAAGGAAAGATGGGGATAAAAAGAAAAGAATTTTATCTTCTTCCACCACACTCTCTAGTGATTCATGAAAACTATATTTATTCAGCCTGAAGTACTGTACTGTTATTTGCTCTGTATTAGTGAATTCATGTGTGTGTGTGTGTGTGTGTGTGTGTGTGTGTGTGTGTTAAAATACTCTTTCTTTTATGGAACACTCGTTGTAGTTACTAGCAACATATTTTAATGCCTTTTTGGCAAAAGAGAAAGTCACCAACCTCCATTTTTTAATTTTAAATGAGAGTCAGCACTCTCATTTTTGTTTAATTCTCATAGTGAAATCCATAAATTAAAGAACTAGACTAGATAATATTCAGATCTTCCAACAAGATCAAATGGTCAAATCATTCAGAGCCAAGACTATGATCCGAACTATTAGACTTTTGGTCCAGTGTTCTTTCTATCATTACATGCTAGAGGAATTCAAGGAATCTACAATACATCACCTACAACTGAAAAGTCAGTAATGCAAACCATGTCAGTTCTAGCTCTGAGAAATAATGGTTTAAGATAAATTTTGATATTGTATTAATTGGTGTTAAAATTTTTAAGTCTAACATTTATATTGAACATAACTTTTTATTCCCTGGACTGGAAAAACTAAATAATTTAGGTGATTATTCAATTTTACTTCAAGAACCCAAAGATAATATGTATGAATTATTTGTTTGCATTGAATCCTAATAAAATAAATAGAGTAGGTTACTTGTAAGGAACCTTTTACTTTCCTTTTAAAAAAAAAAGCTTTCAAAACCTGAACCACATTTTTTTAAATTTTATTATTATTATACTTTAAGTTTTATGGTACAGGTGCATAACGTGCAGGTTTGTTACATATGTATACATGTGCCGTGTTGGTGTGCTGCACCCATTAACTCATCATTTAGCATTAGGTATATCTTCTAATGCTATCCCTCCCCCCTCCCCCCACACCACATGGTTTATGAGAGCAAAAACATTATACTCACCCTTCACGGGTGAAGTACTATGTATTTGTAATGACTCACAGAGCTACACTCAAGCAATTTGAAATGACAAAAGTATGAAGAAACCAGCGCATTTAAATGAAAAATGAAGATAAATCCAAATAGCATGAATTGTATAATTTTAAAGAAAACTTATGAACACACATGTGTTGACATGTTGAAACTGAATATTTTATTTGAATAATTGAAACATCATCTTGGTAAACACATGGACTGGTTTTTTTTTTTTTTTTTGGTTTTGGGTTTTCATTTTAAGCATTGTAACCTCCCAACAGAAGATGGTTAAAAAGTGCTGTACCAAGCTCTGTCTAACCAGGAATCCGAGAGTCTCTCTTAAGCACTATGAACTCAATGAATAAATTAAATGATGCCTCTGTTTTACCTGGAATGAAGGTCATTTCTTGCTGTCTCATAATGCTACTCTTAAAATTTTCATTGGCAATTAAATTTCACTTAGCACACTAACAAAAAAAATAAGATATTATATAAAATGTTTTCCAGAAGATACTGTGAAGTGAAAAAAGTACAAAACAGCATATGCTATCTACCTTTTAAGAAGGAAAGGAAAATATAAAAATACAAATATATGCGCCCATCTCTACAAAAAGAAAACACTGAAAGGATAAATCAGAAAACTATAATGTTGTTTCCTACAAGGGGCAGGTGGGAAGCGGGCAGAAGGGTTATAGTTGAGACTGACACATTTTTGTAAATGCCTTTCAGAGCCTTAACTTTTAGAAATATATCAATCATCTGTATGTTAAAAAAAATCAACAAGAATAAGAAATAGGTGAGGGGACTAAAACTGAAAGCAAATAAAATGAAACTAAAACAAATAAATGAATCCAAGTGTATTTCAAATGAATAAAATCTCAGAGAAAGGTGGGTTTGGGTGAAGGGACTCTAATGCAATTATCACTAAGGGGCGAGCAAGATGTTTATATGATCTTAAAATGTCTGTCTGCACGTTGCTTATTAGTTGCAAAAGAAAGAACTACATAATTGAGAAATCACACAAGGCACTAAGTAGATAATCAGAATGAATATCACAAATGAACATCAAAAATGGACACAGTTGTGGTGCCTTAGGAAGCATACAACCTCACTTTTGCTATATTTCAAAAGGGAATGCATAATCTGAGTCTATTCATGAGGAAACGTTAGTCAAACCTAAATTGTGAAATATTCTATTTTAAAATAAAGGGTGGATGGAGAGACCTGTACTCTTAAAAAATATCATTGTTATAAAAGTCAAGGTGCTTGTGACCCACCTTCCGGAAGGAAGCGGTTAACTATGGCGACCTCCACGGAGCAGTGGGTTCTGGTGGGGATGGTACAGGCGCTTTAGGAGGCTCCTGCTTACCATCTTATTTTGGAAGGGATTCTGTTACTCTGGATAATCAGACTTCTTTTCTCTAAGACTTACAAATTACAGGAACGATCTGATCTTACAGTCAAGGAAAAAGAAGAACTGATTGAAGAGTGGCAACCACAACCTCTTGTTCCTCCTGTCCCAAAAGACCATCCTGCTGTCAACTACAACATCGTTTCAGGACGGAGTCTTGCTCTGTCACCAGGCTGGAGTGCAGTGGTGCGATCTCGGCTCACTGCAATCTCCACCTCCCAGGTTCAAGCCATTCTCCTGCCTCAGCCTCCTGAGTAGCTGGGACTACAGGCACAAGCCACCATGCCCGCCTAATTTTTGTATTTTCAGTAGAGACGGAGTTTCACCATGTTGGCCAGAATGATCTCGATCTCCTTTTTTTTAATTAAAAAGTAAACTTTAATGTTGAAAATGCAAACTTGGGGAAGGCAGAAAGATAACACACAAGGCTGTCACTTCACACTTCGAAGGTTGCAAAGCAGGCGGGCAGAGGCGCTCCTCACTTCCCAGATGGTGCGGGGGCTGGGCAGAAACGCTCCTCCCTTACAAATGGTGAGGGGGCTGGGCAGAGGTGCTCCTCACTTTCCAGACAGGGCGGCGACTGGGCAGAAGCACTCCTCACTTCCCAGATGGGATGGTGGCCAGGCAGAGGCACTCCTCATTTCCCAGAGAGTGAGGAGGCCAGGCAGAGGCACTCTTCACTTCACAGACAGGACGGCGATGAGGCAGAGGCGCTCCTCATTTCCCAGACGGTGAGGAGGCCAGGCAGAGGCACTCCTCACTTCACAGACAGGACGGCGGCAAGGCAGAGGCGCTCCTTACTTCCCAGACAGGGTGGCGGCTGGGCAGAGGTGCTCCTCACTTCCCATACCGTGAGGCGGCCAGGCAGAGGTGCTCCTCACTTCCCAGAAGGGGTGGAGGCTGGGCAGAGGCGGTGCTCCTCCTCAATTCCCAGATGGTGGGCAGCTGGGCAGAGGCGCTCCTCACTTTCCAGACAGGGCAGTGGCCAGGCAGAAACACTCCTCACTTCCCAGAGTGTAAGGGGGCTGGGCAGAGGCACTCCTCGCTTCGCAGACAGGACGGCAGCTGGGCAGAGGCGCTCCTCACTTCCCAGACAGGGCGGCAGCCTGGCAGAGGCACTCCTCACTGCCCAGATGGGGCAGGGCCCAGGCAGAGGCGCTCCTCACTTCCCAGACTGTGAGGCGGCTGGGCAGAGGCGCTCGTCACTTCCCAGACAGGGTGGGGGACGGGCAGAGGCGCTCCTCACTGCCCAGAGGTGCAGTGGCCAGGCAGAGGTGCTCCTCACTTCCCAGACGGTGGAGCAGCTGGGCAGAGGCACTCCTCACTTCCAAGACGGTGGGGCAGCTGGGCAGAGGCACTCCTCACTTCCCTGATGGTGGAGCAGCCAGGCAGAGGCGCTCCTCACTTCCCAGATGGTGCAGGCAGAGATTCTCCTCAGGTCTCAATCTCTTGACCTCCTGATCCACCTGCCTGGGCCTCCCAAAGTGCTGGATTACAGGCGTGAGCCACCACGCCTGCCCTGCCGTCTCTTCTTTCTCCTCCTAAGCAGCTGTCTTAGTCTCCTGAATTTTGATGTTCTACTTAACACCCTCCTGTTCTTATGCATGTTGCCCTGCTGGAGGCGTCCTTCTCTTTGGGAAGCCTGACCCACCAACAGTGCCTCAGGAGATAGACATGGAAGCTTAGCCGGTGGGGGCCCCTCATCTCTATCCCACCTCAGTTGCAGGGGAGGGGTCGGTTGCAGCTGCAGCGGTGGCCCCGACAGTTTTCTTTTGCAGGACCTGTGGCTGACAGCTCTGGGTGGAGAAGACCTACTTGATCCAAGAGCTGCAGGATCCTTGGGCTGCATGTCCTCCCCCAGCATCAGCAAGCATGGAGAGCTGGGCAGGTGGTCTTTACCCAGCACCTTCAAGGCCGCCTTCTCTGGCCACAGGGAGCAGCCCGGAACTGGGGCAGGGACCACTGTTGGAAGTGGGTCAGGCTTCCCAAAGGGAAGGATGCCTCCAGCAGGGCTGTGTGAACTGGAGACTCCATGGCCCTTGGAGTAGAAACTCACTGCATACACCTGGGCCTTGTCAGTCTGGTTCTTTTCTGCCAAGCTGTTGAGGTGGACATTTCCCTCCAAGGGCCTGGGATTGTACCAGGAGGAAGTGAGGTTTCCCTGAGTCTCCAGGGGCCCAGAGGTGAAGGCTGCTTCCCCATTGCTACAGGGGCCCCTTTTATTGTCCTTCTGCCCCTGGGTCTCTACTTGGTATTTCACCTTCGTTGCTTCTTTGGGCTCTTCTGCCCTCACCTCTGTCTTCGGGAGCCTGGCTGGGATCACCTGCTCAACTAATGAAGGAAGTTGAAGGTTAAACTTGCCTCTGAGATAAGGGATCCTCACGGGGCTGAGGTGTCCAAACATCATGGAGTTGCAAGCAGACAGCAAGGGTTTCTTCCTTGAGGGGGAGCTCCAGACCACAGGAGGCAGGACCCTCTGTGGGGTGCCCGTGTTCCGAGGGATAAGACTCAGCCTCATAGGGGCGCCGTCCCACCTGACTGGAAAAGAAGGCCCAAGATGTCACTGACGGTTGAAGAGGAGTGGGAAACGGCCCAAGATTCCCGGGGCAGGCACAGGTGCAGGAGCAGCAGGGTGAGCCCGGCCAGCTGGGAAGGCCTCACGGACAAGACGAGCAGGTTGCTGATGGCATGGCCAGGACCTGCGGTGGAACCAGGAACAAAATACACTTAGTGAGTTGCCCATTTTGAGCAAGTTGTGCACAGACGAAACTAAGGGTCAGAAGTGGAGAGGATACTCCTAAGTCACCCACTTCTATGTGGCCGGGTGCACACTGGGCATCTGGGAGTTTATGACATCACCATGGGGCTGGTGACAGAGCCAGGGTGTGGAGGAGTGCTTAGGAGCCCAGCGAGGGTGCCTACAAGAGGAGTCAAAGGGCAAAGGGTGAGACCTTTCCACCGATCCAGCTGGACTCTAGCCTCAGGGACGTCCTGCTCCTGGGGGCAGGTGTGTGGCCCTGGATGGGCCCCCCTGTGGGGCTGTTGGAGGTGTGGGGCTGATCCGCCAGAGCCCTTCTGCCTGGTGCCTGGTCCAGGTCCTGGCTAGCACCCAGTGGCCCTGTCTTGGCCGGCCCTGTCCCCCGGGTTACAGGGCCAGAACCTGGAAGCAGAGCGCAGGACCAGCCAGATCCCGCCAGGCTCCCCCTGGGCCTCTCCAGTGCCTCTGTGCTGCCTGGAGCCAGGCCCGCCTTCTCCATGGCTGCCGTGGCCTCAAGGGCCACCAGCCTTGCTCCGCAGGTTTCCAAAGAGAGGACGCGGTGCCCTGACCTGACTGGATGCGCCTCTTACCACATGCCTCCCTGGCAGGCAGGGTCTCCACTTTTTACAAATTTGCCTGAGACCATTCCTCAGGTCATTCAGGTGGTCATGGCCCAGCCAGGCTTTGAACCCAGGCTGTGCGATTCCACAGCTGGCGCTCTGGCCTGTGTGCCTCATGATCATGGATACAGCATCTATTCTTATTTTTTCCTGTAGTCCTGGGGTACTTAGCACCATGGCATATCTGTAATAAGCACATGCACACCTTGAAGGAGGTCTTCACTTCAACATACAAGTTGACCATGGCATGCTCTGGGCTCCAGTCCTCTACAAAGATGTAGGGCAGGAACTACCAGTTGTCAGCACAGCACCATGACACATTGCTCTTCTAATGGAGCCTTTCACCCCAGATGTTCTTTCTCGTCTGATGGGAAGGATCCAAGTATGTAAAGATTATGTTCTAGATAAGCTTTGGTCTGTCCTAAAAGAAATTTGCCAGTGGCTTATTCCATATGGATAAAAGTCAGTTTCTCTGGTCTTCCTGGAATGTGTCTAGAAAGCAAATACATTATTTACAAGTTCATAGTAGATCAATGTATTGGATTAAAATATGACAAACATAATTTGGTCATTGTGAGCATGCCAGCTCAGTCAACTATTCACCACACATGATGCCCTAAATATAACTCTAGGTTTTCTTATGCCCAAGAGAGGGACATACTCTTGGGTGTCTGGACTAGGGAAATATGTATGAAAAACCATTTGGCCACTCCACATCTTGTTATTGGAGAATTGAAACCATCTATATTCAAAGATATTATTAAAAGGCAAGAAGTTAACTTCTGTCAAAAAAAAAAGTCAAAAGGCTGAGAAAAAATACTTCTTTTTTATTATTATGCTTTAAGTTCTGGGATACATGTGCAGAACGTGCAGGTTTGTTACATAGGTATACATGTGCCATGGTGGTTTTCTGCATCCATCAACCTGTCATCTACATTAAACATTTCTCCTAATGCTATCCCTTCCCTAGTCCCCCACCCCCAACAGGCCTCAGTGTGTAATGTTCCCCTCCCTGTGTCCATGTGTTCTCATTGTTTAACTCCCACTTATGAGTGAGAACATGCAGTGTTTGGTTTTCTGTTCCTGTTTGGGTTTGCTGAGAATGATGGTTTCCAGCTTCATCCATGTCCCTGCAAAGGACATGAACTCATCCTTTTTACAGCTGCATGGTATTCCATAGTGTATATGTGCCACATTTTCTTTATCCAGTCTATCATTGATGGGCATTTGGGTTGGTTCCAAGTCTTTGTTATTGTGAATAGTGCTGCAAGAAACATACGTGTGCATGTGTCTTTATAGTAGAATGATTTATAATTCTTTGGGTATATACCCAGTAATGGGATTGCTGTGTCAAATGGTATTTCTGGTTCTAGATCCTTGAGGAATTGCCACACTGTCTTCCACAATGGTTGAACCAATCTACACTCCCACCAACAGTATAAAAGCATTCCTATTTCTCCACATCCTCTCCAGCATCTAGTTTCCTGACTTTTTAATGATCACCATTCTAACTGGTGTGAGATGGTATCTCTTTGTGGTTTTGATTTGCATTTCTCTAATGACCAGTGATGATGAGCTTTTTTTCACATTTTTTGGCCACATAAATGTCTTCTTTTGAGAAGTGTCTGCTTATATCCTTTGCCCACTTTTTGATGGAGTTGTTTGTCTTTTTCTTGTAAATTTGTTTAAGTTCCTTGGAGATTCTGGATATTAGCCCTCTGTCAGACAGATAGATTGCAAAAATTTTCTCCCATTCTGTAGATTGCCTGTTCACCCTGATGATAGTTTCTTTTGCTGCACAGAAGCTCTTTAGTTTAATTAAATCCCATTTGTCAATTTTGGCTTTTGTTGCCATTGCTTTTGGTGTTTTAGTCATGAAGTCTTTGCCCATGCCTATGTCCTGAATGGTAATGCCTAGGTTTTCTTCTAGGGTTTATATGGTTTTAGGTCTTATGTTTAAGTCTTTAATCCATCTTGAATTAATTTTTGTATAAGGTGTAAGGAAGAGATCCAGTTTCAGCTTTCTACATATCACTAGCCAGTTTTCCCAGCACCATTTATTAAATAGGGAATCCTTTTCCCATTGCTTGTTTTTGTCAGGGTTGTCAAAGATCAGATGGCTGTAGATGTGTGGCACTATTTCTGAGGCCTCTGTTCTGTTCCATTGGTCTATATATAACCGTTTTGGTACCAGTATCATGTTGTTTTAGTTACTGTAGCCTTGTAGTAAGGTTTGAAGTCAGGTAGCGTGTTCTTTTTGCTTAGGATTGTCTTAGGATTGTCTTGGTTATAGGGGCTCTTTTTTGGTTCTATATAAAATTTAAAGCAGTTTTTCTAATCCTGTGAAGAATGTAAATGGTAGATTGATGGGGATAGCATTGAATCTATAAATTACTTTAGGCAATATGGCCATTTCACGATATTGATTTTTCCTATCCATGAGCATGGAATGTTTTCCCATTTGTTTGTGTCCTCTTTGATTTCCTTGAACAGTGGTTTATAGTTCTCCTTGAAGAGGTACTTCACATCACTTGTAAGTTTTATTCCTAGGTATTTTATTCTCTTTGTAGCAATTATGAATGGGAGTTCACTCATGATTTGGCTCTCTGTTTGTCTATTATTGGTGTGTAGGGAGGCTTGTGATTTTTTGCACATTGATTTTCTATCCTGATACTTTGCTGAAGTTGCTTATCAACTTAAGGAGATTTTGGGCTGAGAAGATGGGGTTTTCTAAATATACAATCATGTGAATGGCAATCAGAGATAATTTGACTTCCTGTCTTCCTACTTGAATATCTATTTCTTTCTCTTGCCTGATTGCCCTGGCCAGAACTTCCAATACTATGTTGAATAAGAGTGGTGAAAAATGGCATCCTTGTCTTGTGCTGGTTTTCAAAGGCAATGCTTCCAGCTTTTGCCCATTCAATAGGATATTGGCTGCGAGTTTGTCATAAATAGCTCTTATTATTTTGAGATACGTTCCATCAATACCTAGTTTATTGAGAGTTTTTAGCATGAGGGGGTGTTGAATTTTATCGAAGGCCATTTCTGCATCTATTGAGATAATCATGTGGTTTTTGCCATTGGTTCTGTTTATGTAACAGATTATGTTTATTGATGTCTGTATGTTGAACCAGCCTTGCACCCCAGGGATAAAGCCGACTTGATCATGGTGAATAAGCTTTTTTATGTGCTGCTGGATTCAGTTTGCCAGTATTTTATTGATGATTTTTGCATCAATGTTCATCAGGGATATTGGCCTGAAATTTTCTTTTTTTGTTGTGTCTCTGCTGCGTTTTGGTATCAGGATGATCTTGGCCTCTAAAATGTATTAGGGAGGAGTCCCTCTTTTTCTATTGTTTGGAATAGTTTCAGAAGTAATAGTACCAGCTCCTTTTTTTACCTCTGGTAGAATTTGGCTGTGAATCCATCTGGTCCTGGGCTTTTTGTTGGTAGGCTATTAATTACTGCCTCAATTTCAGAACTTGTTATTGGTCTAGTAAGGGATTTGACTTTTTCCTGGTTTACTCTTGGGTGGGTGTATGTGTCCAGGAATTTATCAATTTCTTCTAGATTTTCTAGTTTATTTGTGTAAAGGTGTTTATAGTATTCTCTGATGGTAGTTTGTATTTCTGTGGGATCAGTGGTGATATCCCCTTTATCATTTTTTATTGTGTCTATTTGATTCTTCTCTCTTTTCTTCTTTATTAGTCTGGCTAGTGGTTTATCTATTTTGTTAACCTTTTCAAAAAACCAGCTCCTGGATTCATTGATTTTTTTGAAGGGCTTTTTTGTGTCTCTATCTCCTTCGGGTCTGCTCTGATCTTAGTTATTTCTTATCTTTGCTAGCTTTTGAATGTGTTTACTCTTGATTCTCTAGTTCTTTTAATTGTGATGTTAGGGTGTCGATTAGATCTTTCCTACTTTCTCCTTTGGACATTTAGTGCTATAAATTTCCCTCTAAACACTGCTTTAGCTGTTTCCCAGAGATTCTGGTACATTGTGTCTTTGTTCTTATTGGTTTCAAAAAACTTATTTATTTCTGCCTTAATTTTGTTATTTACCCAGTAGTCATTCAGGAGCAGGTTGTTCAGTTTCTATGTAGTTGTGTGATTTTGAGTGAGTTTCTTAATTCTGAGTTCTAATTTGATGGCACTGTGGTCTGAAAGACTGTTTCTTATGATTCTTGTTCTTTTGCATTTGCTGAGGAGTGTTTTACTTCCAATTATGTGGTCAATTTTAGAATAATTGTGATGTGGTGCTGAGAAGAATGTATATTCTGTTGATTTGGGGTGGGGGGTTCTGTAGGTGACTATTACATCCACTTGGTCCAGAGCTGATTTCAAGTCCTGAATATCCTTGTTAATTTTCTTTCTCATTGATCTGTCTAATATTGACAGTGGGATGTTAAAGTCTCCCACTATTATTGTGTGGGAGTCAAGTCTCTTTGTAGGTCTCTAAGAACTTGCTTTATAAATCTGGGTGCTCCTGCATTGGGTGCATATATATTTAGGGTAGTTAGCTCTTCTTCTTGCACTGATCCCTTTACCATTATGTAATGCCCTTTTTGTCTTTTTTGATGTTTGTTGGTTTAAAGTCTTTTTATCAGAGACTAGGATTGCAACCCTTAATTTTTTTTATTTTTATTTTTTCTTTTTTGCTTTCCATTTGTTTGGTAAATATTCCTCTATCCCTTTTCTTTGAGCCTATGTGTGTCTTTGCACTTGAGATGGGTCTCCTAATTACAGCACACCGATGGGTCTTGACTCTTTATCCAATTTGCCAGCCTGTGTCTTTTAATTGGAGCATTTAGCCCATTTACATTTAAGGTTAATATTGTTATGTGTGAATTTGATCCTGTCATTATGACGCTAGCTGGCTATTTTTCTCATTAGTTGTTGCAGTTGCTTCATAGCGTTGATGGTCTTTACAATTTGATATGTTTTTGCAGTGGCTAGTACTGGTTTTTCCTTTCCATGCTTAGTACTTCCTTCAGGAGCTCTTGTAAGGCAGGCCTGGTGGTGACAAAATCTCTCAGCATTTGCTTGTCTGTAGAGGATTTTATTTCTCCTTTGCTTTTGAAAAATACTTCTTAAAGGAGACTAAAGAAGCATGGCAACTAACTTTAATATCTGATCTAAATTAAAATCTTGCAGGGGAAAAGCACTATAAATGGCACTATTGTGTCAATTGACTAAATGAGAATATGAATAATAGATTAGAAAATATATTGTATCAATGTTAAATTTATTGAAGATAATAACTGTAATTTGGTTATGGAAAAGAATATCCTTATTTTAGGGAATAAAAATTAGAGTATCTAGGAGAAAAAGGTCATGATGTACAGAACTTATTCTGAACGGATCCAGAAAAAATCAAATGTATGCATATATATTTATGGGGTGAGTACGTATACTTATACACACACAGGAACAGAGGCTATTTACGGGTCCAACAGCATGTACTCCCTGTCACTAAGACTGCTGTAATTAATGCCACTGCTGACGGTCTGGCAGGCCAGCATCAGACATCATTGCTTAGCCTTAGTATGCCATTATCATCAAGAAGGCCAGTCAGCCACTTGATGGCAGGCTGATGTCAAAGCAAAAATCGTCCTTGACAATGTTACACAGGTAAGGAAGAGTTTATTCAAGGCAATCACAGCAGGAGAGAGAGAACAGAAAACAGTCTGAACTCAACTTCCCTAAAACAAAGGGCAGGAGGGTTTTTAAGTGCTGGGGTGAGCTAGTGGAAAAGTACTGGAGGATGTCAGAAAGGATGTTGGTTAGTGAGGTGTGTGGAGCATATTGAGTCACTTCTGAGTTTTCTCTGTGATTAGGCCATCTGTATTTGCTGACTGGTGCCCATCAAAGTTACGTTCTTATTTTTCCATAGAGACTCTGAAATAGGTGCTATCATTTATGATTAGCTCTCAAAGGGATGGCACCCAGGTCTTTGAGAAGGACATTCCTGGTTGCAAAACTAACAGAAATCTTTTGAAAAGATTTACATCTCAAAGGGGCAGAGAAATTACAATTACCAGTTCTCTAAGGTAAAGGCTCTAAGAATAGAGTTCAAAAACCAAGAGTCAGGAGAAGCCTGTGTAAAGTTTACTCAAGCAGAGGGGAATGTTAAGATCTTTTGGTCACTAATTACATTAGACTCCTTCCTTCCTGGAGGACCCAGTCTTTTATGTCCTTTATGAAAATTGTACATATTACAGATGTGGGTTTACCTTTATCAGCACTGCTAATCAAAGACTTAGAGAATGCTAAATCCATTGGCATGGGAAACTGCACAAAATTGCCTCAGACCTAGAGACCCATTTAGAGCAAAGAAAGTATGAAAAAATGGCACAGGATTATGATATCCACTTGTCTTAACATACACTTCATCATCCAGAAGCAGCCAGTGAAATAAAACAGTGGTAGAGCATATAAAAGGCTTAGTTACAGCTCTAGATTAGGGACAGCACCCTGCAGGATTGGGCACCCCTGTTGGGTGGTGTTCAGCCACCCAACTGTTAATATATAAGGCAGTGTTCCTAAATGCGAAATTGCATCAGTCTATGAAACAATGGGCAGGAAAAGAATTGACTCTTCTAAATATAATTCCTAATGACACAGTTGAAGAAGTTGTATTTCTCAACCTTTTGCTCTTAGGCTTTGCCATATTAGAGGCCTTGATGCCTGTTGGGGTTTCACGGGAAAGTGGGAAGGTAAGGGAGAGTGTCTTCATCCATTCTGTGCTGCTATAACAGAATAATTGAGACTAGGTAATGTATAATGAACATAAATTTATTGATCCATTTTTCTGGAAGCTGGGAAGCCCAAGACTGAGGGAATTCCTAGCATCTGGCTTTGGCCTTCTTGCTGTGTCATCCCATGGCAAAAGGCAAAAGAGCATACAAGAGAGACAGTAGGAAGGGGGACAAATTTATTTTTTTACCAGGAACCCACTCCCAGGATAAGGGCAATAATTCCTTACCTAATCACTTCTTAAAAGTCCCACCTCCCAACACTGTTGCACTGGGGATTAAGTTTCTAACATATGAACTTTGGGGTACACATTCAAATATAGCAGAAAGAGAGTAAGACTGTGGATTGGAGATGGAGGGAGAGAAACACTTCTCCCAGTTTACTCAAAAATATTTCCACTTAAATCTACATGCAACGACCTTTCAGTAACCCTGATTCCTCATGCCAGCAGAACATCAGGCAACAAAAAGAGCACTCCACTGGTAGGAGTGATTAGCTCTAATTTCTATGAGATACTATGTAGGCTACAAAATGATGGAGTCAGAAAGAAGTAAATTTCAAACATTGTAAATTCACTGAGTCATTCCTTGGTGCATCCACGCAGAACAATAATGATGGACAAATGCTGGTTATAATCACTACCCAAAAAGGCCAAAGGAAGTAAGGGCTCAGAACTCTCAGGAATAAGAACCCACTAGCTCAAAGAGAGCTCTGAATACCAGAACATCTGTTTGGCAGCTTAAGTGCTGGCCAAAAATGAGGAAAATTTGGTACGGGGAGAGAGAAAGGAAATAATGAATAGCAGTTATAGCCTTGAAACCAGCTGAAGCAGACTTGTATTTAGGCCTTGCAGTGATTGCAGCTGGCCACCACCTTGAAAGGGACTCTATAATACAGACTTAAATAGAAGGCATGGCAGAAATACATGAAACAAAACTGGATTGTCTTGAACAACTCTGATAGTGTCACTTCAGATCCTCCAGCTCTACCTCTTACTCCAGCTCTGCATACAGTTCCATGCAGGCTTCAGATGGCTTCTTGCAGATGCAACTGTACAATACTTGCCTTTGACTTCCTGTCCTAAGGTTTCTCTTTTGAATATAAATCCAGGGTGCAGGAGAGTTTAGACCTGTGGGACCACCCTTGACCACTAAGAGACAGGAACAGATAATTAAATGCTTTCCTCTTTCATCCCTTGGGAGAACAGTTTTGTGACACCCTTCATTAGGCTTTTTCAAAAGGTCCCAATGAGATCCAGTCCAGTTACCCACAATGGTGGCCAACTTGATAATATGTCTTATATTGCCTTTCTCTCTTTCCTGTTTTACCTCCTAACTTTCTTATTCCTCCTTCTTTGTTGTTATTGACAACACTTTCCAAACAAGCTACCTGTTGCGATACTTTTGTCTATAATTTTACTAAATCCTCAGTAACCTAGATAAATTGTTTAACTTCTATGAGCCTCATTTTCATCATATTTACTAGTGGCATACTTATTACATTACTTATAACCAAAAATATCTGAGGATTAACGGAAGGAATATATGTGAAGCATGTACAAAACAAGATCTGGTCCAAGCAGTCATTCAACAAATGGCAGTCATTATTATTACTGTCTCATTTCTCCCATAGAGTCCTTTAAATTATCTTTCTTCTAAATTACTTAGAGTCTACTATATGTGACAACAGACACAAAGTCAGAAACAAAAGTGTCCATTTGGTGTTTATTTCTAAGTTACTTTGCCCTGGGTCATTCTGACATGACTCAAAATAGTACAAATAGTACAAACTTACAGCTTTGGCAACCATTCCTCTCAACAGGTAATATTTAATTCCAATAACCATTTGAAGAAAGATGTGAATCAAGAAGGTTGTTGATAATTGACGGAGCAAAGTTCATGTAGTGGTGGCAGAAGATAGAATCCACAGTTATATGAAGGAATTTGCCTTAGATGTGAAGAACATCTACTTCTCTCAGACAGAAAAGAAAGAAAGAAGGAAAGATGGGAGATAAGAAGACAGTTTACTTTGTAGTTGGAAGTTGAGTGGATTCAGTTGCTATCAGTTTAAGAAGAAAGCAGGGTCATCTGTTGGGGCAGGGAGTGAGAATTTGGGAAAGGAATTTAGGACAGAAAGACTTGGAAAACGTTAATGTTAGAAAAAGAGACGATTTGTGTGAAATGGAAAGATGGTCAAGGAAGGCTGACAGCTAAGCTGAGATGTGGGTGGTCTATGCAGATATTAAGTAACCTAGGATAAAGGCAGGATTATGAGGGTATAACAAATTGGATCTGAATGAAATCCTCCATGAGGGAACACTGAAAACTGAAAGTTACAAATTTAATCCTTAAGAATTAAGGTTTGAATTTACTTTGATGCAGAATTCTTAAATCTGGGGAAACTATATCAGTGGGCTTCAAGGAACAAAGCTCTTTCACAGAACACTATAAAATGTGGTTTAGAGAAAAGTTTCAGCTCTACAGATTGTTTCCTTTAGAAAAATACGTGTGTTTTGCTACGAATTTAGACTGCCTTTTTTGGTACTGCTACATATTCTTAAATATTCTGAATTCACTGTTGTTTGTGCAGGTTCTCATTAGAAATTAGGAACACACACCTTCAAAATCCCCTTATCTGCAGGCCTGGTCTTTACCAGGAGTCAAGCTAGACGAAAGACTTGGAAAGATAACTGAATTGAACTTTTGGCAGCCAATGAAGACAAGACTGGTTAAAGGTGTGCATTAAGGCTGAGCCTAAAAAATCTAGAATTTTTACTATTTTGATCATTATTTCCTAGTTAAATTTAATTTTTTTAAATTTTTCTCCTGGGAATTTAAAAGCAAGGCCACTCCATTATGGCTAAGGGTGAATTTTTTCCAACATGAATAAGTGGACTTTGTAAGTCATTTTAGTAAGAATAATTTTGAAGAAGACTTGATTGAGTTTAGAAAGAAGGCTTGATTTCTACTTTTAGCCAAGATGGAATAACAAAACTGGATTTATTCTTCATCCTTAACTGAAAAAAAAAAAAAAAAAACAGACAAAATATGTGAAACAATTATTTTCAAGACAATGGATATCAGGCAACAAAGGACAGAGACCCCTAAGAGAGAGAGAAGGGAAATTATATGAGCTCTATGATTGCCCCCAGGTTACTTCTTAGGGACTTTCTAAGCTTCATCAAATAAAGAATTCAAGTGGAGGCTGGTGGTATCTCTAAATTTAGTTGGTCTGGGAGTATTGAGAGGTTAAGGCAGCTAGTATTTTTAAGAGAGATTACCAGAAAGGACATAGCTGCACAGAGCAGTTCTAAATACCTCTTTAAAGGGCCCCTCCTCCAGTCTTCAGCTGAGTATTAATCAGAATACGCATATGAGCAAAGAACTCAAGGCCAGGAGGAGAACCATCCTAAAAATGTAGAGAAACCAATACCCAGAATGCATACATGGCACAGAATAGTCCTTCTCAAGAACCATAGTGGAAAACTTCATAAATCATGGGACATTGGCTAGGATTTTCTAAAGCATTCGGCCTCCGTGGGAAAACTTTAGCTCTAGAATAAACAGTGCTCTGATCTGATCTGACAAATATTAAAAGAATACCCAAAAGATATAATCTCTTACCAAGTAACTTGATGAAATGGAAGAACACATCTCAAGAATATTTTCAGAAATATAAAAATATGCAATAACCTACAAGGTAAAATTCACAATACTAGGCATCCAATAACAAAATTACCAAGCATTCAAAGAAGCTGGAAAATAAACCCCAAAATCAGGAGATAAATACATAATTGAAATTGATCCAGAATTGACATAGATGATAGAGATAGTAAACAACATTAAACAATTATTATAACTATATTTCATATGTTCAAAAACCTGTTGGAGAGATTGGCCATGTCAAGAAGAGCCATGGAGATATAAGAGACTCAAACTTCTAGATATGGAAGCTACTATGTCTCATATGAAAAATATACTAATAGTATATATTATATATATCTAGTATATATATAATCAAATTAGGCATAACCAAAGAAAAGAACCAGTGAACTTAAAGACCTAAAAATAGACCTGTCCAAAGTGAAACACAGAAAGAAAGAAGACTGAAAAAAAAAAAAAGAATAGATCATCAGTGAACTGTGAGACAACTTCAAGCGGCTAAAATACATGTAATTGGAGTTGCTGAAAAGGAAAGGGGAAGGAACGTCGTTGAAAAAATAATGGCCAATTTTTTTTAATTTATGGAAATTCCACAGACCCAACAATCTCATTGATCCCCAAGAACAAGAAACATAAATAAAACTACATTAAGGGACATAATAATAAAATTGCTTAAAATCACTGAAAATAGAATTTCTTAAAAGCAGCCAGAGAAGGCCAGGAGCAGTGGCTCACGCCTGTAATCCTAGCACTTTGGGAGGCCAAGGTGGGCAGATCACGAGGTCAGGAGTTCAAGGCCTGCCTGACCAACATGGTGAAACCCCATCATTACCAAAAATACAAAAATTAGCCGGGCATAGTGGTGCGCACCTGTAATCCCAGCTCCTCAGAAGGCTAAGGCAGGAGAATCGCTTGAACCCAGGAGGCAGAGGTTGCAGTGAGCCGAGATCGCACCACTGCACTCCAGCCTGGGTGACAGAGTGAGATTCAGTCTCAAAAAAAAAAAAAACAAAAAAGTAGCCAGGGAAAGAAACATATATTATGTAGAGAGACCACAGATAAGCAGACTTAGCATGTCAAACCATACAAGCCAAAAGATAATGGAGCAAGATCTTTAACATAATGAATAAAGGCAAAAATCTGAAAACAGAATTGTGTTCACAGTAAAAAATATCTTTCAAGAATAAAGATGAGTTAAAGATTTTTTCCCAACATACCAAAGCAGAAAAAATTCATCATCAATAGAGAGGACTTTTACTACCTGATTTTCAGATTTATTTTAAAGCTATAGTAATCAAGAAAGTTTGGTATTAGTGTAAAAACAGACAAATAGATCAACTATATAGAACAGAGTCCAGAGATAGATTAGAACATATATGGCCAATTCATTTTCAACAGCTCACAACCAATTCAGTGGAGATGCACCACGGGAATGTAGCTAAGCAGGTCATCCATCTTTTACAAGACCTTCAGAATGGTTATGTAAGTTGTACCTATTTTCTGTGTATACTACCCTTTCAACATTCTTAAACCTTTAATAAAGTCTTATTTAAAAGTTGCAGGTTGGTTATATGTCGTACTGCAGGAAAAATTAGTAGGAATGTCTGGTGCTTGGGCCTAATTCGCCATTATCAGAGTATCAGGTACCCCCTCAGATGTGTGTCGGCAGCTATCTTTAGCAGAGGACATCTGTGTCCAAAGGAGAGGCTATCTCTCTAGAGCTAACAGTAGCAGCAGCATCCTAGTAGGCTGTCAGGGAAGCTAGAATGATGAGTTTTTATTTCCATCATTATTTCCAGTGGGAGATTATTTCCAGTATGGAAGTGAGAAAGCCTAGGAAACTCACAGTAATAGACAGTGGGACAACATGACAGGATAATTTTTCCCATCAGGCTGGTGGAACCCCTTGCCACTATAATTTAGTGTATTAAAAGAAATACACCATTGTTTTGCAGTCACAACATGAAAAGCAAAGAAACATGGGTAAGCAATAGAAAAGGAATATCAACAAGGTGCTAAATTCCTAAGTTAATATGGGCATGCTGAGTTCAAAAGATGACAGTGATGATTCACAGAGATACACACAGATGGCATGAGACTTGAAGGAGCCATCACAAATCTCCTGCCATATTTTCACTAAGGCAAAGTGGAAACAATTAAATAAGCACAACACTTCCTTGTCCTGTCCAACCTGCAACATGGAGAATAAGTAGCTCCCATTCAAAGGAGCCACAAAGAATTAGTCTCTTCAAGAAAATGCCACTTTCCAGTTAAAGCAAATAAATGACAGATAAAAGAATATACGTTTATAGTGGAACTGGAATCACATAAGGTAGATTCTCTCTATTTATTTCAACAACAAAAAAAATATGTATTGATAATTACTGTGCCTGGCTTGGTGGGAATTGTTGGAAGAGAAAACAGAAGTAAGTAAATGGCCGATGGTAGCAAAAGAACCAGTATTCTGAGAATAAGAGTGACACTATGAATTAAAGAAATATATGGATATATTCCTTATATTTTGTGTGATGTTTGAGAATTGAGAGGAAATGGTAAAACTAATCCACTGGGCGGCTCCCTGAAGGTACAGGCTGTGGCAACTAGTACTGTCAGAAACCTAAGATTATGGGGCAGAGATTACTAGCTCTCCACCCAGATCTATTTTCTCCTTCTTCTCTTTTTTTTTTTTTTTTTTCGATGGAATCTCGCTCTGTCGAGAGGCTGGAGAAAATTAATTTAAAGTTTTTGGTTTTCTTATATGATTCTTTTTTCTTAACTAGATATTCTGCATCACTATTAAAAAAGCAAAAAGTCATAAATAAAATTCAAGTCCTGTGTTGAATGAGCACATGAAGGAGTAAAAGGGAATGTGATATTAATCACCTGAAGGGGAAGAGAGCTTTTGCTGCTAATGGGGGCATTTGCAAGACAGATTTTGGTGAAACTTAAAGATTCTATTAAAAGAATTTTTCTTCTATTCTTTTATAGACACCTAAAAGGCCTCCAAAAGTTGAGTTTGCCAAATTTAAGAACATTTCAAGCTCACTTTATATCGTTTTGGCAAAAGCTAATACAATAGGAATCCAGCACAGTTTACCTGGGGACACTGAAGTTCTTGAAGAGCCCATTTCGCAAGGTATATTTATATTCAGTTAAACTTCTATGGCTGAGTGATCCTATAAAACTGCATCTCTCACTCTCCCAAAAGGATTGACAGATTTAGTGAATAGAAAGATGCTCAGCTATATTTGCATTTCCTATAAACAAGGAATAATTTTTTGTATAATTATGTTCCCAATATCTGGAAACCATGCTCACTAAGTATGGGCAATATTCTGGCAGGGAGTCTGGAAGGTTGTCATAAATTAATATTTTTTCCCAATGCTTGATATGTCATGCTTGTACACATTTTATAGTTATCATGAAAGATGTGGCTGGGCACTGTGGCTCATGCCTGTAATCCCAACACTTTGGGAGGCTGAGATGGGTGGATGGCTTGAGCCCAGGAATCGAGACCGGCCTGGACAACATGGCGAAAGCCCATCTCAACAAAAAAATTAAAAAAAAAAAAAATAGCCCAGCGTGATGATGCGCACCTGTAGTCCCAGCTATTCAGGAGGCTGAGGTAGGAGGATTACTTGAAAACAAGCGGCAGAGGTTGCAGTGAACAGAGATTGTGCCACTGCACTCCATCTTGAGCAACAAAACCAGACCTAGTCTTAAAAAAAAAAGAAAAAAAAAACACATCCCCAGTTCCCATACCATTTGGGATAGAGACAAATAGGCAGCTGAGTTTGTCCCTTACACACTACTTAAAGGGAAAGACTGACCCTGCTGATTCGTGTCTAATTCCTCGGGAGAAAGGGGATGCATGAAGTTACTTGGAGATGGACTGTCACGCAAAAGTCCTCTCTGTATCCTTAAAAGGACGATGTACTCTATTTGGGGATCAGGATGTTAGAGTAATGCTCACAGTATATGTGGTAGAGGCAGAAAAAAAAAAATGTTTTTTTCTCCTTCCATAGTGAGGCACTGCAACAATAATAGCATGGTTCAATTTTGGTAAAAACTGCAAGCTAACAGCAAACATTGTATTGCTCTTACAATGAGCTTGGCACTGTCCTAAACATCAACAGCACATATTAACTTAGTGAATCTTCACAATCCTCAAATGGGGGAAGTAGATGAGGAAACTAGTCATGAGGGTAAATATTGATCCAACTCACACACTATTTAGTGGCAAGTTCAGGTTTAGGACCTATACTATCAGGTTCCTAACTATTGCATCATGCTACCTCTCATACTGAAATTCGTCTTGGAACTCATCCAATATGGACAGAAACATATGGGGCCAGAGGTGCAGTAGATGGCGACTTGGAGTATTTAGCTTTTCCCTGGAATATTCTAGGAATCCAGAAATACTTGTGATTACTTTAAGTTCAGGAAATCTGGCAATCCTAAATATTTGCTGTTATTTATGATGTTAAGCATTAGATATACTTTATGTATTTTTTCTCATTTAACTTATTTTATATATAGAGAGAGAGATTATTTTATTTTATTTTAAGTTCCAGGATACACATGCAGGACACCTGCAAGTTTGTTACATAAGTAAACGTGTGCCATGGTGGTTTGCTGTACCTATCAACCCATCACCTAGGTATTAAGCCCAGCAGTATTAACTATTTATCCTGATGCTCTCCCTCTGCCTACATCCCCCTACAGGCCCCAGTGTGTATTGTTCCCCTCCCTGTGTCCATATGTTCTCACTGTTCAGCTCCCACTTATAAGTGTGAACATGCAGTGTTTGGTTTTCTGTTCTTGTCTTGTTATTGTATGCATACAATTCTCATGACCCATCAGAATTTATTATTTATCCCTTCTTTAAAAAATAAAACTAATATTAAGTGGTCACAAACTAAGTAAAAGAACTAACAGTGAAACCCCCCAGACTCATATCCCACTGCCTCTAGGAAATTGCTCTAGAAATATGTTATAGTTACATTTACTTGCACTTTGCTTTTAGAAGGCTTGGTGGTCAGAATGAGCTGTGGCTTTTTGAGAATTTATGCTCAATGACTACCATGCTGTGAATCCCTATTTTCAGAGGTTTTCTTTAAATAATTGAAAAGTCCTTTCCTTCTCCAATTAAAACAGGTGTACAATTTGAAAATAGGACTATTTCCTCTATCTGTCCTATCTTATTTTAGCCATACCTGACATTTTATTGGCATGTATAAAGCAGTTTAATTTAATGAGATGAGCATAATTTAAAGATAAATACATGGGTTATCCTTATTCCTCTAAACAGCAAGTGTGCTCTTCAAGCTTCTATCTTTGCAGACTGATTTCCCTAAATTATGCTTGAAAAAAAATTTTTAATTGCATTCCAATCCACATACATATGCATGTACATACACACATACAGAAAATTACATATGCAAAACCTGGAAGCTCATTCTGCTCTAACACTAAAAATGTTTTCTTATGAAATCTCAACTTAATTAAAAATCCTGTCTAAAATCTTGTAATTTAAAGAGCTACCTCAATGCAGGGGAAAGGAGCTGAAGACTAGAAATTTCAGTCTTGCATTAAAAAGTTATTTTTTTCTACAAGAATTCAATAATATTGGGAAAATTTTTTCCAAAAGAAATACATGAACATATTATCTTAAACATTTCAAACAATATAGATAACAACAAAAAATAGGCCAGGTGCGGTGGCTCACGCCTGTAATCCCAGAACTTTGGAGGGCCGAGGCGGGCAGATAATGAGGTCAGGAGATGGAGACCATCCTGGCTAACACGGTAAAACCCCGTCTCTACTAAAAATACAAAAAATCAGCCGGGCGTGGTGGCAGGCGCCTGTAGTCCCAGCTACTCGGGAGGCTGAGGCAGGAGAATGGCCGTGAACGCGGGAGGCGGGGCTTGCAGTGAGCTGAGATTGCGCCACTGCACTCCAGCCTGGGCGACAGAGCGAGACTCCGTCTCAACAACAACAACAAAAAGCATAGTCTAAGCCCCCTTTTTTCCTTTCCTTACACTTCTTGTTGCTAGCTATAGCTCCATAAACCATCTGATGTGTATCCTTCTAGATATTTTCTGTGCATGTACATGCACATATACATTTTTCTTATAACACAACCCTTCCACTCCTATTTATAAAAGAGAAATTAAATCAGCACACATCTATACAAAGAATTAACTACAAATTTTCATAGCTGTTTTATAAGTAATAGCCAAAAACTTTATATAACCTAAATGTCCGTTAGTAAGTAAGTGGATAAATAAATTGTAGGCTATCCAGACTACAAAACACTCCCGAGCAATAACAAGGAATCCACTATTGGTATACACAGCAATCTGTTAAATATCAAAATAATTATGCTGAATGAAAGAAGGCAAATAAAAAGAGTGCACACTGTGTGATTCCATTAATATAAAATTCTAGAAAGTGTAAATTAACCTATAGCAACAGAAAGCAGATCAATGATTGCTTAAGGAGAGGTACAGGATGAGGAAGAGCAGGAAGGGAGGGAAAAGAGATGAAAAAGAAAAGTTCCTGGGTGATGAAATTGTTCATCTTGGTTGTGGTGGTAGTTTCATGGCTCTACTCATATATGAAAACATCAAATTGTACTTTCAAAAATGTGTAATTTATTGTATGTCAATTTTACCTACACACACATACACACTTCCATTATGTGGTGAATAGACCAAGAGATCCCGTATCAATTGGAATTAAAAATATTTGATGCTATCCTGTCAACAAGAATAAAAACAGTAAAAAGTAATTGTCTCTAGGCATTGGGACAGGGGATGGGAAGACTTTATGCTTTATATTAGAATCTTCTGCTTCATTTGATTTTGTTGGAGGAGGCGCCACGTGGAGGTATGTATCTTACTTCAAAAGTCATTTCTGAAGATAGTGTTAAATGCCTACACATTTTACAGAAATGAAATTTAACAAAAATATTTATAGTAAAAGTTTACCAGGTGTGAGGTATCATAAATGACTTTTTTCATTTTTCTACTTTTTAAAATTTTCTTAGAAACTTTAACCATTTGTTAAAACTTATTTTTAAATACGATTTTCAACCTTCTTAGCAGTGGCATTCCTTTCAAATAAAACTTTACATGATTTTCAATTTCTAAAATGTATAAAAGTTACCTACCTCAGGCTCTCATTATTTTTGCTTTTTGTCTCAGGTCTCAGTATCTTGCAGCCCATCCTCGATCTTGATGCCACAATGATGTTTCTAAATTTATCCCCCTATGTACAAATGTGCCATTTTTAGTACGATAGTATCCAGCCTTATCAGATTCAATGACGTATTTTGTAAATATTTCATAACTCCCCTTTACCATTCCAAATGAAATTAATATATAACATGTTTGTATATATGCCATATATTTGTATACATTACATATATGGCATATGTGTGTGTATATAGCATATATTTCATGTGTATATATATGTATACATCACACACATATGAAATATATATAAACATATATAAATAAATATAATTATGTCACCTAATATTTTGGTGAAACTACTAAAATATTGGCATCCAAAACAATGAGCAAGTTAAAATGGAAATTTTTTTTTCCTAAATGTACTCAGAGTAGGTGAACCGAAGGTCAAGCATGGCTTCAGACACATAACTTCATAATTTTTCTTAGCCTTTCAAACTGTTTTTCTTTTATCCATTTAATGACTAAAGCATAATTTTTGGACTAAAAAGCCTAATGTCTTGGATTCTAGAAAAATAAAGAGATTGGGGCCCGGCATGGTGGCTCACGCCTGTAATCCCAGCACTATGGGAGGCCGAGGCAGGGGGATCGCGAGGTCAGGAGATCGTGACCACCCTGGCTAACGCGGTGAAACCCCGTTTCTACTAAAAATACAAAAAAATTAGCTGGGCGTGGTGGCAGGCGCCTGTAGTCCCAGCTACTTGGGAGACTGAGGCAGGAGAATGGCGTGAACACGGGAGGCGGAGCTCGCAGTGAGCCGAGATCGCGCCCCTGCATTCCAGCCTGGGCGAAAGAGCAAGACTCCGTCTCGAAAAATAATAATAATATAATAAAATAAAATAATAAAGAGATGACTGAGGCCTGGAGGCAGCTTTCATGATCTAGGTAGAATTTTAACAGAGCCTTGAGAAAGGAATACGGTAGGATTTGAATAACAGAAAAGGCTTTTGGCTAGGTTAACTTTTATTTCACTTTCTGAATTAAAACCCAGTAAACTATTAGAATGAGGATGAAATGGGATTATTTTAGTTTTGCTATTTGCAAATTAATAGCTAAACTAATACTAAAAAGCCTGCACAATCAGGCTCAGACCCATTTTTCCAACCTAACTTTTCCATGATCCGCAAAAACCCTGCTCTCCAAATAGACTGATTGATTTCTACAAATGCCTTGCACGTGTTTTGGAAAGAGGATTAAAAATCTCAATATAATTCAAATAGTGGCACAATATAAATATAGTTCTTATCTGCATTAAACTATCCATAGTATAAAGCAATGCAAAATCTGATTGTTTTTCTGAGAAATTTTTTAGGAGACATTTCATGAAGAGAGTAACAGTGAGATTAATATGACAGAAATATGGTAATGTAGGTGAGAAAAGAGGACAGTGACCTTTGATGCTCAAAGTTAATCAGTGTACTGTTAGTCCAATCAATTGTTACACAATTTTTAGCTAAGAGTTTTACTATCTTTATTCCATGCACCATGAACGCTTTCCTGCAGTAGATTTTATTTGCTCATAATTATTTGCTCTCTTGCCAATTTAGCCATGCCTAGTTTAGTTCCCCAGCCTACAGATCTGGGGCTTGTCATGCGACAGCCTTTGGCCAGTAAGATGTGAGTGGACATAATATTGAACATATCTGCGCAGAAGCTTCCCATGCTATTGCAGTATTTGGCTTGGTCTTTCTTTCATATATGCCTTCTAACAGGAAAAAGAACTGTCTCCAATAGAAGCTGTTCCTTCCTTCTGAGTCATAAAATGAAAATATTTTGGAAGATACACAAACCTGACCTACAACCTAGACCTGATTCCAGCTCAGTACAACCCATAGTTAGCCCAAGCCCACATGTAATGTGAATAATAACAAACAAAAGTATTGTTTTAAGCCACAGGAGTATTGAAATTATGTTACTGCAGCAGAAACTGACAGTTAAAATTACATTTTGTATTTTTTTTGTATTTCCTTATTAAAAAAAAGAGAATGACCAGATGTTTCTAAACATAATAACAACAAAATAGTTATTTTCACCTTTTTTAATACTGAAAAAATATTCAAGTAGCATTTGTTTGCACTTAATATTAAAAAGATCAGTTGAAATTTGCAGTTTCTTTCTATTGTTTTATATCATAGCATAATTTCTGTGTTGGTATTGAATGTACATATATATTATACATACATTATATATATATAAAACTATATATATGCACTAGCATGGAAGACTGTGGTGTGTTATATTAATTTGTGGGGTTCTAAATATTTATTAATTTTTTCTTCATCTGCAAATATCTGATGCATGATCTCCTATATGAATTTTTTATGCTTTTGGTTCATTATCCAAAAAATATTAGTTTAGCTTCCCTGATTAAGTATGACCTATTGCTTAGCCAAGCAATTTAAAGTGAGAATAAGTCTCAAAACTGTGAAACACTGATTTTCATTAATAAATTTTTTATAAATGCAATCAAATGAATCTCAAAATACTAACTCATTTTAAAGACCCAACTATTGGAGAAAAGTCCCTTATTTCTTTTAATACAACATTCACACTATTGTAGCACTAAAGATACAAACCATGCTACTATGGTTTGAATGTGTCCCCAAAAGTTCATGTGTTGGAAACTTGTTCTCTATGAAGTGTTGTTGAGAGGTGGGGCCTAATAAGCGATGTTTGTCATGGAGGCAATGCCCTCAGGAATGAATTAATGCAATGAATTAATCTCAAAAATGAGTTTATTATCAAGGGAGTAGGTTCCTTATAAAATAATGAGTTCTGCCCTTTCTTACTCTCTCATCCTCTTTTGCCCTTCCACCATGAGATGATACAGCAGAAAGGTCATCACGAGATGCCAGCCTCTCAATGTTGGACTTCCCGGCCTCCAGAACAATAAGCCAATAAATTAACCACTCTCAGGTATTCTGTTATAGCTGCACAAAACTGACCAAGACACATGCCTTGGATATTTTAAAATACATGTAGAAAATATAATAAAATGATGATATAGACCTGCTTAATGAGCAAGTATTTTATCAGCTGTTATTTAAAGTTAAATAGTTTACTTGTCAAGAATAGCAAAATGTCTAAGATTATTCACTACTCGAAAGCCAGTAAGTTAGTATGCCAGTTTCATGTATGCTATGTTAGAGATAAAGAATTTTATTGCCCTCAGCTCTTCTGAGCCCAAGCATACTTGCATCAGTGTTTATTGCCGCCAGGTCCAAGAGTGGGGATGAAATGGGCCCAGATTGATATCTGCATGTATGTGAGTTGCAGTACAAAAGAGGAACCCTAAGTTCAGGAAATCCGAATATTTTATAATGTTCAGTAAGCATGCCTGCCCTTTGCTCTGAAGGGAGACACTATGCCTATCTTCCAAGCCGGCTTGCTAGACCAATATCCTTGAAAAGAGAGGGTGAAACAAAGAAAAATTAGTGCCTTTCAACATAAATTGTGCCAAATCATGAAAGACCCATAGAGCATTATCTCCCAACACACTTCCAAATAAATCCTAAGAGGTCTAAGTGAGCTCAAACTAATATTAAATAAATCAGTAAAACCAGTAATTTAAAATCCAGATTTAAAATTCATAAGAAAATACAAATGAATCTAAAATCTAAAATATCATATTTAGACATTATTTTAAAATTTAAAATAATATCATATTAAATATAATAATCTATATATAAAATATAAATATCTTGAGGGAGGAACTTTCTAAGATTAAAAATAATAAAGGAAATTTCAACAGAAAAGATTGATGGATTGAATTGCATAAAATTTGAATATCAAAATAGCAAAGCCCATTAAAATAGAAATAAAAGACATATAAGAGACTGGGAAAACATTTAATATTATTTAAACAATAATTACAATAGATACATGATTAGTGTTCTTACTATGTAAGATGATTTTAAGTGACAAAAAAAAATCCTGCTCTCTCCTAACGCTAATAATGAACAGAAAGTCACAAAAGTTCAAATAAACTATTAAAATAATTAATTTTCAAAAGAAATCAAAGAAACACAATGTTATTAATCAACAAAATTTCAACAAAAATTCTCATGACATAATGTTAAGTGAAAAAAGATGAAAAATGTAAAGTGTAATTTTTTTAAAAAAAAACCTGAAATAATGTCAGAAAGAAGTACCCAACAGTATTATTAGTGATTGCTAATATGGCTTCATATTATAGTAATATTACACTTTATTGTATTTATACTTTCAAAATTTTTTACACTGAGCAAAAATTATTATTGTAAAGTTTTAAAAATTCAAAATCAATTAGGTTGAAATTTCTGCACTATGCACAGTATGGTAACATACCACAATATGCTGAAATTTGAGAACCCCCATCACGCCTTCTAGCCCTGCCCAGTTTCTCTTACATTTCATGATACTTAAAATCTTCCTGACGGTGGCCCGGCTCAGTGGCTCACGCCTGTAATCCCAGCACTTTGGGAGGCCGAGGCGGGCGGATCACGAGGTCAGGAGATGGAGACCATCCTGGCTAACACGGTGAAACCCCGTCTCTACTAAAAATACAAAAAAAAATTAGCCGGCGGTGGTGACGGAAGCCTGTAGTCCCAGCTACTCAGGAGGCTGAGGCAAGAGAATCGCCTTGAACCCGGGAGGCAGAGCTCGCAGTGAGCCGAGATCACGCCACTGCACTCCAGCCTGTGCAACAGAGCGAAACTCCACCTAAAAAAAAAAAAAAGTTCTTCCCATCAGTGTTTTCTTCCTTTGGATTTCTTCAAAATATATAAATACCTATTCAAAAATATAAATACCTCTGATTATATTCAACAAATTAAACTAAGCATAATAATGCAGTAACAGTTTATCAGATTTTTCACTTTACCATAGAGCAGAAGTAGGAATCAGATGGAGGAGGTGACACTAGTGATGAAAGACCCCAGAAAGGGGTAGTGATGGGCAACAATCAACAATGAGGTTTGTTTCTTCCCAATTTTAACTACAACTGTCTCTGACATCTCATTCAAACACATTAGCTCCAGGATAATCTCATAAATTGCTGAACTGTTGGTTATGCCTCTAATCATGTATTCAAAAAGATATTATGGGCCGGGGGCGGTGGCTCACGCCTGTAATCCCAACACTTTGGGAGGCCGAGACGGGTGGATCACAAGGTCAGAGATCCAGACCATCCTGGCTAACACGGTGAAACCTCGTCTCTACTACAAATACAAAAAATTAGCCCGGGGTTGTGGCGGGCGCCTGTAGTCCCAGCTACTCGGGAGGCTGAGGCAGGAGAATGGCGTGAACCCGGGAGGCGGAGCTTACAGTGAGGCGAGATCGCACCACTGCACTCCAGCCTAGGCGACAGAGTGAGACTCTGTCTAAAAAAAAATAAATAACTAAAATAAAAAAAAATTAAAAAAAAAAACTTATGAGACACTCTTTGGCTTCAGTTTTGCATCTATAATGAATTACATAAAAATAAAAGTGAATCCTATTTCTTACTCTGCATTTTTGTACCAACAAATATATTGACTACATAAACCTGTTTGTTATCAACTTTTTAAAATGTGGATTTGTTTTCATCACATAGACATGCTTTATTTGTTTTCTATTGCAGCTGTTAAGTACCACAAATTTGGTGGCTTAAAACAAAATTTATTACTTTAGAGGTCTGGGGATGGGAAGTCCAAAATCAGTCTCCTTGAGCCAAAATCAAGGTGTCCTCAGGTTCCAACAAAATCCTCCTGGAGGCTCTTAGCGAGAACCTGCTTTGCCTCTTACATATCCTGGAGGCTGCCACCATTCCTTGACTCGTGGCCATATCACTCCAGCCTCTGCTCTTGCCACATCAGCTTCTCTAACTTTGACCCTCTTTGGCCTACCCTGGGACCTTCTTTCTGTTACCTACTTATCTAGCCTCCTTCTTAAAAGGACATTTATAATTATGATACATTACATCCATCCAGATAATTCAGTATGCTCTCACTATCTCAAATCCCTAACCAAATAACATTTCAAAGTCCCTTTTGTCATGTAAGGAACATAGTCACAGGTTCCAGGGATTAGGACATGGGCATCCTTGGGAGACCATTATTCTGTCTACCTCAGTGTACAGCAGGGTATTAAAAAAATCACTTACTAGTATTTTAAATCTTTGAAACAAATTATGGAGATATAATAAGATGATAGCTATATCGAAAACTGAGAAAAATGAACTATTTTTACTGTATCAAATGCATCATCAATATGTTTGAATGGCACATAATAAATTTTAGAAAGTATTGTCATTTTATGGACCAAATATCTGTCAATAAATTGCATGAAATGATTTTAAAGGTAAGGGAATTCAAACATTTGTTTTATGAGCATTTGCCAAATTTGTGAGAATTTTTTTCCTTCTGAGATAATTTGAAGAATAAATGTGTGTGGATGTAGTAATTTGTTGAGCAAAGAATGTCATTTAATTAAATCGTAACTAGTAGAGTTGTTGTGACTGTGCCCTCAGGACTCTTTGAAAGTAAGAAAAGGATGTCTTAAATTGTTTCTTCTGATTAGAAGCAAGGGAATTTCTGGAAGAAAGTAGTGGCAAGTTGGAAAAGAAGAAAATTAGGCATTCTGTGCAAGTTCTAAAGTTCTGGTAGTGCCAAGCAGCATAGCAGCATGAGTAAGAGAGAGACCTGGATAAGGGTCTGAGGAAAAGGGAAAAGCAGTGCAACTAACTAAACCCCAAATAGGACAATAACCAGACTGAAATCAGTGAAAGCAGCTCAGTCACTAGAGGGTGAAGTTCTCGCTCAACACTTCTACCAGGCATAAGTCAGAAAAATCCCTCTTAGTAGAAAAGTGGTATAATGTTTAAGAAAACTGAATTACTTTAAATTATCCCAAAATTTGTCATGTTTCCAGAGCACTTAAGAAGAAAAGATAGGAATTTCATACTGACTTTTTTATAAGTTGGAATTTGTTCACTTTCTAAGATCTAACTCTTTGGAAAATAAAAATTCAAATACATTATTAATAATCTTCTGTCAACCTAGACAACTGGCAATAGGCCGACGGAAATTTCCTTGTTTGTTTTATTTTGTCGACCATTTTAGCATGCTGTAGATGCTACTGTGATCGAAGAAAATCATGAGTAATCATCAAAAATATGAATTTTAATTCACAAGCATTGCCAGAGGTATACTGGGTGTCCACTGTGTTCCACACACTAAACATGAGTAAAACAAAAGGCAGGTCATATCATTTTTGCTCAACCTCTGCAACGGTACCCAGTTTGACCCAAAGGAAAACCAAAAATATTGACAAGACCCTACTAGGCCCTAAATGTCTACCACTGCTTACTCCCATCCTTACTTCTCTGACTGTAATCTCCAACTCCTTTCTCTGCCCACTCACCCACCTGTAGCCTCCCCTGAAATCCTCCAGACAAATCCTTCTACCTAAGGATATTGGCCTACCCCAGAAGCCTTTCTCCTTGATACCTGCTTAACTAACTCCCTCACCTCTTTCAAACATTGCTTAAATCACCTTCACAGCCTGCTCTGAATACTCAATTCAATACTGTAGTATGGCCCCTGGGTCACACCCTGTGATTTCCATCCTCTCTCCCTGATCTTTTTCTTCTTTCCAGGGCACTTGTGGCCTTCTAACATTCTATGCAATTGATTGATTGGTTGGCTGATTGATTGATTGATTTTTAAATTGTTTCTTCCTAACTATAACATAAGTTCTATGATAGCAAGAGTTTTTTATCTATTCTGTTTACTGACATACCCCAAAATATCATAGAACTCTGCCCGGGACAGAGCAGGCATTCATTAGCTGCATGTTGAATAAATGAATACAAACAGGATAGAAATTTTTAAGCATACTCATTGATCCTTGCAATAAAACTGTAAATTTGATATCATTACTAACTTATTTTTACAGATGGTTAAATTAAAAACTTGAGAAGTTAAATGATTTACTCGTATCATAAAGTTAGTACATGACCAAGCTGACACTCAAGCTCAAAACTGTAAACATTTTCACATAACACACAGCGATATCAGTTTTATTTCTTTAATTAAATAATTATTTCTCAAGTACTTATGCTATACAAAGCATCATATTGAAGGAATAGTAAAGAGGAATAAAATATGGAACTTGTTCTCAAGGAGCTCACTTACTGTCTGTTTGATAGGTTTTTAAACGAGAACACTCAATGAGTGAACTAGGATCGGTCTGGTCATGCAGCTAAACATGCAGAGTTTGTGTTTGTTTGTTTGTTTTTGAGACAGAGTTTCTCTCTTGTTGCCCAGGCTGGAGTACAATGGCGCAATCTCGGCTCACTGCAACCTCCGCCTCGCGGGTTCAAGTGATTCTCCTGCCTCAGCTTCCCGAGTAGCTGGGATTACAGGCATGTGCCACCACGCTCGGCTAACTTTGTATTTTTAGCAGAGAGGAGGTTTCTCCATGTTGGTCAGGCTGGTCCTTTGCCTTGACCAACCTATCTCAGCTCCTTCTGTGGTTTCTAGTTCTAAGTTTTTAGCATAAATAACACCTTCTCTAATATCTTACATTTTATTTTCTGAGACAATGAAAGACTATCTCCATCCTGTTTTGTTTTAAAATATTCTACAGCTTGTAATTAGGGTGTAGTTCGGTAGTTAGAAATGCTTTCATTGCCCTTATCCTATTTGTTCTGCAGGTTTCTCGTTTTCCTTAGATTTATAGACTGGACATGAGGAAAATAAAAAATAATCAGAATACTTCAGGCAAAGATTTCAGGCGTTCACCAAAGCCTTACTGTACTAGATCTTAGCAGGATCTTGTACTAGAAACTTAGCAAGTGCAAATATACTAAGACAAGACATTAAACAGTAAGTGCACTAGATGAAATACCTGAAGAGAAATATCAAGTTTCCTCCGACTGCATCTCCCTCTGGGTCTCTTAATAATGGACCTCATCAAAACCAAAATTAGAAATTTTCTATTTCAGCATATGGCAAGGGTGCTGAACTAATAAGACTTTGAAGAAGACATTGTAACATTGACATGGAAATTGTCTATGTTAGATGTGAGAAAATGTTCACTGATTTGAGTCTGACTTAGGATGTTACATCGATTATTCACAAGATCCTGGTTGAGTTTGTGATATTCACAAAATCTCCTCCTAATGTGCAAGCTAGACCAGAAATTCCAAGAAAACACACACACACACACACACACACACACACACTTTAAATGGAATGTGTGCATGAAAGGACTAAAGGATAGAATGGTGACGAAAACATTGTAGCTAGCTTTAGAAGGACAGAAGATCTGGACAGATAGAGATGTGGATAAAGCATAGTTCAAGTGAAAGGAATACCAAGAGCAAAAGCAGGTACAGAGGTGAGAAATGCCAATTGAAAACAGGACTTTAAATAGTTGCATTTTGCTGGGCTATGGTGTCTTCAAGGAAAATGCACACTGAATTAAATGTGAAGGAATGTAAATATTGTGCTATAGGCAGCTGTGAGTCATGGTTGTTCTTGTTCAGGATGTGACAGTATCTGAACTATACTTCAAAAAGATTAATCTGTATTTAAGAAGGATTAATATCCATATTATTTGTGGATATATTAACAGTGAGAAAACATATGTGTATAAGATGTCACTGCACAAACACAAGAAAACTTATAAGGAGGCATGCACTTATTTTGGCATCCAAGATCCAAAATAGGAAACACAGGACAAGACTCGGGCATTGGTTACCTAAGTTACTTCCCTATCAAAAATGACCAGGTGTACGCTGCCCTGGGAGGCCTCAACTGTTACTAGGCTCTTAGATTACTCGTTATTCTGACTGAAAAATTCTTTGGAGAGCACATGCACTGTAAAGACCTAAATCCTCCAGCCTGGAAGAATCTGTCCTTTTGTTTATGATGTGAGTCCAATCTCAGAGCTATATTCTTTTGCACAAATAATGGAAGGCATAGTAATCTCCCACCCAACAAATGCTACTTGGCTATTGTGAAAAATGCCTAGCATTCTTAGCATATCCTAATGCATAATTGCTCTGGTCCATTCCACCCTGGTTGTCATTCAGAAATACTGTGAGAGTCATTAGAGAATGAACCACACATTGAAGCTAATTAGTCTACAATGCTAATAAAATACAAACTACTTTTAATAAGCTATTCGCCATCAACATTGTATTAGGCCATTCTTGCAGTGCTGTAAAAAATACTTTCCTGGCCAACATGGTGAAACCCCGTCTCTACTAAAAACATAAAAATTCGCTGGGCGCGGTGGCGGGCGCTTGTGGTCCCAGCTACTCAGGAGGCTGAGGCGGGAGAATCTCTTGAACCCGGGAGGCGGAAGTTGCAGTGAACTGAGATCACGTCATTGCACTCCAGCCTGGGCGACAGAGCGAGACGCCGTCTCAAAAAAAAAAAAAAAAAAGAAATACCTAAGACTGGGTAATTTATAAAGACAAGAGTTTTAATTGGCTCATGGTTCTTCAGGCTTTACAGGAAGCATGGTGTTAACATCTGCTTGGCTTCTGGTAAAGCCTCAGAGAGCCTTTAATCATGGCAGAAGGGGAAGGTGGAGAAGACACATCACATGGCAAAAGCAGGAGCAGATGAGAGAGAGTGGGGGAGGAGGTGCCATACACTTTAAGCCACCAGATCTCATGTGAACTCAGAGAGCTCACTTATTGCCAAGTGATTTATCACTCAAACCATTCATGAGAGATCTGCCCTATGATTCAAACACCTCCTGCCAGGCCCCACCTCCAATACTGGAGATTATAATTCAACATGAGATTTGGCAGGAACTTACACTGAAACTATATCAAACATTATAATGTTACACAACACTATAAATGACCTTTATTATTGAAGTCAACTTGGAGTCTTCTTTTCTCCTCTTATCTTTAAAACCAGTTAATTTCTTATGTTTGTTTTGCAGTGTGGCTTAAAGCTTGAAGTCCTCACACCGTAAGTTATTTTATGAAAATTATTTTAAGTTATTTTATGAAATTCACTGCTTCTGTTCTTTATCCCCCTGGAGTTACTCACCTAGAGAACATAGGCCTGTGGTTCTCACATCCCTATTACCACTGAGGCCTTGGTGGTCTTCTTTCCCTTATGAACTCTTCTGCTGTGCGTTCCTTTTATTTATTTATTTATTTATTTATTTATTTATTTATTTATTTATTTTTTCTTCCGAGGCAGAGTTTCACTCTTGTTGCCCAGGCTAGAGTGCAATGGCATGATCTTGGCTCACCACAACCTTCGCCTCCCAGGTTCAAGCGATTCTCCTGCCTCAGCCTCCAGAGTAGCTGAGATTACAGGCATGTGCCACCACGCCCTGCTAATTTTTTGTATTTTTAGTAGACACAGGGTTTCTCCATGTTGGTCAGGCTGGTCTCGAACTCCCGACCTCAGGTGATCTGCTAGCCTCAGCCTCCCAAAGTGCTGGGATTACAGGAGTGAGCCACCGCGCCCGGCCTCTTCTGTGCATTTCTAGGCCTGTGGTAGTAACTAATGATGCTTTAAAAAATAGGTCACTAGTGTATATTTTGTAAAAAGGGATAGTTGTAGTATGAATTGCAAGTCTTGGAGGTATTGTGTGTTGGGAGTCATACTAAGAAAGGAGGAAATTCTGTTATACAGTCATGTGCCATATAAAGGCAATTCTGGCAATGGTCCCATAAGATTATAATATCTTATTTTTACTGTACTTTTTTTTTTGTTTAGATACACAAATACTTACCAGCACATTAAAATTGGCAACAGTATTCAGTACGGTAACAAAGTGTATGGCTTTGCCACATAGCTATATTGGTATATACACCCAACCATATATTCACAAGATCCTGGTTGAATACCAACTATATTGGTATATACCCCCTAGGTGTGTAGTAGGCTATATGACCTAGGTTTATGTAAATACTTACACAATGATAAAATCACCTAACAAATAATTTCTCCAACTGTATTCCCATCATTAAGTGATACGTCTGCAGTAGCATACCTTCCTTGCTCTTTCTCTCTTTCTCTATCCCTCTCTTTCCTCTATCTGAAACTAGGCAATGAAGATAGTAGATGAGATTATTTTCTATTGACAGATCAGGAGATATTTTAAGTCTTTTTGCTGTTTATAATCATAGAAATACAGCCAGTCTGCTGTTCACATGGACTGTTCAGAGACCTAAATATATTAAAATTGACGTATCATGTCAAATAAATACCATAGTTAATACATATCAGAGTCAAATTTCACTTATTTTCCTATAATTTGAGAGATGTATAGGGTTTTGGAAAACAGAAAGTAAAATACAGTATAATTAAGCCAAAATTGATATTTTGGGCTATTTTTGCATATCTAAGATGGAAAAATAATAATTCTGTGGATGATTATAATACTGGTGATAATCGCAAAGGTTTTTAGATAATTAGATAGAAGACGCTAGTGATTTTTTAAAGAAAATATTTCAAAATAAAATTGCATTTTTGAGACCAACTACATTTTTAAAACAATGTAATAAAAACACTAAAATTAAAAACAATCTTGAAATTTTTGTTTTTCTTTATTGGATGACAAGGTTTACGATTATTCCAGGGTTGGTATACTTCTGCCTAATTTTCCTTCTCTCCTTATAATCCTCTCTATATGTATTATCAGTCAATGTATAATACATATATACACATTTATACATATATATTTTTATAATATGTATATTATGAAAATAATGGCTGCCTCTTACTATCAGCCACATGAAGATTGTACTAGGAACATTCCATATGTTATCTCACAACAACCCCAGAGAAGAGGTGGTGCTATATCCATTTCATAGCTAGAAACACAGATCTCTCAAGTTTACATATTGGTAACTGGCATCTCTGGGATGCAAATCCAGCTCTTTCTGCAACATTAGAAAGTTACTGGATTGATTTCTACATAAGTCAAAAGATAGGTTTATTACTAAATAGTACTGAATTTACACAAAAATTTTCTCTTCCTTTTTTATATTCCCCCTATTCTTCTTCACTCTTGGAAGGTATTTTCCAGCATAACTTCCACTTTCCTGCACACTCTCCTCCCCGTTATCAGCTATGAGTAGTACTAACAACTGAAGTTCCTATGAGTGCAACAGACATAAACCAGTAGAAATTAATTTAGTAATTGTCAGAGCAGACAAATAATTCTGTTTCTCAATGTCTGGCTGCTAAAATATCATTGAAAAGGTATTTTCTTAAATGCAAATTTTGGGGGCACCTCCTTCAAGTAATTCTGTTTAGGTGAACTGGGAAGAAGCCTAGGAAATCTCTGTGAAACCTTCTAAGGTGATTCTCATTCACAGGCAGGTTTGAGAACCACTGGATAAATCAAAAGCAGAACTGACAGTTAATACTTCATTAAGGCCAAGCTTAAGAATGACTCGGCTGCATATTAGAATCACCTTTTGACATCTTTGAAATCCTGATGTTCAGGCCCTGGCCCGGATCAATCACATCAGGATGTCTGGAGGTGGGATATTTTTAAAGTATTTTTAAAGCTCCCCAGGTAACTACAATATGCAGCCAATATCGAGAATCTCTAAGGGTGGAAATAACCAGTCCGAGTTTTGTTATCAGAAGCAAATCTACAGGTCTGCAGCAACCTAAGTTCTTGCCTCCTCAGAGGAATGAATTTGACTGAGGAGCATAAGGCAGAAGGAGAGACTGAGGCAAGTTTTAGAGCAGGAGTGAAAGTTGATTAAACAACTTTAAACCAGGAATAAAAGGAAGTAAGGTACACTTGGAAGAGGGTCAAGCAGGCGACTTGAGAGAGTAAGTGTACAGTTTAACCATTGACTTAGGGTTTTATACATTAGCATGATTCCAGGGTCTTGTGTTCCTTATCCCCTGATTCTTCCTTTGCAGTGGGCTGTCCACATGTGCAGTGGTCTGCTAGCACTTGGGAGGGAGCATGTGCAGTGTGTTTACTGGAATTGTATACATGCTCACTTGAGGTGTTTTTTCCTTACCAGTCCAGTGTTCCTAAAGGAAGGTCATCCGCTCTTTTGCGTCTTAGTGCACATGCTTGCGCGCACTCACCCAACTCCTGAGATCTTATCAGGAAGCTGCTGATCGCCAGTTTCAGGTGTTTCTGTCTATTGGAAGACTGCCTTTCCCTGGTGCTGCTGCAACCAATTATTATTTTAGAGAGACTGTGTAACAACTGCCTGACCATCACCTGATGGTTACCTGACATTCCTTTGGGATAGGGGGCTCTCTCCTGCCCTGCTCCTGTGTGACTAGCTACCTACCATTACAGTCTATTTTGGTTGGTTGTCCTGCAGTTCTCCTCTCTCTTTTCAGTGTTCCACTCTCTGGGCTAGAGTTGCAGAGTTGTCACCCTGAATGTGATGACATGTGAACATCCCTCTCCATCTTGACTATAGCTCCAACAGGGAGCAGGGAACTGGGTTTGCAGCTTCTAGGTGGCTTGTCTTCCACTGGATCAAAATATTTAAGTGTTGAAAACTGAAATGTGAAAGAACAATGTATCCTAATTTCATTTATTTATCCAACAGTTATTTAAGCTGAATGTAAACATTACCTCTCACTCACTAAAAGAAATGTAGGTTATACTCTATTTCTAACTTGCTTGCACAAATTCTGACACAAACACACACACACAGAGAGTTATATAATCTCTATTGAAAATTTTTGCTTAAAACTTTGTCGCTTTGTGTATTTCAGAACTGTGATGGGAAGAAAGGCAGGCAGAATTGTTAGGCACTCTAGGCTCCCTATAACTGCCTGTTTTGTCTGTGTAAGACTGGACACACAGAAGATAAAATTAAAATCTCAAAGATTATTGACGTTTAGCAGTAAAGGTGTCAAAAACAGATACAACATTTTATACACAGCATTTCTCTGCTATTCCAATTCCCAAAGGGCATTGTTGGTAAAACTTTAAATTGAGTGGGGGATGATTCAGATTCCTCAGAGAAAACAGGAAGCCAGGGTGAGCATCCAGGGTCAGGCAATCAAAGCTAATGAGGTGATAAAGGACTGGAAGGCTATGAGTCATTGACACCTGCTGGAATTTTTTTCTGGAACACGTTTGAGTATACTTTTTATCTAAAATCTACCTCCACTCCTTTTTTTCCCCTAATGTGTTTGAATCTGGTCCAGCGTGCTCTTAAATCACCTCAAGGGTTGGGATGCTTTGCTCAGTGTCTGTCATAAGAACGTGAAATAAAATAGCAACACTCTGACTGGTGACGGGGAAGTAGAGAAAATTTTAAAATGACCTCCAGTTTATATCTAAGTCCATTTAAATCAGGGGATGGGATGGGCCCAAACTCCAGCAGGGCAAGCTCAGAATTTTATGAGTCAATTGTAAATGAGTTTGAAAACAAGTTTAGAACCTAAAATACAATTTGATTCAAAATTCCTCTAGGGAAAAAAAAAAAAGATTTTAAAACACAGCAAAATGTGGCCAGGCACGGTGGCTCACGCCTGTAATCCCAGCATTTTGGGAGGCCGAGGCGGGTGGATCACGAGGTCAGGAGATCGAGAGCATCTGGCTAATACGGTGAAACCCCGTCTCTACTAAAAAATACAAAAAATTAGCTGGGCATGATGGCAGGCCCCTGTAGTCCCAGCTACTCGGGAGGCTGAGGCAGGAGAATGGCGTGAACCCGGGAGGCAGAGCTTGCAGTTAGCCGAGACCGCGCCACTGCACTCCAGCCTGGGCGACAGAGAAAGGCTCCGTCTCAAAAAAATAAAATAAATAAATATAATAAAATAAAACACAGCAAAATGCACATAAAAGGGCAAATTCAAGGGTAAAAATATTTTACAAGTTCCAGTAACCACACACACACACACACACACACAAAATCCTATTTAAATATGGGATAGCGGGAAGCTGACATTGTACAACAACAACAACAAAAAAGTACCAGGCTGATCCTGATATTGTTTTAACTCTGTCAGTAACTACGAGCCCTGAGGAAGTCATATACAGTTTTCAAAACCTTAGGTTCTTCATACTTAAAAGAAAGGTAAGGCGTAATTAGTATCTTCCACATCTCCAAAACGTTTAGTTCTGTATGTACTTGGAAACTTCAAACTTCGGATTGTCTAAAAGATCCACATGTTTGTTTTATAAAGAAAATTGCTTTAAAATTGAATTTGGTACTTACAATTCCCTCCCCCTTTAAAAAACTAAAACCACCTGAATTCACCCTACTTCAATTTAGTCTATAGAAAATTAACAATGCTCTACTAAAATGCAGGCATTTTCCATAATGCAGAAAACGTTTCAAGGTAAAACATCTTTATAGAAATTGTTTCCCCTTGAGATTGTGCCACCGCACTCCAGCCTGGCGATGGACTGAGACTCCATCTAAAAAAAAAAAAAATTGTTTCCCTTTAATTCTACATCCCAAAACTGTTTTAATTAAAGAAGACCATGGGGCCAGGTGCGATGGCTTACGCCTGTAATCCTAGCACTTTGGGAGGATGAGGTGGGCAGATCACTTGAGGATCAGGAGTTCAAAACCAGCATGGCCATTATGGTGAAACCTTATCTTTACTAAAAATACAAAAATTAGCTGGGTGTGGTGGCAGCCACCTGCAATCTCAGCTACTCGAGAGGCTGAGGCAGGAGAATTGCTCGAACCCAGGAGGCGGAGGTTGCAGTGAGCCAAGATTGCACCACTGCACTCCAGCCTAGGCGACAGAGCAAGACTCCGTCTCAAAAAAAAAAAGAAAAAAGAAAAAAGAAATAAAAGAAGACCATGAAGTCAAGTAACTATCTCTGGAAAGAAAGAATAGATTTTACTATTCATGGATGGGATTTTTCAATGTTTGACCAGCATACCATCCTCTTCCCTCTTGCAAGTTTTTCTTGCTGAATCCTTTTTTCCACCATCATCTTACCTCCCAACAACAGAAATACTTCTCTTAGTTTTCAGTTTCTTCATGAGTTTGTGGTTCAAAAAACTGTCTTGTCATTTCCAGAAGATTTTACTTCTTCCCTCCAAGTGATTCCAACATTTGACATAATAGAGGTAACTACCTTTTTCCTTGAGAAATTCATTAGCTATTTTGAGGCAAGTTTTGCTAATAGGACTTCATTCTTATCAGAAATGGTCTGCCTTTAGCTTTATTGTCTAATGTGATGGCAACCATCCAGTTTTAAAATGAATAAAGACTTCAGATTTACCATGCAATTCATAGAAGCTAAAAGGTGAAACCCATTGTGAATCTACATTGATTTAAAGTACAGAGAAGCTTACCATGTAATTCTGTTGTAAAACACTATGGATTTACTGTACGATATAGAAGCTCATACTGTAGCTTTATTGTGAGACTCCTATTCACTGTGCAGTAGCATCAAACCAACTGAGTCACTTTACGGTGAAACTCTGATTTAATATGGATCCCAAAGGATTGTATTATGTCTCTCTATGGTAATAAAACTTGAAATTTTGTTAATTCATTGTGAATTTCTCAGTAGAAGCCCTTCCATAGCGAAATTATTAATAACAAAGTTCATAGTACAAATATGCCCAAATCTGAGAGAGGAAATAACAATGTGATCATCTTTAGTGTTAATTCACTTTAAGATTAACTATATTTTATAAATACTTTGAGACTGCTAGTGACTATCTTCATTTGCCCACATTTTATTTCCTATTTAGAAAAGTCTATTCATCATTATTTGAACTACAAAACTAAATAAGATAGCATAAAATAGATTATTATTTGAGGAGTGATATTTTAAATATTCAGGAAAAAAGTATACTGTGGGAAGATTGTCAAATTTGAAAATTATATAAAAGAAGCCATAAAGTGTATAAAATTTTATGCTATTTATTGGTCTAAATACCATAACTAATTTATAATATGTTTCCTAAATTTATAGATATTTTTCATTGGGAAAGAGTTATTGTTTAAAAGATTATAAATCTGTTACTCATTAGAATAGGCTTACTTTTCTTGAAATTTAATAAAATAAGCTCTTTTCAGAAGAAACTCAGTGTCAAACTTTTTTTATGTATGTTGGGGTTTTGTCCTTTTTATAAAGTATTCAAATCTGTCTTTTTCTTAACTCTGCATATTTCTTCTCTAACTTGTAAATGTGTGCTTAGCAGTAAGAAAATGAGTGAATAACCCTGTATTTCAGTCCTCTCTATTCAAGAAATACATTGTGATTTAGTGTGCTAGAAAGATTCTTTTGAACTTTATAGACAGATACAAATCTGTAAGATATCTTCCAGAAAGTTTCATTTTTGAATGTCCTCTTTTTCTTAAATGTATATAGAATTTAACTGTGAAGAATGATGTTTGAGGGACTGCTTGAATCTGATATATCATTATATTTTCTGTCAGTCAAAAACTAAATACCTCGGCAGTCTATTAAAAGTAATGAAGTAAATTATTTTTAAAAAATCACACACACTCAAAAAAAATAGTGCTCCTTTATCCTATCCAAAGCAATGAGAATTATTGAGAATGGAGAGAAGGAAACAAGCCAAGAGGCCAAAACACATTGAGATTAAAAGCCTGAAACTAGTCCCACATTTGCTTCCTCCTCTCCCCCCAGCGCGCACAGCATGTCTGCCCCCAAGGGAATTCCTTTTTTTAAGCTGTAGCCCCCAACTAAAGAGGTCTCAAACTGTGTGGGCGTGGTAAAGAGAAATACATGTCTTCTCTCGTCACAAAAGATTAAAAATTCTGAAGGTCATTTGCAAATACTTAATTCCTGCTTCCTTCTCCAACTGGAATAGTTAAAAAAACAAACAAAAAAAATTTTTTTTTAATTTAAATGCATGCTTAACAAATATCAGGTACTATTTTAGTAGTTCTGCATGCATTAACTGATTTAATCCTCACGTTGACTTTCGAAGTTTTATTGCGACCCTCATTTTACCAATGCAGAAGCTGAGCACAGAAGGTTAAAAAAAAAAAAAAAAAAACTACCCAAAGACTCAAGAGATAGTAAGTGGTAGAGCTGAGCCTCCAACAAAACTACCCAAAGACTCAAGAGATAATAAGTGGTAGAGCTGAGCCTCAAACTCAGATAGTCTAATTCCAGAGACTACACCATGTAAGACTCCACACTCAACTTCCCCAATAAGCCTAGTGACTATACTTTTTCAGGTTGTACAGTTGTTTGTGTTTCTTTGTAGAGATTTAGATCTATTACAGATAAATACATTATTTCCTTCTATCCCATTACTCTCTCTGTGTGTGTGTGTGTGTGTGTGTGTGTGAATCTGATGTGAATAATGCATTTCAGAATTCTTTACAGTACTGTGGGCAAATGCAATGTGTAAAATGTCCTTTCCTGTTGTAAGTACATATCCTGAAATAGCTGTTTCTGTCCTATGAAAATCTGCACTTATTATTAACAAGAATAAAGAGGTGTTGCATAACTCCAACTAGTATCAAACAAAAACCATGTGATCTCTTGACATTGCAAGAATTTTCCCTCTTGGGAATATCAGATAGCTCAAAAAGGTTAAACGTGCTGCCAAAATTATATTCTTAAAAATATCCCAAACCATATAAGACAGAAGCCATTCAATCAGAAACTATTCTGTATGGAATCTCTCTCCTTCCTAAAAGAAATAAGTGATGAAGTGAAATGAGATCATTCACATGTCAAGAAGGTATTAACTGTCTTAGCTGCAATCTTGATTAATAGTCATCACATTGGACCTAATAGCACAGTGGATAACATACTTTTTTAAGCATGTAAAAGCCTTCCTCAGATATTAAGAAGATATTCTAGGTATGAGAACAGCTGTTTGGCTTCTGTAGCAGTTTAGAATAGCAAATGTTAGCTCCAAGGGCACACGAAACTATAAGCATAGAAGTGGCATCTTGAAAGCAGCAAAAACCTCTGTGGATTTTTTTTCCCCTCAGATTCAGGGCTTATGGAAACCTCTGTGAACTACTGGACAGGTCTTGATCTTGCAGAACAGTGCTTCTCAAACTTAAGCATTCAGAGAATATGCCTAGAGCCCTTGTGAAAATACACATTTCTGAGCCTGTCAGTTTGCATTTCTAAAAAGCTCAGAGCTAATGCTTCTGCTGCTACAAGGACCCCAGTTTAAGTCACTTTGAACAGTGCTATTTCAGGGCATCCTGTAACCACTGTGAATCCTGAAACTGCCTCACTTTTTTCACTATTCTATTCTTTTCTCTCATACCAGTGAGACAGAGAAACAGCTCTGGCAACCATAAGGTCACTGTGCAGCATAGGGCTTCTCTAACTGGGAACGTGAGCATGAATATCAAGTATTTCTGAAACGGGGGAACCATTCTATCCCACCTTCTCCATGAGCTTCAATGAGGCAGGTGGCCTTGCCAATTGAATTCTTGGTTGTTGTTTCATTCTATGAAGAGAAGCCATGAGGATTTGTAGTACATGTAGGGTCTAATTCAAATGCTCTTTGCAGATTTCAGTCAAGACATTTCTTTATTCTCCACTTGGCTTTAGGCTTCTGTTAATCTAACCCATAGCATAGTTTTCAGTTGAAGTGTTGAGTAGTTAAATCATACAATCACTCAGTGTCACATCTTAAGAGGGATGTCCAAAGAAGCTTAATATAATACATTTGTGAAGCTTCTTAGCAATAGGATCTGACTTTGTATGTAGTATTTTTATGTAAAAAAAAAAAAGGAAAACAATTAGTGTAACAGATTTGTTGTTATAGGTAAAAAGGACATGCTCATTTAATGGATGGGGGAATTGTGGCTCTAAAAATTAGAATACTTTTTCAAGAACGTGTGTCAAGAACATTGAGAGACAGACAGCAGGCCTGCTGTGTGCCACAGTATGTGGAATGATGTGAAGCTGTAGCTGAAGCAAGCTGCCAAGCGGGCCTCCTAGGTCCATCATTGGATAAAGGACACAACTGAGGCTAGAACACCTACAGTGCCAGAAAGAATTGAAGTAGCACTGAGATGGCAGAAGAGAGGGAACTCGAGGATGCCCTCACCATGTGAAGAGAAGAGACTGCATGTCTCACTAGCCCTCCTAGCCTGAAACAATAGGCGGCAGCAGATGACTAATTACCAGGTGTGAGAAGGGACTTCTTCTAGAGGGAGGCCAGTGAAGACTCTAAAAATAGTAAAGAACCAATATGTAGATTTTTAGGCCAACAGAGTGAGGAAGAGGTGATAAATTAAACACCGATGTGTTGACTTTGAAATACCTGTGGGACATTTGAGTGGATGTACACTTTGAGAAACTAACTTGACAATCATTCGCTTATAAGTAAAAATTGAAGGTATAGGCTTTACTGTCAGCATCATTGGGTTTTTATGCCATCCCACCAGGACTTCCTTTGCCTGACCCATCCGTGTTATAATAGAGAGAAAAGCCATGTTCACACAATGTGACATGTCCCTTCCAGGCCACAGTTCACTGGATGAGGAGTCAGTGCATTGCCCACATTAAACTAATGAATTTAGAGTTTGGACTAGAATAGACTAGCTTCAAACAGGTTGCTTGTTCAACATAAAAGATGTAAATTTGGGAAGTTGTTTCAGCAGCCATTTGCCATCATGTCGAGAAAGAAACAGAGAAAGCCAGTCTAAAGCAGGAGTGAAAGGATGATGCTGGCATGAGGAGAAACACAACAGAGGTAAGAACAGATAGAAAAGATGTCCTGGGTTATCTACAGTGCTTCAGTTTCAGGTTAGATTCATTCCTAACACCTAGACACATTGAAGGTCTTAGAGTCCATGAGGCACTCTTCTATCTCAACCAAAAAAATTCCTTATTTTGTTTAATCAGGTTCAGTTTGATTTCCATTACTTTAAACCAAGAGTCTTGGCCAGGCACAGTGGCTCATGCCTGTAATCCCAGCACTTTGGGAGGCTGAGGCGGGTGGATCACTTGAGGCCAGGAGTTCAAGACCAGACTGGCCAACATGATGAAACCCTGTCTCTACTAAAAATACAAAAATTAGCCAGGCATGGTGGTGCGTGCCTGCCATCCCAGCTACTTGGTAGACTGAGGCAGGAGATTCATTTGAACCTGGGAGGCAGAGATTGCAGTGAGCCAAGATCGTGTCAGCCTGGGTGACAGAATGAGACTGTGTCTCAAAAATAAATAAATAAACAAATAAATAAATAAATGTCTTAATCCATGGAAAATAATAGTAATAATAAATAAGATGTTGTGGAGACAATTTTTAGAGGGAAGAAAGGACCAAGAATGGAAGGATCTTGAATAATATTCAACATCGAATTTCAGGCAGAAAAGAGGAATTCACAAGACATTGAAAAGCTGAGAAGTGGCCAGAGAAAGAACATCTAGAACCTCTAGTGCCTTTCAAGTCAAAAGAAAACCATTTTGACAAAGAGGTAGAGGTCAGCAATTTCAAATTCTGTTTACTCGTCATAAAACATGAATGAGAAATGTCCCCTGTATTTAACAAGTGGAAGGTTATGATTAACCTTGGTGAGAACAGTTGAAGGGGACTGGTGGAGGTAGAAACGAAAATATTTGGGGGCAGTGATGGGAAGCTATGAGGAGTAAATAGAGGAAGTAGAAAGAGCAAGGACATGTAACTTAATCAATAAATTTGATTTTAAAGACAAGGACAGAAGTGAGAAGGGTACTTCGGATTAATAGATTTTTTTCCGTGTGTATGTGTGTGTGTATGTGCGCGCGCGTGTGCATTATGCACCTTGCAACCATGTCAATGTGCTTAAATTCTGATGGGAAAGAAACACCAGGAGAGGAACATACTGGAGATACAGTAGAGATTGGGTACTCGCATGAGAAGGCCACAGGGGTGGGATCCTGCCAACAATGAGAGGCACCCCTTGCACTGAAAGTTAAGAGAAGGAAGAAAAGTGCTAAGTCTGAGATAAGACGCCTGTTCTTTGTCAGGGAATTAAGGAAGTGTGGCCACGGGACACAGCACTATTAGAGTTAGTTGTATCTGCCCTTTGCTAGCCACATTTCTTTTCCTTCTTCAAGTGCTGGGGACATGGGACCTTATAACCCTTGCCATCCAGTGAGAAAGGTAGTTGGAGCCAAAGAAGTCTGTGATCCAGCCCAAGACTTCGCATTGCTTGATCAATGGCATCCTCCTCTATGCTGTTTTGTTCTCTCCTCACCACATAAATTCTATCCTCCATCCATAGACATTTAGAAACATTTGTTCTCTCACTTAAAGTTAAAAGCTCTTTGTGGGAGAAAAACATGTATTGTCCAGTTTTGTATCTTCCCCTTCGTAACTTACATACAAATGGCTCTCAAAAGCAATTATTTCAAAAATTGAATAAAAATGCTACCTAGTGTCTAACTTAAACAACAATTCATTATCTAACAATCCTTTTTCACTTCAAACACTGAAGTATCATTTCTGTTTACCTCATAAAAAGTGAATTGATATATATGTTTTCTAGTGATCACAGAAAGAAGACACTTTGTAGCATTTATTTAATTTGTAGATATTGTAGAAGCTCTTATAATGTGATTCATTTTAATGAACCTCCAAATAAGTAACAAATTACTGGATTTTCTTTTTTTCATAGTTTATTAAAGATTTCTTCTTTAGTTCTTTTCAGACTTATTTATTTCAAATCTATTGTAGAGTCATCCAAAATTTAAGACATTTAGATTAATTTTAGGCATTACAGAATGCAGCTAATGTTTCTATGGTTTCATATTTCTACGTCTCTTGAATGTACCCTTAAATATTGGTAATATCGTATCCTGTCAACACTCCTTTCCCCCCCCCTCTGATATTGAGCCTGTATTTAATATCTATTAACCTAAAAATATTCAAATGCAAGTCATGTGATTGGGAATGCCTTTCTGCTGTTAGTATTTCTAATACATTTTTTCAATTTTCATTTATTCAAAGTAACTAGATTGAAAATCCAATTACTTTTATGTTTAATATTCAGCTTTGCTCTGAATTCTGAGCCAACACTGTTTAATGGTACGTTGCTGCCCTCTAGCTTATGTTTGAAAAGTTTTCTATAATGTAACAATTTATCCAGTAGTCTCTTGGATATGCCCAATACATTGATATTCATTTGTATTTAATGAATCCTATATTAGCAGTTTTATAAACATTAAATTTTTATAGTTATTAATTAAAGTGTTATTTTTCTTTCCAGGTAAAACTGATCTTATTAATCTTAGGAAACATCTTGAAGAGACAAGAAAACCTTTGTTATGTCATTGTGTAGCAGGTTCTCAGCCAATTTCTTTTTCCCTTAATTTACACATTTCGCCTCCATATAGGTTGGCTATTTTCAAAAATCAGTGTGTTTTCTTATCTTTTATTTCTTAAGCAGCCAGAGAGAAGTATCAACTCTTTTATGCTCTCAATGAATGCAGAGTTCTTGTCAAAGAATATTTCTAAAAATGAAACAAAATAAATTGATTGGCACTATTTCAAATTCTAAGGATGGTCAGAAATTTCAGCCAGGTGTTTTTTGTGTTCAAACAAATTAAGAAACTACTTAAGGCTTGAATTACTGTTATCTGACCAAAGTTCTGAAATAATGTTATGGCATCATACTTCTTTGTCATAAGACCTTCTGGCCTGGATAGAGTTATCAAGCATGTATCTACTACCTACTTCTGTTCATTTTAATGCCTAGAAGCCTTAAAACTAAAATGTAATATTCAGCAAAATTTTCAGTATTGTACTTAGCTGAGACTGTAGTGAAGGGCATTCTGGTGTAGCACAGAGACCATGAGACTGAAAGTAGAAACCTGGATTTGATTCCTAGTTCGTTCAACACAACAACTTTTTAGGGTCTTAAATCTCTTGTTTTTAAAAATAATAAGTCTACCTTTCTCATAAAATTGTAGACAGCATGAAATAAGGAAATGAATGAGAAAGTGCCCACACGATGTATGTTATGTACTAAGAGCTTAATAAACCTTTGTTTAATCCGTATCTAGTATAAACATTCAATTGTTCCTAGTCTTCTGATTAAGAGTAATTCTCTGCCTTTCTTTCTTCTTCTCTTTTATCAAAGTTTTCTTGCTCTTCGCGTGTCTTTTTATATACTGTTTTTCAGTCAGGCTTCTTTTTAAAAATTCTAGCTACTTTAAGAAAAAAAGAAATTTATTTAAAAAATATTAGATATTTAATAGAATCTCGGAGGGCCAGAAAATCAGGTTCAGAAGAACAGGCTTGACTGTTCCAGAGACCCGACAGCCACTGGCACTGGCAATAGCACCACCAATGCCCCCCCACAATGCCACCCCAGGATGGCACCCATGGATGCCTGTCGCTGCTGCCTCCCTCAAGCTCAGCAGAGTGGAGTCCATGTTTTATGACTGCATCTGATTGGCAGAGTCCTTGTACCATGGTGTGTCCGGAATTGGTGGGTTCTTGGTCTCACTGACTTCAAGAATGAAGCCCCGGACCCTCGCGGTGAGTGTTAACAGTTCTTAAAGGCGGCGTGTCCGGACTTGGTTCCTTCTGATGTTCGGAGTTTCTTTCTTCTGGTGGGTTCGTGGTCTCACGAGTGAAGCTGCGGACCTTCGCGGTGAGTGTTACAGCTCTTAAGGTGGCACGTCTGGAGATGTTCGTTCCTCCCAGTGGGTTCGTGGTCTCGTTGGCTTCAGAAGTGAAGCTGCAGACCTTCGCGGTGAGTGTTACAGCTCATAAAGGCAGTGTGGACCCAAAGAGTGAGGGCAGCAAGATTTATTGCAAAGAGCGAAGGAACAAACCTTCCACGGTGTGGAGGGAGACCCCAGCGGGTTGCCAGTGCTGCCTCAGGCAACCTGCTTTTATTCTCTTATCTGGCCCCACCCACATCTTAATGATTGGTAGAGCACAGTGGTCTGTTTTGACAGGGCGCTGACTGGTGCGTTTATAATCCCTGAGCTAGACACAAAGGTTCTCCACCTCCCCACCAGATTAGCTAGATACAGAGTGCCAATTGGTGCATTCACAAACCCTGAGCGAGACACAGGGTGCTGATTGGTGTGTTTACAAACCTTGAGCTAGATACAGAGTGCCAATTGGTGTATTTACAATCCCTGAGCTAGACACAAAGGTTCTCCACCTCCCTACCAGATTAGCTAGATACAGAGTGTCCACACAAAGGTTCTCCAAGTCCCCACCAGAGTAACTAGATCCAGAGTGTCGATTGGTGTATTCACAAACCCTGAGCTAGACACAGGGTGCTGATTGCTGTGTTTACAAACCTTGAGCTAGATACAAAGTGCCGATTCGTGTATTTACAATCCCTTAGCTAGATATAAAGGTTCTCCACGTCCCCACCAGACTCAGGAGCCCAGCTGGTTTCACCCAGCGGATCCCGCACCAGGGGCTGCAGGTGGAGCTGCCTGCCAGTCCTGTGCCACCAGCGGGCACTCCTCAGCCCTTGGGTGGTCCATGGGACTGGGCGCCTTGGAGCAGGGGGCGGCCCTCGTCTGGGAGGCTGGGGCCGCACAGGAGCCCACGGAGTAGGGGGAGGCTCGGGCATGGTGGGCTGCAGATCCGGAGCCCTGCCCCGAGGCAAGGCAGCTAAGGCCAGGCAAGAAATTGAGCACAGCAACTGCTGGCCCAGGTGCTAAGCCCCTCACTACCCCGGCCGATCGGTCGCTCCGAGTGCAGGGTCCTCCGAGCCCACTCCCACCCAGAACTCGCGCTGGCCCTCAAGCACCGCGCGCAGCCCGGGTTCCCGCCCGCGCCTCTCCCTCCACACCTCCCAGCAAGCTGAGGGAGCCGGCTCCGGCCTTGGCCAGCCCGGAAAGGGACTCCCACAGTGCAGCGGCGGGCTGAAGGGCTCCTCAAGTGCCGCCAAAGTGGGAGCCCAGGCAGAGGAGGCGCCGAGAGCAAGCGAGGGCTGTGAGGACTGCCAGCACGCTGTCACCTCTCAATGGCAGCAAGAGAAATTGGGAAGGTGAGGTTCTGACTTCTACTTTCTGAGACAAGAGCCCAAAGAAGAGGGATTCCACAAATCTAAGAGAGCTATTGAAAGGTTCCACATGGCTAAAAAGCATGACAACTTCACCTTGCTCTTTTTTGTTTTTGTTTTTATTGTTGTTGTTCTTTTGATCCCCATCAAGCTAATCAAATGGTGTTTACTCAGGAGTTTCTAGAAGCAGAAAACCTGAAGAAGTTCTAATGGCAGAAATTGCAGGATCAATAAAAAAACACAAACTGTTGGACTTCTCCACTGTCTCTATTCCTCCCTCTCTCTGGGTAGGTGAATTTGTGTGTTTTATACTGGACAAGCATAGTATTGTACTATGCTAATAACATATGCATTGATTGATTAAACATTAATTGAATTCCAGAACATATGCAAGGAACAAGAAGTATTAATGCAAATGTAAGTAAGATCTGTACCTTTTATTCTGAGAATTCACATCCTAATTAGCAATTAGGAAGTATCATGTAAACCCCTAATTATAGGCAGCATGAGAAGAGCTTTAACAGGGAAGGCACTGTGCACATAGGTAATGTTTAAAGACACAAATTCTTACCCCTGTCATAGAAAACCCAAGGTTAAAGGTATTGTCCAGTCATACCTATATCATAAACATATTGGTGAGTGTATTTTGTCAAACAGGTGACTGGAGATATGTCAATAGACTGTTCTGTTTTACTGATAAGCTCAGACTTCACTGTATGCTTTCAATTTTTATTCAGATTAAAGTTTTTTGATCTTTCATTGCCTTCAAATAATCATTTCAAGCGTTGTTGTTATTCACACACTGTAAAATGAAATTTTAGATTATAGAATGTCCTTGAAAATAGAAACTTGTTACTACAATACTAATGTTTTAATTTCTAGTCTTAAAATATTATCGCTTTTAATTTACATTTCTTATGTATACTCATTTAATTACCAACTTTAAATTCAGTAATCACATTTTTCCCCTAAGCTTTGATTAGAACAATTATAGTAAATGAAAATAAGAAAGCAATTTTTGTAAAGCTATTTATAAGGCACCCTTTTCGAGCCATAAAGAAGCTTTCCAAATAGCTTTTTTCAGCATTAGGTCTACAAAAAAAATTATTTATGTTCTGCTTAAGATACACAGATCCAAAACTCTTTCATTGTCTGCTCATCTTTGTTTTGGTCTCCCCTAGTATGATGGCTCCCAGCTGAAGGCTTAGCACACAAATGGTGCTCAATAAGTGCTGCTGAATGAATGTCTGACCCTCTTAACCCAGACCAAGAAGGTAGAAGCATCAGCAGAAAGTCCTTTCAACAATAGAAAGCCTATGAACAGATGAAAGAAATAGAAAAATAGATAACTGATTTTTACATGTACCTACCCCAATTTGTCTTTGGCCCTGAACTCTGCTGGCCAATGCCTCTTTTTGGGTTGCCTTAAAGAACAAGAATATACATCAGCACACACCTAACTGAAATCTTGGTGGAAACTGCCACACCAACTTACGTTATCAACTGATTTGTAATCTATGGCTGAATATTTTCTTTGACTCACGACTGTACACTTAATACTGAAGATAATATTCCTAGTTATATAATTCCTTCACATGGCATCCTGAGTACTGTGTTTTTAAGTTATGCTAATAATGCGAAAGGGGAAAAAACGGCTTCAAACACTGTGATTATCAGACTTTTTACAGCATCTTTACTCATTATGGTAAAATGAAGTCAATGCATTAGACATGTTTCATTAAGGCCCGTGGACTATAAAGGGATATGCCACTTTATAGGGATGGGTTAGAGCCAATCCCATTTTTTGGATGTGTGGATCCCTTTGATTAACTCAGATTATCCTCTCTAGAAGTGGGAATATTGAGGAAGTCGTCTTTCACTGGTTCTTATACCTTTGTTCTTTCATCCCCAAATCCCTCAAATTCCCCACTCATATGCACACACTCACACACAAACACACATACAACACACACATGGAAAAGAGAAAATAAATTTCATTGCAACTAACAAAGAATCAAAATCATTGTGGCTTAAAGAAGATAGAAGTTTGGTTCTCTCTCAGGTAAACATCTGGATGTAGGCAAGTCAAACTGCTCTACAAAGCAGAGATTCCACCTTATTACTGTACCCTGTGGAGCAAACCTCCCTTCCCAAGGACATAATCCTAGCCACATTATCTGTAGGCCACTCAGCAGGAAGGGTGAAGGCAGCAAGAGAAAGAAAGGGCAGAGCACACAGCATCCGTCATTTAAAAAAATGTTCTAAAGTGTGGTAGGGCATGGTGGCTCATGCCTGTAATCCTAGCACTTTGGGAGGCCAAGGCAGGCTGATCACCTGAGTTCAGGAGTTCAAGACCAGACTGGCCAATATGGTGAAACCCCATCTCTACTAAAAGGCCAGGCATGGTAGCAGGCACCTGGGATCCCAGCTACTTGGGAGGCTGAGGCAGGAGAATTACTTGAACCCAGGGGGCAGAGGTTGCAGTGAGCCAAGACCCCCCCACATTGCACTTCAGCCTGGGTGACAAAGCGAGACTCCATCTCGGAAAAAAAAAAAAAATACAAGAAAAGAAAAGAAAATGTCCTAAAGAACTTATATGCAACACTTCTACTTTCACCTCTTTGCACTGAACCTAATAACATGACCACATCCAACCTTAATGAAGGCTCAGAAATATCATTTCATTTTTCATTGCTTTCAAAGAACATATTGAGGTTTTATTACTGAGAACAGAGGGGAAAATGAACAGAGGGGAATTTTCTAGCAGACAGCTAGAAAATTGGCATGAGAGTCTTCCTTATCCCTCCCATGATGTAATGTGTGGGATTTCATTCTGGAGGTTTCAGGACAGGTTCCCTTCCTTCCCCCAGCTACCCTACACTATCTTTCTCTCTACCCCATATGCATCCATGAATTTTATTCTTCTCTTTTTTTTAAGACAGTGTCTCACTCTGTCACCCAAGCTGGAGTGCAGTGGTGTGATTATGGCTCACTGCAGCCTGAAACTCCCAGGCTCAAGCGATCCTCCCTTCTCAGCCTCCCACGTAGCTGGGACTACAGGCATGTGCCACCATGCGAGGCATTTTTTTTTTTTTTTTTGTAGAAACAGGGGTCTCACTATGTGGTCCAGGCTGGACTCAAACTCCTGGCCTCAAGCAATCCTCCTGCCTTGGCCTCCCAAAGTGCTGGGAACTTTCTTCTTATGTATCCAAACACACTTCTCCTGCTCAAAGGAAAAAAGAAGGGAGTAATTAGTGAAGGATAGACTGACTTTCACTATTTAAGCTACTGAGTAATATGAATTTTAATAAGAGGATCTGAGCCAAATTCTAATCCTCTGCTTGTGCAATTGCTATCTAAATTGAGACTACAGTCAGTTTTAATTGAACATAAAATCTGCTGTTTGATCCTAAGCAGTAGAATAATGTTTCATTTGCTAGTAAGTGGATTTTGGACTTCTTCCCAAAAGCAGCTAAACTTTTGTGATAGTTACAATATTATCTCATTCAAACAAAGGCCTGGAACAGGTAATATTCTCTGGGGAGGTACCAACCTCTGTGAGCAGCAGATTCAGTAATTTGAATAACAAACTTAAACTCCAAACATAGCCCTGGCTAGCCAGGCAGTTGTTCTCACACTCCACAGAGCACTAGAGGTTTCAGAGGAACATCTAGTTTCAAAGAATGAAGCAGAGTAGACAGAGCCCACCTACCCTCACACACAAACATCTTTCTATCTATACTTTGTGTATTGAACTTCTATATGAGGCATTGTTAAAAGAAAGGCTTTAACTACTTTTAAAATCTGACCTCGTTGTTCTCAGCTCCAATTCTATTCCTTAGGGATTTGTTTCTTGAGGACATTATAACCTTGAAGTTCATAAGCTTTTCAGGAGCTAGTGGAGAAGGGTGAAAAGAGAAGAGACTTAGGGGAAAACTGCCTACCTGTCATTATATTTTGGCAAAAGTTTATTTAACTTGTTTAGAAAGACCATAATGGTGCATACAACCTGGATTCACAATATTATTTGATTAGCGAGACTATATTAGTATATTTGTCTCCCTGGAAATCATAACCTATGTGTACCATTAAAATTTTTTCTCCTTTTCTTTTTTTTCTTTTTTAGTCATTTAAATTTTGCTTTCTAATGCTTAAGTCTTTTTTTTCTTAATGTGCGAATATATTTATTGCCACCCAAAATTGGATATTCTTATCCAGGTCAACATACACATAGGAAATGACTGACAAGATCTGGTAAGTTTGCATATTATAGCTTCACCACAACTTTGTTGTTTGTTTCTGTTATCAGAATCTTCTCAGCAGTCCTACTTCATCTGTCAAATATTCCATGGACAAAAAAAAAAGTCAAAAGCATTCGTAATCTTGTTATTGTTGCTGTTGTTAATTACAAAAGTTCAGTCTTTTTGTTTTGGTAGATTAGCTTTAAGTAACAATTACATGTCTAAAGGAGTAGTTGTGAGCTCTATTCTAAATAAAATACTCTAAGAATTTATTTCTCTCTGCAGCTATTTCTTCATTCTCCAACTCATATTTCTTCATGGCAACAAAATATCGAATAAAGGTTTCTCCTAGAGCCTGTCTCAGGCATTGATCTTCTTCCAGTGCCACAAGGGCATCTTCTAGTTTTAAAGGGATCTCAGAAGGTTCCACTTGGTAAAAGTCTGTGCTCTCATCTGGACCAGCCAAGACCTCATTACTGCTATGAAGTCCATCTAAGCCGGCAGCAACAGTTGCAGCCAGCACCAAGTAAGGGTTTGCTGTTGCTGAGCCTAGTTTATTTTCTATCCGGGTGCCTTTCTCTCCATGACATTTGATATTAAATATACAGCTGTTGTCATTGTATCCCCATGTTGTAGGCACACTCTTCTTCAGGTCTTTCCTGTCCTTGGAATAACGCTTTCGGCAGCTAACAGAAGGCGCCATCAGGCAGCTGAGCGCAGCAGAGTGCTTCAAGAGTCCTGCCAACCATTTTTTCCCAGTGATCGTGAGCTGCTCAGTTCCAGAAGTGCTGCAGAACATGTTTTTCTTCCTATCGACATCCCAGAGACTATGAGACAAAATCCCTGAATCACAAAATCCAGTCTCAATGAAGAAGCTGGCAATGTAATTATATTTCCTTGCCACTTCTTTGACACCTGTTCTGAGGGTAAATGCATTATCAGCTGAGCTAATGCCAAATTCAGGCAGGAAAGAGATTTCCATCTGACCAGGCCTGGTAGAGGAGGAAAAACTCTCGACATTGGCTCCAGTGTGATACAAGCCATCAACAAGTTCCTGCATGAAGGGCTGATCATGGTTATTTAAAAATGTTAAAGCAGGAAAAGATATAATCTTTGAATTTAAAATTTCGGGCACACCAAAAATGCAAAAATCATAGATGAAAGCAGAAAGCAGGGAAAAGCCAGAGGCCTGCAGATGGCTCAGCTGCCTCTTTGCAATGTACCTTGGGGAAGTCAAAAGAGGCTCACCAGTCACAGTGAAGGTATCACATATCACTCTTGCAGTTCTGTCAGCCCATGGCAAAACTCTAAAGGTTGATAACTCTGGCATTAGGACTATGTCGCTATTAAAACATGTGGCTCTTATGTTATTCATTTCATTGTCCTTTGGATTTGGTATCACTTCAAGATAACCTCGGGGCATGCAAACACCATGGCTCACTTTCTCCTAAAGAAGGAAAAAAATGAAGAAATTAGGTTTTGAAAACAAACAAAAGGGTCGGGGGGCGGCGGGAAAGCCTTGCTAATGAAAATATATATATATATATATATATATATAATAAATATATATATATATGTTTAACACTTGTTGGTTAACACTAACTTGATATCAGATAAATGTTAAACATTTTAAAATAAAACCCCCAAAGGCAACTTTATAAACAATGCATTGTTTTAAGCCTTGAAGGCCTTATATGCTCTTAGATCTGAAAATAGCAGTTATAAATGAAAGGTATAATGATAAAGAAAATCCGTTACAGCAAAAAACAAAGGAAAAGCCTTATGGAATTATTTGAAATTATCATCATCAAAAGTGCTTCCTGAAGTACAGTTGTTAATTCTTCAGATAAGGCTTTCTTTTTGCTTATTTTATTGTAATCCTGAGTTAACTGACCCTCAAAAGTCTACAGTAAACAATTCTCAATCCTTCTCAAATTGCAGACTATGGTCAGTACTGTGGCACACAGCACATTTGTCCTAACACCAGGGGAGCCAGGACGCTGACAGCTGCATTCCTCTCTTTATTCACTTTTACAACCCATTTAAGAATTAAAAACCTCACTGTCTCAGAGTCCCAGAACCCTTGTCCATGAATGTGGACCTATAACTCCAAAGTTATAGCTTCCAAAATGTTGTAGCCTTCAAGTCAGCATGAACTGGGTGTCAACAGATCTGCCTTCTCATCCTAGCTCTTTCGTTAATTGCTTTGGTGAATTTCGGCAAGTCATTGGATTATGTGCCCTCAGCTTCCACATCAGTAAAACAAGTGTTAGACTAGATGACTGCTAAGGTACTTTCTAGCCATCTATCTCTAGGGTTCAGTGAATTTGGTCATTTATTTAACTTTTGCTCTGTGCCAGGCAACAGGGAAGTGATAAGGTTATTAAGTTGAACAGACACATAAAACAATTTCTGGAAATTATGTATTAGAAATATCAACAAGGTTGAAGGTTACATTAATAGATGGAGAAAAATCACTGAGTATAAAAGGTTGGTTCCCATGAAGTCAGTGAAGATCATGAGGTTAATAAAACACTCTAACAATCTGCAAGCCAGACACTTTCCTTTTCTTTCTTTCTCTTTCTTTCTCTTTTTTTCCCCTTATAAACAACAGAAACTCATTCCTCTTTAGTTCTGGAGACTGAGAAGTGCGAGATAAAGGCAACAGCAGATTTGGTGTCTGGTGAGGGCTGCTTTCTGCTTCGTATATGGCTTCTTCTTGTGTATCCTTACATGGTGGAAGGAAGCCAGACTATTTCTTATGCTACCTCCAGACCCCAAGAAGCATGGCTATCAAAGAGGGGCTGGTATTAGCCAAAGTAATTTACTGGTTCACTCTTCCGCATTTGCCCATGAACCACTGCCTCCACTTTCCACCATCTCTACACATATTTTTGAATGCTATTTGACTGAACTGATCCAACTCCACTTTAACCAATAATAAAGTTGAGTGAGCCAAACACCATTTGGTGTCTGCCTAATTTTCCAGCTCACTCATGGACCTGTACATGTAAACTTTATACACACGCACACACACACACACGCTTACTGTGGGATATTAGAATATTATAGCATGGAATCCTTTAATTCATATTTTCACTATAAGCAATAATGTCATTTCCCTGCTTGTCAGTTTTTTAGTTTGAAATTCTGTATATTAGTTCTTTACATATCTAAAATGAGAAATAATATATTTTATTCATGAGACTTCTATGAATTCCTACAATTTAAATCTGTGTTTGTATTCACTTGGCTGTGAGTAGTAGAGAACAGCTGGTTGCCATTTCACTCCAATAGTCCTATATGAACTCAAACCATAGTAAAAAGTCACACTTTATTCTTTTGATTATTTAATTCATATTTTTTTGAACACTCTTTTCTGGCACTGTAATTTGCTTTATTCTTTTCTTGGACATAGAGAATGCAAACTACTCTCTATTAGTTACGGGAAGTATATGAATATATGTTAATATATTCATGATAATATATTGTCTTAAGTAGTGTTTATAGATATAAAGCACTGGAACAACTTCATCTTCAATATAGATCACTATGGACCCAATAAAATTTTTGCAGAATAACTTAAATCCTTATCACAAATGAAACTTGGACCATAGTAAAGGTCATCTTTTGAAATAAGCCAAGAATTAGTTATGAGTCCTGTAGCAATATATCATAATTTGGCTAGATCAGATACAGAAAAAGCCTACATTATTGCATATAATTTAAATAAAAATCTGCCCTTTTGATTGATAGAACAGAGATAATATAAGTTGGTTGTAAGACTTAAACCTTAAAACACCACACACACATGCAATGTTTAGGTTACTTTGCACAAATGAATCTTTTTTTTTTTTTTTTGAGATGGAATAAGGTACACACACACACACACGATATTTAGGTTACTTTGCACAGATGAATCTTTTTTTTATTTTTTATTTTTTGAGATGGAGTTTCACTCTTTTTGCCCAGGCTGGAGTGCAATGGCGCGATCTCGGCTCACTGCAACCTCCGCCTTCCGGGTTCAAGCGATTCTCCTGCCTCAGCTTCCCAAGTAGCTGGATTACAGGCCCCTGCCACCAGGCCCAGCTAATTTTTGTATTTTTAGTAGAGATGGGGTTTCACCATGTTGGCCAGGCTGGTCTCAAATTCCTGACCTCAGGTGATCCGTCGGCCTCAGCGTCCCAAAGTGCTGGGATTACAGGCATGAGCCACTGTGCCCGGCCTCTTAAACCTATTTTTAATGTCTATTCACAGCAAATTTTCCAAAATAAATTATTTTCTCTTAAATTACAAATATTAATTGTGCTAATACTCATTATTTATACCTTCACAAGTTTCAAAAATAAATTTAAAGTGGCTTCTTAAAAAAATATAGATACTCTATGATCATTAAATGAGAACAAAATAATAATAACTAGGTAATGAAATAGGGAAGTTAGTTATTAGGAAACTGGGACTAAGAATAAATATAGCCATTGAGAAGGTGTATAATGAGTTACATTAAAATTCTCATGATAAACTTTTTCTCTAGCTAAACTCAAGGAATAAAAGTGTTTTTTGTATGTGGGATATTGAACAAAATAATGAAAAATATTTTCAGTAGCAGTTGGATAAAAAAAAGTATGCAGAATTTTTCTCTTTATGTCAATTATATCAATCCTTAGCAAGTATAAGCAGCATACTGTTTTATTTTTGTAAAAGGATTCCACTGAGAAACTAGAGTAATGTCCTATATATGGACTTTTAGGTGCCATTAGTAAAATAAATGATTAAAATTTGACAAAAACTGAACAGCAAACAGTTTTACATTGAGCTCTGGCAAGTAGTTAAAGTGCCAGTTACTTTTCCTTATGATTGAAAGAGACTCATTTGAATTACATTCTGGGCTTGTCCACAAGAAAATCCTCATTTTTTATAAAAATTAAACAACATGTATTCTTGCCTGAATGACAAGGAAACAATATCTGCAAGCAGGTCCAAATAATTCCTTAAGAAACAAGTTTGAATCTGTTAGAATTATTTAAAAAGAGTTTTTGAAGATGTCCAGTTTTCCCCAACATGAAACAAATTTAAAAATTAGAATCTGATGTTAATGTGATAAAAGTGTAATATTTTTAAACAGTTAAACCTAGAGGATGCTTAACTTTCACACTTTCTTAAATAGTACCGACCTGATGTCCCTTGCTAAGAAATTTGATATTTAATTAACACAACAACTCAGTCATCAAAATAAACACATGACAAAAACTGATACAAAAAATTAAGGAAGTCTCAAAACAACAAAAACACAATATTTCTTGATATCATCATTTTTGGGAATTTAATAATATTCATTAAGTCATCCAACAACAATGGAATATTTTCTTATCAGAATTTGGAGCTGAAAGGAATACATTTTTTATCTAGCAAATATTTTCTATTTAATCATTTTTTCCTTTTTATGTTTGCTTTTGGGTCTTCTGTTGCAATTTTCTCATGTCAAATAAAATATAATCTTCATAATTGCAGTAAGGGAGAAAAAATAATTCTGTAGAGCAAAATTATTCAAGGCAGGACTAAAATTACCAGTCTCAATTAGTTTTGTATTTCTATTGGGTAAAGAAATTGCTGTTTGAGAGCTGAGAGTACATGTTTAGCTCCTTGGGGAGCAATAATGTGTTTGGGAGGAACAAGGGAAGAAACAAAATAAGTTATTGATTTTCAGCTTGAATTGCTGTATAAGATTACAAGAAAATAAGAAAGAGTAATAAGAACTGTTTGCTTGCTAATGGTCATGAAATTACATTTAGTCACAACTGTGTAAAACTCACTTGAAAAAAGTGTGCAGGGATAGTCTTAGACCTGGACACGCCGTGGAGGTCTGTTGCTTCAAATCGTACAAACTGGAGGCGATTTTTGGCCATGGCTTGTCTAATGTGTTTCATTCTAGAAGAGAGTTGAGGTGGGGTCAAAATTTGACTGCTGTCCCTCATGCAATCTGCAAAATAAAAAAATAGGTTCTAACTCACGAGATCATGATGGACTGAGAAGCAAAAGGAGACTGGAGACTAGTGAATTAGTCAATATTATTAACAAAAACATTATATATTCATCATGTCACTGGCTTAGAGTTGGATATCTTACCTTTCTTATTCTGCCTTTACCGTCTTCCCAAGAACACTGTGTCTAAACAACCTGAGAGATCATTTATCAGTTAGGACGAGGTCAAAATTGACATTATTTGCATAAGGATATAGCGATATCATACGTAGATACTTACTGAAAATCCCTTTGCTTATGGAAATTAGAACATATTTGCATAAGTTCACAGCAAAAAGGGACCATAAAAGCCTGTCTGTAGGTGACTATTATTAAACATATTTGGGCTTCTTGAACTAACTGTTAATTTCTAAATTTAAATTTCTATATGATTAAAAGTGAATTTGGTTTTATTTTCAGGGGTTTTGTCTCATTCTGGGAGTTTTTTGCCCAAAGGGCTTTATATCTTTTTAATGGCATCTAACTCTAAGAAATATACATATTTCTGTCAAATTTAAAACTTGCTTAAATAAGCAAACAAAAGTGTGGGTTTTTTTTAAGAATGAGAGTGTAGGAGATGAAAAGTCTGGACTGCATACTCAATTTAAAATTAGAAACATAAAAAACATTCTTTTCGAGACTTTTAAGATAGTTTGAAAATTCTAACTGTAGAGCTAGAAGAGAACTTTGGAGATAAATCATCTAATCTAACCAACTCGTTAGCTTGAGTCCCAAAGTGGTACAATGAGTTACTCCAAACCGCACCATCAGTCCACTGCAGAATTGAAACTAGAATGCAGACTTTTGATTCATGCTGGGTGGCTTATTACCACAAATTAAATTAATATGTCTAGAGCACATAGAATGGTCAGGCAAATAGTACACATTATAAATGTTAGTTGCTGTCAGAACTTTTAGGAGAGGCAGCAGAGTGTAGTTTGGGTTAGCACAAAACACTGAAGTCCATCTACCTCCCTTCCAATCCTGCCTTTGCCCTAGCAACAATCTTATCCTTTTTATGACTTGACTTTCTCATCAATAACATATGACCTACTTCATAGGCTTGTTATGAGGATTAACAAGTTATTAACAGTTATTGGCAGACAGTAAGCACCATGTAAGTGCTACTTAAATGCATAAAGTGAGTACAATTACTCTAGCCCAAGTAAATGTTATCATGATCAAGTCTGCATCCAAACACCCATCAATCTCTCACATCATTGATGTTGAGCAGCTATAATTTTAAAGTGATACCTGAGTATTCTTTTGCAAGATATAATTAGGCTTTAAAACTAAGCATAAAGATTGACAGTTTAGAAACATAGATTAAGTAGATTTTAAGTATGAAGCATGGGAAAAACAAATTACTGTTTCCACATATGCAAATATATTAGTGATAATGTGCTATCACTGATACATTTGGCTACTCTGAAACTCCGGAGGCTTTATAACTACCTTCCATTTAAAACAAACAATTAAACTGTAGCAATTAAAGTATTTCATGCTAAATTAACCTTGCTGTATTCCCAACCTACACTGAAATATTGGGTGTTCAGCCCAAGATGAAGAATGCTCCTTAAAACAAAATGTATAGGCATTTTAAAATATGGAAATTTGGGTCAGGCATGGTGGCTCACTCCTGTAATACCAGCAGGAGTGAGGTGGGCAGATCACTTGGGGCCAGGAGTTCAAGACCAGCCTGGGCCAGTTCAAGACCAGCCTGGGCAACATAGCAAAACCCCATTTCTACTAAAAATACAAAAATTTGCTGGGTGTGGTGTCATGCGCCTGTAGTCCCAGCTACTAAGGAGGCTGAAACACAAGAATCGCTTGAGCCTGGGAGGTAGAGGTTGCAGTGAGCAAAGATCGCGCCACTGCACTCCAGCCTATGCAACAAAGAGGGACTGTCTTAACCAATAATAATAATAATATGGAAATTTTTAGATAATGAGTATTCTAAACATAATAAGCAATTATACATAGGCTATAAAGAAGACATCTCCTATAAAAGGAGAAAGGGTAATTTTATTGGTTCACTAGTAATAGGATAACAGGTAGTCTTACTAGTTTTTTGCTTTATCTGTGTCTCCTAAACTTTCTACAATGAATACATATTATTTTAAAATAAGAATAATATTTGGCTGGGTGCAGTGGCTCAAGCCTGTAATCTCATCACTTTGGGAGGCCGAGGCAGGTGGATCACGAGGTCAGGAGTTCAAGACCAGCCTGACCTACATGGTGAAACCCCGTCTCTACAAAATGTTTTTAAAAAAACTAGCCAGGCATGGTGGCATTCACCTGTAATCCCAGCTACTCAGGAGGCTGAGGCAGGAGAATCTCTTGAGCCTGGGAGGTGGAAGTTGCAGCTCCACCAAGGAGCTGAGATGGTGCCATTGTACTCCAGCCTGGGTGACAGAGTGAGACTCCATCTCAAAAAAATAAATAAATAAATAAATAAATAAATAAATAAATAAATAATAATAATATTCATTCACTCATCATAGATATTTTTCATCATCACATACTATTCATACTGAACGTGTACCTAGGAATCAGCCAGAAAGAGCCCTACCCTCATAGAACTTTATATTATGATGTGGGGCAAGTATAGATAATAAACATGCCATCAAATACAAGGGTGGGATAAATTCACACAGTGAAAGGGCTGGAAAAAAAAAAAACCATAATCACCTGAAGTATTAATTGTATGAAACTTGATCACAACATGGACAGCTCTAACCCTTGATTAATTTTGAAGTCTCCAAGTTGCCCTGTGACTGGACAGTGAGTAGGGTACGTGTATTAGTTTGCTAAAGCTACTATGACAAATGCCCCAGACAGGCGGCTTACACAGAAATTTATTTTCTCATAGTTCTGAAGGCTAGAGGTCCGAAACCAAAGGTGTCAGCAGGATTGTTTCTTCTAAACTCTCTCTCCCCTTGGCTTCTAGACAGCCATCTTCTTCCAGCACCTTCACATGTTCTTTTCTCTGTGCATGTCTGTGGCCTAAACTCTTCTTCATATGAGGACATGAATCATAATGGATTAGGGGCCACCCTACTGACCTAAGTTAACCTTAATTACCTCTTTAAAGAACGTATCTCCAAATTCAGCCACACTATCAGGTACTGAAGGTTAGGATTTCATTTTAACAATTTTGGAGGAACACCATTCAACACATAACAGTGTATCATTCTGTTTCTGTTTTCTTCAGTGTCCAAATTGGCACCTGCCACACTGTATACTCACATGTTCCTGTCATTCTCCATTGCCTATCAGCTCCTTGAGCGCCAAGGCTTAGTTTTACCTGCTGCTGTTTTCTTGGTACTTGTAGCAGTATAGGCATCTCATAGTCACTCAACAAATATTTTTTAAATAAGTGAGTGAGTGAATGAATGAATACATCCTGTGTGATTTGACTTTGTCTAATTAATAAGTAAAAGTTGTCATCATATATTTTAGTACATATCCTAAGCATCGATTTTTCATTTAAAAGTTCAATTCTTTCACCAAATATGAGAACGCTATCCAATCCCATTTCATTTTCAAGGCATCAACTGATCTTGCTGCATCATTGTCGGAATTTATTTTCTTCAATAAATCATACTTGTTATTTACAATTAAACCTTTTGGTCAGCCTTTCCCAGTTGCACATGATGAATAGCAGGCAGATAATTGCCAGTTCAGGAGCTCATTTGTTTTTCCTACAGTGTGGTTCCTAGGAGATTTTCTTCTTTTCTATTCCCTCAGAGGATTAATAAATTAAATCAATGTGTTTTTATAGAAGATGTTTTAATGCTGTGAATGTTTAGGGAAAAAATAAGAAAATATTAAAAAAAAAAAACCTTAAAGCTCTATAGCAACTAGGAGGCCTTGGAGAAATTTTGTTTGTGTTCAGTGACAATGAGGACATATATCAGTTATATATAGAGAGCAAGCCATGGTCACATATAAAAGGGAGATTGAAGAGATGTTTGGGCTTTCAGAAATACCAATTCAAAGAAAGGGAAAAGTGCACTTGCGAGAAAACTCTGGAATACATTCAGCTTATTGCACACCTAGCATAATGTACCATGCTCTTTCAAGGTCCAGCCATCTTTCATCATTGTGGCTATGGTGAGAGCCACCCTGTTTGTGCTACCTTCTGGCCACATCATATTAGCGCAGACATTGTTGGAAAGCCCAGGTGGCAGAATAACCAGGTACAAAGCAGGGAAAAAAAGCAATACAATAAAAAGTGGGAGGGAAAGGGGGCTTTTCTTTGAAAAAAAAAAAGTATTAGTTTTGGAAAAACTTAGAGAAGTTATTCCAAAGAAGAAATACCATATCAAAATTCCTTACACTTATTTTGGGAGTTTATTTTTAAATTATGTATATGTATTGGTTTGCAGTTTAAATTTTTAGTACTGAAGGCCTATAGAGAACTTAATACACCCTGAGCCAAAAAGGGAGCTTCTGAGCTAAAGAAGTTGAGTTAGTAATGGTACCCATGCTGTAAGTCACAATTGACAGTGCAAAGAGAGCTCATGATACAAGATCTTTCTCCAGATTTCTGGCTTAAGACAAAGAAATGGTAAATCCCTCTCTCTTTTGTAGCTAAAACTAGAATATATAAAACAATGACCACAAACTGTGGAGGAGTCAATGTGGCCAGCAGATGTTATCTGATTAGTCTTCCCAGTGTTTAGAAACTTTTTTGAAATAGTGGACAGCACTTCACTATTAGAAAATTTTATGTAAAAATCTTGAGTTCAAATTTATTTTGAAACTAGATCTGGCAACCCTGGGTAGGTATTTCTCCATAGCAACAACTGGTTGGAACTCTGAGGTAGTCTAGATGGGCAGGCAACCTCTACTTCACGGGGTGGCAAGCATTTTCTGTAAAGGACCAGATAGTAAATATTTGCAACCGTGTAGGCCATATGGTATTCGTTGCAGCTACTCATTTAGCACAATGTCATTTTAGCACAAAAGCAGCTATAAACAATTTGTAAACATTACTTAGAAAAACTGACCAGCAAGCTGAATTTAGCCTTTGGGCCATAGTCTGTTGCTCTCTGCTCCAGTTTTCTCATGACCAGAACCACTCCCTATGTTCTTACACCAGCCCATCTTTTGTATTAACCGTCTGGCCCCTGTGGGTATTTGTATCAACAGCCGCCTGATGTTCAGAGGTTGTTAGTGCTCATGCTCTTCACTTTGGAGAAATTCATAAAGCCAAAGTAGAGAGAAATTCACTTATGAGAGACGGTGTGGTAGTGAGATGGGAGAGTTCCCTGACCTCCTCGCGGAGCATGCAACAGGGACATGACTCATTTACTCGGCCACTGCACTCAAACCACTTATGGGAGGGGGAACATGCAGGTGAGCCAAGGTGAGCGCTTTTGGGTTGCGGCCCTACAGCAGTGTTTAGGGGTGTTACCATGCTCTTTTAGTTTTGCCATCCACGGACGGCTGTTAACCAGCTCAGTGGAAATTCCGGGTAACGGCCTTTTACACCCTATTCTCTAGGTACCTGGCTCCTTGTCCGGAGTCCAGGAAGAAACAGGTCACATGGACTAGAAGGATGGTGAATGTGGGGATTTTACTGAGTGATGGAGGTGGCTCTCAGTGGGATGGTTGGGGAGCAGGAAATGGGATGGAGTGGGAATATGACTTTCCCCTGGAGTTCGGCTGTCCCGCGACGGATCTCCTCTCCGACCGTCCCCAGCTGAACTCCTCCCCACCTTCAGATGCTCCTTCCCTCTCTGCCATTCTGTTCTCCTGCTCTGTCAGTGGAGCTTGGGGTTTATATGGGCATAGGATAGGGACATGGTGGGCCAGAGTGGTCTTGGAAAAGGCAACATTTTGGAACAAAAACAGAAATGTCTGTTCCTATTCAGGGCCATGGGTTTCCAGGCTTGAGGGTGGGGCCTTTGCCAGGGGACTGCCCTCTTCTATGCAGTATTTCCCTGCCTCTTTTCGGTATCAGTAGGCAGAATAACCCCTCGAAAATTTCTTCCATACCTAATCTCTGGAATATGTGAATATGTTAAATTGCATGGCAAAAGGGACTTTGCAAATGTAATTAAGGTTATGGACCTTAAAATAGGGATATTATCTTGGATTATCCATCTAAGCCCTTGAAATTAGATGGCTTTCTCCAGCTGAAGGCAGAAAAGGGATGTGGAAGAAGGGGAATTCAGAAAAGCTCTAAATATGAGAAGGATTTGAGGCATTGCTATCTCTGAGATATAAAACCACAGAAAGGATTCTGGGAGATAAGGGCCACCCCAGCTGACAACCAGCCAGGACACAAGAACCTCACTTCTACAGTCACAAAGAACTGGATTCTCTCAACAATCTGAATGAACTTGTAAATGTACTGTTGCCTGGAGTCTCTAGATAAGAAACCAGATGGCAATACCTTGACTTCAGCCTTGGAAAACCTGAAACAAGGAAACCAGATGAGCCAACCTAGACTTCTAACATACAAAACTGTGAGATAGTACACTTGTATTTTTAAAAAGATAATAAGTTTGTGTTTACTTTCCAGGCTCTAGCTCTTCCTTAGGCCCTGTGTGTACTAAAGGATTTAACCTTGCCCAAAGAGAGCTCTGGTCTTTGCCCTTGGTCCCTGGGAGATAATCTCCAAGCATTTAGAATGTCTTGCCTGACAAGAGTGTCTTTGTTTACCAAGGGGTTCTAGGCCACGCCAGAAACTCTAACAATGTTACTTATAGTGGTGACTTCAAGTCATGCAGTAACTGCTTGATCCCCAAAGCGGCTGGAGAGTGAAGTCAGCCAAATGCCCAGTTAACCATGAAGCCCCAGTAAAGACTCTGGACACCAAGACTCAAGTGAGCTTCCTTGGTTGGCAATATTCCTCACGTTATTGCCAAGAGAATAGTGCTGTCTGTCCATAACTCCACTAAGAAAGGACAAGTGAACATTCTGTGCTTAGAACTTGCCTGGACTGCCCATGGCTGATTTTTAATCTGTATCCTTTTAGTGTAATAAACCATAACCTTGAATATAACAGCTTTCAGTGAGTTCAGTAAGTCTTTCCAGCAAATTACCAAAACTAAGATTAACTTGGGGGATTCCAAAACTTGTAATTGGTGTCAGAAATGAGGGTAATGTGGTAGACACTATCCCTCTAACGTCCCACTCTGGTATATTCTCATCTTTCCAAATCTTGTATGTTTAACCCTGTCATTATAGATTTCCTTTTTTCAGAGTGGGGTAGGGGGGTAAGGTCTCTCTCTGTTACCCTGGCTGGAATGCAGTAGCACAATCACAACTCACCTCAACCTCCTGGGCTCAAGTGATCCTCCCACCTCATTCCCCTGAGTAGCTAGGACCACAGGCATCTGCCACCATACCAGCTAATTTTTTTATTGTGTAGAAACAGGGTCTGCCTATGTTGCCCAGGCTGGTCTCGAATTCCAGGCCTCAAGTGATCTCCCCTCCTCAGCCTCCCAAAGTGCTGGGATTACAGGTGTAAGCCACTGTGCCTGGCTTTTAGATTTGCTTTTGTAACTAATTTCCAGCATTTTAATTCAAGTGAGTTTTAACCAATACACTCATGTACCAAAATAGTTACATCACTATTAATAAGCCAGAAACTTAGAATAATAGGATTTTACTTTTAGAAAAGGCAAGACATCTTCCATTGCAACCCCTCTATTTTCCAGATGAACAGCCTAAAGGGTAAAGAAAACTACAAAGTATTTTATAAAAGATAGGTATAAAAATCTTTGTAAGTGTTCTGACTCCCGGGCTAGTATTCCTCAACCAACATTACATTCTCTCTAATTCAAATACAGACTTAGGGTTAGTGGCTAGAACCACATACCAGTTTGTTCCAGAATCCTTACCAGTAAATCCTTACCAGAGTTTGGGTTAAATTCACCTCCAGGAACATTGGTTGTTGTTCTGGGGGGCAAAGGTTTTATCACTGTTGTCTCATCCTGAGAGTCCTTGTCATCATATGACAGATGAGACTCAGCAGAGCCAGGTCCCATGATAGGTTTGCTTGTGTTCCCTAATTTGTGGCACACCATTTGGTTTCTGATCCTCTCTGTAGTAATAAGGAAAAATGTTAAAATATGTTTCCACTGTTTTCAACTGTCTCTTAATATAATATGGAGAGGAATACTTGAGAAAATAGTATATTTCTAGCAGTGACATATTAAATGAGGGGCAATGGGAGTGGTCTACCCTAGTCACTGGCCAAGAAAGTGCATTGTTTATAGAGAATTTAAAAACAGGCCAGGTGAGGTGGCTCATGTCTGTAGCCTGTAATCCCAGCACTTTGGAAGGCTGAGGCAGGTGGATCATTTGAGGTCAGGAGTTTGAGACCAGACCGGCTAACATGGTGAAACCCCATCTCTACTAGAAATATAAAAAATTAGCGTGGCATGGTGGCATGCCCTGTAAACCCAGCTACTCAGGAGGCTGAGGCAGGAGGATCACTTGAGCCCAGGAGGCAGAGATTGCAGTGAGCCAAGATCATGCCACTGCACTCCAGCCTGGGTGACAGAGTGAGACTCTGTCTCAAAAAAATAAATTAATTAATTAAAAATAAATAAATAAATAATAAAATCTACTAAAATCTGACTGCTTTTTATTGTAACCATATGCTGGGAATTCCTACTGTCCTGCCTTAGGACACAATGATTCCTAGGATTGAGCCTGTTGCCCAAATTAACTTCTAGTTTTAGCAGTGTCTCACATCTGTTGAAATCTAGTTGGAGTTCCAAAATGTGTTATGAAAACACCTTCCATACCTTTCTTATGGCCCCTCAAATCCTCTGTAATGATTTTTGTATTCATTTTCAGAGCAGAAAACTGTCTCTCTTCCTACTCATACATTCCTCTGTTTGTTCTTTTTTTTTTCTACTACTGTCATCCTAATTCTAACCCTCTTTACATTGTAAATATTTTGATTGGTTATTTTTATATATTTACGTTGTAAGCTTATATTTGCCATCTTTTATGACACTTATGTAGGAATAACTTTTATTTGTCCTTTTGCTTCTCCCAAAAAAGAAATGAAGATGTTTTATGAAAAGAAAGACCAAATGGAGATTGCCTCTGACCACACCATTTTTGAGGACTCAGAGTAGTTAGATACCATTTGAATTGGACATATCCGTTTCTCCCACTTCAGTTGAACAAACATATGGTTTAGTGACTTTCTTCCTTGTCCTTCTTAATGTGTTCATGCTGTTGGCTTCAGTCTCATTGCCTTCATCTCTTGTTGAGTCCTGTTGATAATTAATAAACAAAAAGCCAAATAACAGATTATTCAAACAATGATATTTGGATGTCGAAAGAGTATATTTGAATAGCTCAATTTTTTAATGAGCATAGAAGACTTTTATAATGATGAAAATTTTGTCACTTCCACACTCACCTGAATAACTCACAATTTAAAAGCCCAGCGTTGTGCTGATAGGCCAGATAGTCTCTATCTCCTTTTATATGTGATACAGAAAATATCATTAAGTAAATTAAAATCGTGTCTAATTACTCAAGATTTCTATGTTTATTTTTTACTTTGGGAATTTTATATTATTTATTCCTCAATAATTTTGCAAAACCTATTTTAACTAAAAAGTTTACTTTTTATGATTTCTATTTTTTAGGATTTCTAACCTTTTTGTCTGAAGGCATAAGCATCTGAAGAATTGTATTCTCTGCTCTCTTTTTCCTTATGAAAAAGGAAAAAATTAATAATGCAATTAATAATTGCATCAATATTTACTTCACTTCAAAAAAGTACTTGAATTCATAAAGTGCTATTTTGTGACTGTATTTTATATGTGTAAAACAAACATCATATCCAAACCATTTTATAGCTTAAGAAAATCTAAGGAAATGCATTCAAAACAAAATAACCTAACTTTCACAATCTAGTTATAATCCTTGACATGACAGGATATGCCCAGCAGGGAGCTAGGCAGTGAGGCACAGGCTGGTGCTGGGGAGCTCAGGAATCTCAGCACTAACAGTGCACAGAGTCACCCCTGCAGTCCCAAGACACAAAAGCTGTCACTGAAAAAAAATATGAAAAATTTTGAAAAAGCTGACACTGGTATTTTTAAGGTTTTTTACAAACCCCTCATAGTGGTTTGAGGAGAGAGGAAAGTGACAGGGTCAGGGTCAAAAAGTATGCTGTAAACACTTTGAGCTTAGTATCTTTTTGAAAAGCAGGCTCCGAGAGGTTTCACATCTGTGGGCAAGTTATATGAATATATGTTGAGTAACTGCTGGGGAGCAGCTGTATCACTTCATCTATAAAACCAATTCATTCTCCCAAGGCTAAAATAGAAAAAGAAAGATTTTCATTTTTTGCTTGCTTATATGTAATTATGATGCATTGTTATTATTGTTATATTAACAAAGTTATATTTCCTAGAACAAAGGCTTTTCTGTAACTTTAAAGTTTCACTTATTAGAAAATTGTGGTCTTTTTCACTCCAAATAACCTTATATTTGGATAATATGATACTTAATATATAATAATTAATTTTGTAAGTAATTTAGGATTTAATTTCAATACTTGCATAAATTTTCCCAACACACTTCTGATAGAATCTGGCAGAAATATAAAGCTTTATTGTACATGTTCACCATGTCTAAAATTGTTTTGCTAGAAATGCATAGTCTATAATTTTACTTTTGTTAAATGCATATGTATATATTTATTTTTATTTATTTATTTATTTATATAGTCTTTTAAAGAAGTATTGTTTAGAAAATGAAATACTTAGCCAGGTATATAATTATCAATGCAATATGAGCAGACTAAATTTGTCTTAGCTTGACCCTTTGCTCATATATAATATTTTCATATATAAATTGAAGGAATTGGGTGACATAAACTTTAACATCTCTTTCAGTTTTAAACTCTAACCTGCAACTGAATAAACAATTAAATAACAATGTGTTAAAATTAAGCACATTGTCAAGCATGTTTTCTCATGGTACCCCTTAAGTTAATAAAATCTCACCATTTTACAAATAAGAAAAATGAGACTCAGAATAACTTGCCCCAGGCCACAAGAGTGAATGAAAGATGCAGTTTCTAAAAATACCTTGTTTTTCAACATGCCATTCTGCTTCCTAAAAGCCAGAGATCCAAGACAAAAGAAAGGTCATTTTAAAAACATTCACCTGCCCTCATATAAACCCGATCAAAAGAGAAAGTTTCTTAAGAAAAAAAAAAAATTTACCTAGTTACTAACTGAGAATTTCACCAATAAGAGCCCAAAAACTGACCAGGCGCGGTGGCTCACACATGTAATCCCAGCACTTTGAGAGGCCAAGGCGGGTGGATCACGAGGTCAGAAGATCGAGACCAGCCTGGTCAACATGGTGAAACCCCATCTCTACTAAAAATACAAAAATTAGCCAGGCGTGGTTGCACGTGCCTGTAATCCCAGCTGTTTGGGAGGCTGAGGCAGGAGAATTGCTTGAACCCAAGAGGCAGCCGAGGTTGCAGTGAGCCGAGATGGCACCATTGCATTCTAGCCTGGGCAAGAAGAGTGAGAGAAGAGTGAGCCTCGGTATCAAAAAAAAAAAAAAAAAAAGCCCAAAAACTAAGGCACAGTACATACCTTTTACTCCATAAAAATGCTCAAAAAAGGGAGTAGGGGTTTCAAATGAAGAATACATTTCATTCAGTCCTTTTCAGTCCTTTGGTTTTCTTTTACATACTAGGGTGATCAGCATATAAACATAGCTATAATAAAACAAATTTATTGGATCCTTCATTTATCCCACCTCCATTCGAGTATTTTTATTCTCCTTAATCCTTGATCTTTTAATTACACTTAGGTGCAATGTGAATGATGCTTCAGTAAAAAACTTACTAGCCCAGATGATTGAGGTTTGGGTTGTAATTCTGACCTTTCCACAAAGTAGCAAGTCCTTCTAGGGCCTTGACATTCTCATCTGTAAACACTAATATAAATAAAATCATATTGTCAAATTAAATTGAGCCTAGGGCTACCTCCTTATATATTTTAAGTTTGACTTAAAAATTTCTAAGCAGACTAGAAACTACTCTTCTACCAATCACAGTGTTTCAGCCAATCACAGGTGGCCAATTGTTCAAAACATGTTCAAACACTGTTTCTGTATCTCATTCCCATCTTCTGTACCAAGATGGAAATCTTCTGTACATCACTTTTCTTTTCCTGTCCATAAATGTCATCTGACCATGCGACAGCCTAAGAGTCGCTCTGAACATATTCTTGTTCTGAGGGCTGCCTGACTCTTGAATTGTTCTTTAACTGAGTTTAAAATTTAATTTTTCTACAGGTTTTCTTTTAACAGATGGCCTCAGAAGTGGGATTTGAAGTAGAGCTTCCAGCAACCCCCAGGAGCACTGAGTGATTAAGCAAGGTACACCAGCTCCATTGTATCTGTTGCTCTCTCGAATCAACTGGGGATCATGGGTAAGTTGTCTCTCAGATTATGGAGATCCCCATGCGTTTGTGTTTTGACTATCTGAATTTGTATGGGCACATTTTTTATCTTAACTGGGTACAGAAGTCATGACAGACACTGGACTGGGTTAGACTCAATAACTAATTGGATTATATCCAGTTAGAATTCTTAGATGGCTGACTGGTTAGACAAACTGGCAGTAAATGGCAATACTGCAGAAGGTGTGAACTCTGGCTTTCAGAAATTCACCAGGATTTTGTGTTCTATCCCTTTTGTTTCTTTTTCTAATGCATGAGGTAGGGAAAAATCTTCGGCTTAGTTGATCAAGATGTGAGAGCCAAAACCAATTTTCAATATAAAAATGGAATCCTTAATTTCTGATGAACTGAGTGCTCCACTTTTGTCTATCCCATACCTCTACATGTATAATTATTAGGTCCCACAAGCTGCAAGTACTTACAAAAATGGCAAAATCTTATAAAGATAATTTAAAATTATAGTGGAATGCTCCAAATAAACAACACCAACACCACACTTTAAGAACTGCATTTAAAAATGAAGGCTCCCAAATTAGGCATATCCAGGGACACCTATTGATGTGCAGAACATTCTTAAAAATGTTAATATTTCTATTGCCTCTTTTAAAAGCCTTTCAAAAGGCAAACAAAAAGCTTAAGCAACTAATTGATAAGAAAAATTGAATCTGCTAATCTTTTGGCTTAGTTACTATCCTGCCCCAAAGATAAAAAGAGAATTATATAAAGTGTTCATGAAAGGTAGGCCCTCAAGTAAAGTAGGCTTTTTTCTTTTTCAGAGCTATCCATACCGAGTCCACACATAGAGAATTATTTCCTCGCCTTATTAATTAATGGGCTCCAACCTGAACTCAGTAATTTTAGCTAAAAAATAGTGGCTAACTTAAAAAGACTGCCTATTGAACTAAATTGGTCTCCAAATTCACCTTTCTGGCATTTAGCTGGCTATTTTGAAACATATCTGTAAAGGAAATTTACATCTATAAAGGAAACCTCCATTTTTAAGGGTGTCTGCCTCTGTGCAGCAGGAAGAGAGGAAAGACTAAGTTACTAGAGACTCTTATCATTGACTTACATTTATGTAACAAGTCTCCTCTAAAGTACCTTTTCCTATCCATCCTGTCTTAACTGGGCATTTATCCACATCCTCCCTCCTTGATTTGAGCAAAAGATGGTACAATATTTAGGTCTAAAGTCTCAGCTGTATGCATTTGAGAGATAAAATTTCTACCTTGTTTTACCTAAAAGTCATCCTTTTAGAAGTGAAATTTTAGGGTTTTCTAGCTAACAATTGCTTAGAACAATGAAACAGGTAATTGGAATATTGATAGTCTGAATTGGGGGAAAGAAAAACTATTTGGAAACTAGTAAATGAAAAATTTTTCTGAAAATTTTAACTTCTGCCCTTGTCCGTGTCTGTCTATATGTCTGTAAGTGTTATGTGTATCAGATATTTCTTTCTGATCTTATATAATATTTGTCAAATGAAGCAAGTTTTTACATTGTTGGCAAAATAAAATAGGAATGTCTTCAGAATTGTCAATACTAAATATAATTCAGACTTTTTTTTCTGGGTCTACTGGTCAGAAAGGTTTATGCTGTTTTTGCTATATGTTTTAGGGTCATAAAATTGCTGCTTCTGTCAAATTTTGATACGTGCTTGATTGTCTGTAAGCTGACACTGAAAAGGCTGGCTACTGGGTTCCCCTGAAGCCTTTCACACATCTTACTGTGAGCTTATATCTTTGATTTTGAGCCTTTGAATTCTGAGGCCTGGAGAGGTGGTCATGGTGAGGCCTGGAGACGTGTATGTCCACTGTACCTGGGCCACTAGCAGCAGGACACAGCCAAGCCCACTATGGCCCTGCCCTTCCTCCTCCAGCTTTGCCTGCTGGCCATGCTGAGAGGGGTTGGATCCTCCAGACATCCTTTTCATAGCTCTGTCCTCAGTCCTTGACTCTACACCTGGTGTGTAAATTAGGGACCCAGATGGGCCCTGGCCTTCCTAGCCATCCTAGGTGCCACTCAGGACATTAGGGAGAATACCTACGTTATTTTTTCAAAATTATTTTCAGAAACTTAAAATCTTAAAGCTGCGTTAAATTCAGAAATAGGGAAAGGAGCAATGGCTCATTCCTATAATCCAAGCACTTTGGGAGACTGAGGTGGGAGCATCACTTGACCCCAGGAATTTGAGACCAGCCTAGGCAACATGGTGAGATGCAACTCTACAAAATATATAAAAATTAGCTAGGCACGGTGGTGTGTGCCTGTAGTCCCAGCTACTCGGGAGGCTGAGGTGGGAGAATGACTTGAGCATGGGAGGCAAAAATTGCAGTGAGCCAAGATCATGCCACTGTACTCCAATCTGGGTGACAAAGCAAGATCTATCTCAAAAAATAAAAATAAAAAATAAGAATAAATTCAGAAATAAATACTCATTAAATATCTGAGTCATTTCTAAGAAGTTAAAATATTGAAGTATTAATTATTAACATAAATTTATGCCTTAGCATCTTATTTGTATATGATATTGAAAATGTAAATATATTTAGATCTATTAAAAATAATTGAGGAAACATCTTTCTAAACAATTATGAAATGGTTTTTATCTGCAGATACTGATATAAAACACTTCAAAATCATTAACTTCCTAGGTTTTACACTGGAAGTTAGAATTACTAAGAGTTAAAATTTAAGTTAATATATGTAATTATAACTACTAAAGTAAATAATTTAGCTGGCCACGATGTCTCATGCCTGTAATCCTAGCACTTTGGGAGGCCAAGCTGGGAGGATCACTTGAGGTCAGGAGTTGGAGACCAGCCTGGCCAACACAGTGAAACCCCATCTCTACTAAAAATGCAAAAATTAGCCAGGCATTGTGGCACACATCTGTAACCACAGTTAGTAGGGAGACTGAGGCAGGAGAATGGCTTGAACCTGGGAGGTGGAGGTTGCAGTGAGCCAAGATTGCGCCACTGCACTTCAGCCTGGGTGACAGAATGAGACTCTGTCTTAAAAAAAATAAATACAATAAAATAAATAATTCTATATGTAAAGTGTACAAGAAAAGCAAGATTGTTTTTGATGAGAAAATTAAAATGTGTATTTGTTGAGAAAAAATAATTTTGTCTAGTTTAGAGGTTATTTAAAGGTTCTTTCAAAATGAAAAAATTATATAAATAAAATTAAATGGATATTCAAGGTTGGGGGAAAATAGAAAAAAATGCAAGAGGCTATAAAAAGGATTATGGAAATCTTGTGTGTTCAAAAGCTGATTGAAGGTGAATGTATTTGTTTATAAGGTTTTCTTAAAATTAGCAGTAGTATTGATTATATACTAACACAAAAGTAAAATTCATAATTCTCTGCAGAGTTCACAGGGGAAAAAAGTAAAATTCTGTTTTCTCCTTTGAATAAGAATTTATTGTAGTATTAATAAGAGTGAAAGATGTTCGTCCACCTTTTGAGTAAAATGCAAAGAAAAATAGAGGAGAGACAGATTTTGTTTTGTGCTGTCTTTATTATGTCTTTTGATTATTTGGAAAACTGAATCTCCTCTTCATCAACGAATAAGGATTTTTGCTTTTGAAAACCTTTTAATTATCAGTTAGGCTAAATTAATTACTATTATTTTGCCGTAATCTGTGATTCTATTTTGATAGTGTTTAAAACCTTTGGCATATTTGATAGGCTTCCTAAAATCAAATTTCAAATTCTAAAATTAACTCTTTTTTCCTTCAAACTAACTTTAGGATGTTCCAAAAGGTCCCTGAAGCATCCAAAAAAGAGACAATAAATAGGCTTATTTGATATGTTAAATAAAATGGAAAGCATCATAAAATAAATGGTACTTAACATTCTCTGAGTTATATTTTATGAATATATTATGAATATGTATTTCAAAATTATATGTGACTCCTAATATTCTGATATGTCTTAGTATATGTTATCAGCAATAATTATGTTTATTTATGTTAAATTATTATAGGATACAGAAAGAGCCAAATTTCCTTGTCAATTGCATCTTTAACCATAACCATTTTAAGTCTTATTCACAGTTTATTAATTCTGATGAACTTTCTTAAAGCTCATTACAATCAAGTAAAATCCTAAAATGTTGTGTCCTCAAGGAGGTTCATGGAAAGGTTTGAAAGAATGCTCATAAACACTCTTGAACACAGGTTTCTGATAACTCTAGAATGATATACATTTGGACGGGATAGGAATACTAAAAGCTCTAATGAAGAAGTTGACCAGTTTATAAAATTGCCAACTTAAGTAGCACAAGAACTAATTGAATACCAAGGAAATACTTTAGCAGATTTCCATGCTAGATCAGCCAGTACTGATGTTGTTAAAATATGCAATTTGAATGAGGTTCATGGTTCAAGTCAAATTGCCTACAATAACCCATTTGATAAGCAGTGCTATGCACCTAAATTGAAGAAACGAAATTTGTATTTAAGATAATATGAATTCATTGTCGAGTGTGGACTCATGGAGAGTCTGGAGAGCTGCCTGGTCCTTCTCAAGTAATTAAAACTGCCATCATTGAAAGCTCTACACTCAGCCAGGCATGGTGGCTTTCGCCTGTAATCTCAGCACTTTGGGATGCCGAGGTAGGTGGATCACTCGAGGTCAGGAGTTCGAGTCCAGCCTGGCCAATATAGTGAGACCCCCATCTCTACTAAAAATGCAAAAATTATTCAGGCATGGTGGTGAACACCTGTAATCCCAGCTACTCGGGAAGCTGAGGCAGGAGAATCGCTTGAACCCAGGAGGCAGAGGTTGAAGTGAGCCGAGATTGCATCCAAATTATATTTTTAAAAATATACTGGTGTCATGACTATTCTAAGTTGCCAAAGTGGTTTATTTTGCTTTGTCAAATCCATAATCCTAGGAAGACAAAAAAAACTTCAGGTACATTTTTGCTACTTGATGGGCCATTTGAACATTTACAGATGGCTTCTATTCAATTGTCATTTGTAATGCATGTTTTCTAGTTATATACAAGCTTTCTCATGCAAGAAGGCTAATGCAATAACAATAGCTAAAATAGCTTAACGGTTATCAAGAAATGTGTTTCTCTCATGGAACATTCCTAGAGAAATCTCCAACAATAAAGGTACTTGTTTCACTGGACAAGTTGTAAAACATAAGGTGTTACAGCTATAATAGCATTAGGCAAGTCTAACTGAATGGACTGAATTGTCTTGGTCAAAGGTACTGCAGACTGATAACAATCAGTTCCTCTTCCAATCAAAACATGAGTTGACCATTTATGAAATAGTCACTGTAAGGCCTCTAATAATAGAACCTTATGTATCTTCTGCACCTAAATTCTTATATGACTAAATGCTACAATGCAGGCTTCAATGCATTGTGCCAAAGTGTATTTTCATTAGGTAAAAGGAGCTTTTTATGATCCACTGACTGGGTACAGTCAAACCCTTCATGGTCTAAAACTTAGAGACTGGGCCTTCTGGAAACACCATCAGAGAAAGACTTCCCTTGCCACTCACACTGCAGTAAAATACTGGGACCTTGAACCTTGAGTCTGGCCCATCCAGCCTCTTGAAACCAAACACTTGTTAGAGACCTTAAGGTAAAGCTAACCAGAGAACTTTCTCCCTTGAAGCAGATGGCATCCTAGACATAGAAAGCTTTCCCAAGATCATGGAACAAGACTTCTCTTCCATCGTGAGATTCTTAACCTTTCTTAACTTTTGCCTTGCTTATGCCTCTTGGAACAACACAGTGGGAAAAGGGGCCTATGTGTGTGAAGTATATTTTTATTTGTGTTAGATTTCACAGACAACCTTATACATGAGCAACCTTATCTCTTGATGGATGCAAGATGAAGGGCCAGTGTAGGCTAGGAATTTTAATGACACCTTTGTTACTCCATAATCAGTCAGAAACAGAACATCAGTCCACTTCTTTTAACGTACATCCTAGGTTAAATAAAACATTGCCAAGAGGCCTTCACCTTTCTAGATGGGCATCATTTGTTAGTTCCCTTTTTCTATGGCTTGGAGTAAATGAGGTAATGATTAGAAATGTATCCCTTACAGTAGTCTGTACAGCAGATTTTACTGCAAAACCTGTGGCTGTGCAGCAGACTTCTTTAAATTCTCTTGCTAAAGTTGTGCTAGATAATAAAATTGCTCTAGATTACCTACAGGCTGAACAGGGAGAAATCTGTGCAGTGGCTTACACTTCTTATTGTACATGAATAAATACACTGGGTTTTGTAGAGATTCAGTTACAAGAGATTAATGAACAGGCTGCTTAATTAAAACATGTAGACTTTTCATCTGGCTTATTCTTTGATCTATTTAACTTTAGTTGATTAATAGGAACTAATAGGAACCTTGGCTAAGGAGCATACTCCAAATTCTTGGTATGCTCCTGCCAGTCACTATAGTAGTCATTATCATTATCATTCTGACAGTCACAATAGTATTCTCCCTGGTATGCTATATTCTCTCCAAAGTTTTAAATGTTTGCAGACAGCCATGTGTAGAATGTCAGATGGTATCTTTGACTGGAATGACAAAATCTCAAAGAAATGCCTGATCGTGAAGACACTATAACCTATCAATAATGTGCTAAGACAGAAAACCCAAAATAATGGTAATAGGAAGTAGCACCAAAGCCCTAAGTTTTGGTCACACTCTCATCTAGGTGAGAACCTGACCAAAAGAAGAGAATTGTTAAACAAAATTATGGAAGACCATTGTTCTGGACTGAACTCTTGCATTAGACCCCAACAGAACAGACCAAATCAAAACAAAATCACTCATGCTAATACAACATAATCACAGTGAAACTTTAAGGAAGAAGATAGATTCCAAAACAGTACAGTTTTTTTTTCTTCTGAAAACAGGAGATCCCAGCATAATAAAGAGGTCCCCTCTGCTCTAACCCTTACAAAAAATTAACCTAAAGTAAACAATCAGGTTATTTTTCTCTCATTCTGTTTCCATATTCCCACCTTACAAAATCCACTGTACTGCTATTTCCCAGTGGAATTTGAGACCAAATAAGTCCATTTACAATGGTGTGAGAGTGACGTCAATGCCTAAGGTTTCAGTCAACCTCTCAATCTTAAGAGGTTGACCCAAAGGGAGGAATTGTTTACATAAAGCTACCTCCTTACATATCTTAAGTTTGGCCTAGAACTTTATAAACAGACTATAACCTACTCCTGTACCAATTAGAATTTCAGATGCCTGCCAATCACAGGCAGCCAACTGTTCAAACCATGTTCAAATAAGGGAAACTCCCAGCTGTAACTAATTCAGCTGTTTCTGTGACTCATTATTGTCTTCTGTACATCACTTTTCTTGTTCTGTCCATAAATGTTATCCAACAATGTGGCAGCTCCAGAGTCGCTCTGAACCTATTTTGGTTCTCAGGGAGGCCCAATTCTCAAATCATTCTTTGCTCAATCAAACTCTGTTAAATTTAATTTGCCTAAAGTCTTTTAAATAATATCCAGCCAGGTGGGGTGGCTCACGCCTGTAATCCCAGAACTTTGGGAGGCTGAGGTGGGTGGATCACTTGAGGCCAGGAGTTCAAGACCAGCCTGGGCAACATGGCAAAACTCCATCTCTACAAAAAATACAAAAAATTAGCCAGATTTGATGGCTAATTTGGTGTCTGTAGTCCCAGCTACTTGGGAGGCTGAGGCATAAGAATCGCTTAAACCCAGGAGGTGGAGGTTACAGTGAGCCAAGATCGCACCACTGCACTCCAGCCTGGGCAACAGAGTGAGACTCTGTCTCAACAACAAAAAAATAAAGTCTTTAAAATAATACCTATAAAAATATTAACATTTTAAAAGCATTGCCATATCCAGACAATATTTTATATTTCATCTAATACCCACAACATACAGGGAATATTTATTATCACCTACATTTTTTCCAAAGCAGAAATAACCCACAGGGGTTAGGTAATTTGTTCAAGGTCATATCTGAGGAAGAATAGGAATTCAAATCTAAGTATTTTATTTGAGGTGCTTCCTACATCACCATAGCTTGATAATTGACTTAAATGGAATTCTGTTTTTATTATATAGTGTGATCTGTGTAACTCATAAAACTTGTTCAACTTCTTCAATTATATATTCTTTTTCAATTGTATTTTTATAACTCTTTTCTGTATAAAAGCAAAACCCATCTTAATTCACATCACCACCAGTTTAACCTTCATTAGTCCCAAGAGTGAAGTTGTAACCTACTATGGATAAGGCAAAATCAAAGACATAAAAATAAACAAAACATAAAACATGATTCACAAAGAATATTACAATCTAGTAGAGGCAATAAAGTGTTGCTGTGGCAGTTAAGGGCCTCCATGTTGTAAAGAAAGAGATATGCTCAGGTTAGCCTAGTTCAAGGAGAGCAAACTCAAATAGCAGACAGATTACAAAAAAACACAATGGGCTGGAGGGCGAACGCAGTAGTTGATAGCCCTTCCCAGGAAGGAGCCAACACAGGAGTCCAGACAATTGTTGCCATATTAAAACGTGGCCCTCGTGTTGCCAGTTTTACAAATTTTCAAAACATGCCAGAAATCTGGATTTTTATTTGAAATTTCATGATTGTTAAATACTGCCAATTGATTTAAAATGTAAGGTAAGAAGTAAAGAAATAAACTTTCTCAACTACCACACAACTAGGTCTCAAAACTACCGGAATGCTGTTCAGAATATGCAGCAGCTCTAGAGATATGAGGCACAACTGTATCAGCAGTGACCACCTGTCTTTTCCCCAACAGTGGTATCTAGTGTGGTACTAAAGGGTGATGGTAAAAATATTTAGCCATTAGTACATCTAATAAAAATAACCAACACTTATATTGTGCCTATTATGTGCTAGATCTCTTCTAAATGCTTTGTCTTAATTTATTTAGTCTGAAAAATATCCCATGTGATAAATACATTACCATCCTATTTCAGAGATGAGAAAAATTGAGTCAAAGAAAGACTAATCAACTAACCCAAGCTCACAAGTCTCATAAGTGACAAAGCTCAGATTTGAACCCAGCCAGTTGGCTCCAGAGCACCAAGTACTTGGCACACTCTTAATGAACACTGTCACCAGGATATCCTCCCAACCATTGCTGGGGTGCTAGGAAGCTGTAGCAAGGTCCTGGAGGGCCTGTAGGGCCAGGTACTAGTTCTTTAACTCTTTAATTGATGGGCTGTGGACAGGTCCAAGAGCCCCAGGGAAATACTAGGACAGGTAGAAAAGTTTGGGTAGAGTGGACCATTAAGAGGCTCTTGTTAGCCACTGTTTACCAATCAGTTTAGAAATATTTGACCATTTATCAAGTACTCAGTGGTGCAGCTCTCCCTGGTGGCACCATTATGTTGGAAAAGCAATGCCTGATGCATGGTAAGTACTAAACAGAGGTCAGCCACAAATATTGCCTGGGCACTATGCATTACTGAGGATTTCTGGTGGAAAGATAACTCATTCTAGATTACCTCACAGGCCCTGGCCAGCCTAGAGGTGACTTTCATTGGGTCAGGCACTATTCCCTTATCTAAGAAGCTCCAGATTCTAAACACAATAAAATAGGGGAACCTCTCAGAATCATGAAGGCATATCAAGCAGTCCGAGGATTCTTAGAGTGGGGCAGTGTGATCCAAATAGCCTGGCTTGGACTCTACAGTAATGCTGTTACTACACAGGCAGAGTATTTCAGTCTTCAGATAGGCTAACCTTAAACAGAAGAGGGCGCATTTCAGCTGAAGATAGGGAGTGAGGTAAACCAGGCTGGAAGAATCATGAGCGTAAGTACAGATATGCAGTTTCATTTTGATTGCATGGCATAAATATATACATTTAATTCATGCTTAATTTGGACAATCCCAAATTTCTGCTACAACAGGTTGATTTTCATTCTTTTGATATTTTCACCAGAGCAGCTTTTCACAATTCAAAAATGTTTCCACTATCGTTTCGTCAGATGGCTTTTTGTCTCATACATGGGAATGGCCATAAAAAATGTTTCCTCTTACATTCAAGTTCATTACAAGACATTTTCATAATTCATGTTTTTCTCACCATGGTGATTCTTTTGAAATGGTGTTTATATGGTTTAATATAAGTTTATCATTTTGCATTTCAACTCAGTGACTTGATCAAATTAACTAAAAAACGCTTAACCTAAAGGAATACTGCCAAGCATTAAATGTAGACCCTAATTTGACCTAATAAATTTCTTTCCAATATAATAATGAGTTATTTAGGTTCTAAATATCAATGATTTTATTGATTTAGTTTTAATTTTCTCTAACAGTTACCTTTTTAATGTCAATACAAAAAAAAAAAACTTTTTTTGACCCCTATATAATAGTTATAGTCCGAGGTGTAGGCATTAATGCATTTACCAAACATCTGATTTTGTTAATGAGAGAGGTGCATGAAAACGCAAACAAGCAAATCAAAATTTCATCAAGTTTTAACCTCTGTTAGAAATAGTGGAAAAAGGGATCGATAATTATCAAACTTAAAAGAATATGTCAAAGAGGAAAGAATGTGCCTTCAGTTACCTTTAAGTGTGTTCTTCAAAGAAAAAAGAAAGAAAATGTGCTTAAAATATTTACAGAAGTGTTATTTCAAAGACTACATCACAAACTTGTATTAATTACTTTAAAAATATCCGTACCTATTAACCTTGTATTCCTACTCCTAGCAACTTGGTTTAAGAAAATAATCCAAGATACGTCATGTATGTTCAGTGCCACCTTCATTATAATAGTAAAAATGTGAAAGTAGCATACGAGAAAGTAGAAAGAGTTAAATACACGTGGCAATTCTTTTCAAGTGATTTACCATTTAAAAATAAGCGCTTCTGGCCGGGCGCGGTGGCTCACGTCTGTAATCCCAGCACTTTGGAGGCCGAGGCAGGTAGATCACCTGAGGTCAGGAGTTTGAGACCAGCCTGGCCAACATGGTGAAACCCCGCCTCTAGTAAAAATACAAAAATTAGCCGGGTGTGGTAGCGGGTGCCTGTAATCCCAGCTACTCCAGAGGCTGAAGCAGGAGAATTGCTTGAATTTGGGAGGCAGAGGTTGCAGTGAGCCGAGATCTCGTCATTGCACTCCAGCCTGGGCAACAGAGCAAGACTCTATCTCAAAAAGAAAAAAATAAAGCTCTTCCATTTTCCATCTTTTGTCACCTGGATTGACACAATTTTTTTCAATATCTTCTTTTTTGAAGTGTCTTTTTAAAACTGCCCATTTTTATAAGATTGTCTAGTGGGGTTTTTTTGGCGTTTTCCTTTAATTTTTTAAACTGACAGATAAAATTGTATGTATGTATACCACAAAATGTTTTAAAGTATGTATACATTATGGAATGGTTACATCTAGCTAATTAAATATGCATTATTTCACATACTTATCACTTGGTGATGAGAACACTTAACATCTGCTTTCTTAGAATTTTCAAGAAGGTATATTATTAGCTATAGCCACAATGCTGTGTATTAGATGTCTTGAATTTATTATTCCTATTTAACTGTAATTTTGTATTCTTTGACCAACTCCACAATTTCTAGCCATTCTCTGTGCATCCAATGTTACCCTTCTTCTATTCATCCTTCATACTACTGCCATGTTATTTTTCTATAACACAATTTTGGTTTTGTTATTTCTTTGCTGAAAATACCTCCACAATTCTCCCTTCACCTTCAGGGAAAACTCAAATTGGTATTCTCTAAGGCTCTGCATAATCCAGGCTCTCAACAATCTCTCCAGCCTTCACAGCTGGGAATTTTCACATACAAACCCTATCTCCATCTGTACAAAACTAGTTTTATCATTTCTTGGGGTCACACTGTTTCCTTCTTTCCTAGGCTCCTGTTGATTATCTAGCCTGTCCTGATAAGACAGTTACCTACTTTTCTGGCCACAACCAAAAATTAACCTGCAGGGTGGTTTGATGTAGCCATCCATTACAAAATGATTAATGTTCTTATTTGGGGACAGAAGGGCTACAAAAGGTGACCTAGATCTCCTTTCCTTTTAAAATGTTTATTAATTTTAATTGACAAGTAAAAATTATATATATTTATGGTATACAATATAATCTTTTGATATATGTATACATTGTGGAATGGCTAAATTAAGCTATTAGGATATATATTATCTCCCATTTTTTGTGGTGAAAACACTGAAAATCTATTCTCTCAGCAATTTTTATATATACAATATGAAGGTATGTCAAAAAGTTCATGGAAATGGAATTAAAAGATAAAAATATAAAATATAAACTTTATTTCTCAACATAAGCTCTATCAAGGTTAATATACTTTTGTAAGCAATCATAGCAGCCATTTAGTGCATCCCTTTAAAAATGAGGGTCCTGGAAGATAAACATATGAATGCGGTCTTTTTTACATTATTAACTAAAGAAAAATGAATCCCCTTTACAGATTTTTGTAAGATTAGGAAACAAAAGGAAGACAGAAGGAGCCAAATCAGTGCTGTAAACTGGATGCTTATGATCTCCCATCAAAATGCTCACAAAATTACCCTTGTTCGATGCAAGGCATGAGCAGGAGCATCATCGTGGTGAAGTAGAACTCTCTAGTGAAGGTTTCCTGGGCATTTTTCTGCTAAAGTGTTGGCTAACTTTCTCAAAACACTTTCCTAATAAGTAGGTCTCATTCTTTGGCCCTCTAGAGAGTCAACAAGCAAAATGCCTTGAGCATCTCAAAAAACACAATTGCCATGACGTTTGCTCTTGACTGGTCCACTTTTGCTTTGACTGGACCACTTCTACCTCTTGCTAGCCATTGCTGTAATTGTGCAGTATCTTCAGGATCATACTGGTAAAGCCATGTTTATCTCCTGTTACAATTCTTTGAAGAAATTCTTCAGAATCTTGATCATACCGGTTTAAAATTTCCACTGAAAGCTCTTCTCTTATCTCCAATTGATCTGGGTACAATGGTTTTGGCACACATCAAGTAGAAACTTTGCTGTACTTTAAGTTTTCAGTCAGAATTGTGTAAACTTAACTAACTGAGATGTCTATGGTGTTGGCTATTGTTTCTGCTGTTAATCGCCAGCCGTCTTCAATCAAGGCATGAACAATTAGGGCAAATTGATGTGGATGATCTGCCACTTCAGCCTTCATCTTCAACATTGTTTAATCTCTTCTCAAAAAGAGTCACCCATTTCAAACTGCTGATTTATTTGGAGCATTGTCCCCACAAACTTTTTATAAAGCATCAAGGATTTCACCATTCTTCCACCCCAGCTTCACCATAAATTTGATGTTCATTCTTGCTTTGATTTTAGCAGAATTCATGCTGCTCTGATACATGCTGTATTCAAACTGATGTCCTATGCTTAATGCCTCAAACTATATCCTGTTCAGACATGTCATAACAAATTAGCATGAATTTACTTTGGTTCAAAATATTTTAAAATCCACGCACAGTTTTTATAATACACATTTTCCATGAACTTTTTGAGGTCCTCTTATATATTATTATTAACTGTAGTCACCATGTGGTACAGCAGATCTCTTGAAACTACTCTTCTTTCTAAATAAAATTTTTTATTCTTTGACCAACATCTCCCCAATCCCTTCACCACCCACCCTCTGTTAACCACATTCTACTCTCTGCTTCTCTGAGTTCAACCTTTTTACACATCACATATAAGTGAGATCATGAAGTATGTGTCTTTCTGTGTCTGGCTTATTTCACTTAACATAATGTCCTCTAGGTCCATTCATGTTTTAACAAATGACAGAAAATTTTATTTGGCACTTAAGGGATCATAATGCCTGGGCTAAGCTAATTATTGCCTGTTTAAGGCTTCCTTCCTTTCAAAGGCTGAATACTATCCCATTGTGTATATATATCACTTTTTCTTTATCCATTCATCTATTGCCAGATGCTTAGGTCAATTCTATATCTTAGCTATTGTGAATAATGCTGTAATAAACATGGGAGTGTAGATATCTCTTCAACATACTGATTCCACACCCTTTGGATATATATCCAGTAGTGGATTGCTGAATCATATATAGTAGCTCTATTTTTAATGGATGATTGATGTTCTTAAGTCTCCAATGAAAGTAGAATCCTTATTAAACTTTCTGTCCCTTCAAATAACTCATAGTTATGTTGTCTTCATTATAATTGGTAAATTATATAGTATCCCTTTGGAGATCTCACCTAATGCTTCATTAAATAACTTTCAGTATCATTAAAGTAGAGCTTTCGTCCATGTATAAGTTTTTTTTCTCCAAACTAAAAGGCATTAATTACTTTAGTCCCAGGCATTATGATCTCTTAAGTGCCAAGTATACATTTAAGTGTCCCTTGTAGAATTGAGAAACACTACAGCTAGGTCAGGATACCATAAAACAAGGAACTATTTATATCTCTAATACCCACTTGGGTAATCTGGAGTAGAGATTACATTGATCTGAACTAGGAGAATAGCTCTGGAGAAGCGGGCGAAATGAGCATAGTGCAGACATACTTGGGAAGTGGATTTCGCAGCTTGGTAACTAGCTGGATATAGGAAGTGTCAGAGACAGAGGAATGAAAAATGACAACCACATTTCTGACTAGGAAACCCAAAAAGCAAAGACTTGAGAAAGGAAATTATGAGTTCTGTTTTGGGCATATGGAATCTAAGGTGATTGTGTCATCTGGAGGTGTCCAGCAAGCATTGACCATAAGGGTCAAAATGTAAAAGACAAAATGGAAGGAAAAAATAGCCTTGACAGTGGTTGGAATTATTAAGGGAAAGAACAGGGACTGAGAAAATAAGAGATGTAAAAGAGAACTGAGATGTTCATTTAAATGGTGCACAGTAAAAATAAATAAATAAATAAATAGAACTAAAAACCCACCATAGTTAATGAGTAAACATAAAAAGGAAGTACCAATGGACCATGCTGCTGAAATGATAAATAAGATTGTTATTAATACTTGCCCTTTGTATTTTGCAACCCAAGTCACTGGAGGCCTTGGTAAGGACAGTCACGGTGGAAGCATGTGAGCAGCAGCTAGATCCAGTGAGTTGAAAAGGAATGTGAGTTGTTTAGCCCAGGATCTACACCCAGCAGGCACACAAGAAATATTATCAAATGAAAATATGAAATACAACTCAAAAGTATGAAGTAAAGAAGACAGAAAATATGTCTACCAGGGGAGTACATAGAGGTTCAAGAAAAGTTTACGTTGCTTTTAGGTAGAGAAGACTTGCATATATTTAAATGCTAAGACAGCCAGGCACAGTGGCTTACACCTGTAATCTCAGCACTTTGGGAGGCCAAGGTGGGCAAATGACTTGAGGCCAGGAGTTTGAGACCAGCCTGGCCAACATAACAAGACCCCCATCTCTACTAAAAATATAAAAATTAGCTGGACATGGTGGTGCACGCCTGTAATCCCAGCTACTCGGGAGACTGAGGCACAAGAATCACTTGAATCCGGGAGGTGGAGGTTGCAGTGAGCCAAGATTGCACCACTGCACTCCAACCTGGGCAACAGAGTGAGACCCTGTCTCAAAAATAAATAAATAAATAAATAAATAAATAAATACATACATACATACATACATACATGCATACATACATATACACATATATAAATACATGCTTAATGAAAGGAAACAAAAAAGGAGATGTAGGAGAGAGTAGAAAAAAAATAAAGGGAGGTCCCTGGGAGGACAGAAAAGATGGAATCTGGGATTGAAATAAAGGAATTAACTTTAATACATTTTCCTCTATCAGAGGAAGGAAAAGGGGTAGATCGTTAGAAGAAAGAGCAGAGTTAAGAACGGCATGTTTGTGTCCCCCACAAACCATACAGTAAACCCTAACACCTAATGCGATGATGTTAGGAGGTAGAGCCTTCGAGAGGTGATTAGGTCATGAGGCTACAGCCTTCAAGATACAATTAGTGCCCTTATGGGGAAAAAAATATAGAAGAGTGCTTACTTCCTCTGTCTCTGCTCTCCACCATATAGGATACAAGAATATGTACATCTACCAGCCAGAAAGTGAGGCCTCACTACATGCTAGATCTGCCAGAGGCTTTAACTTGGACTTACAGCCTCCAGAACTGTGAGAAATAAATGTTTGTAATTTAAGCCAGCCAACCTACGGCAATTTGTTATATTAGCCCAAACTGACTGAGACAAGGAAGGAAGAGAAAAAATGAGGAGGAAGAGGACTATTAGGAGGAGAAAGACAGAAAGCAAAGAATTGTTAACATTTCATGAGTGCCTTTCAGATGAGATAACTGAGCCTCAGGAAGATTTTCACCCAATAAATGGCAGAATTTCAATCTAAAACTGATTTTAAACCTTAATCTATCTTATCCATTCTGGATAAGAAAAGGTGGAGGGTTGTGATGCTTCCAATTTTCCCTTTAGGGTAAGAAGTGTTCAGATAGAGTAGGAATATGGAAGACTAAAGGCTTAAGGAGAATGGAAATTGTTTCACATAGTTATAGTGGAAACTGAGAAAGAGCCGACTCAAGAAAGAAAAATATCAAGGGCCCAGAAAGAATTGGAGGTTTTAAAGTTTAAAGTGACACCAATCTGCACAGGTAATTATTTTCTCTAGCAAAGCTCAGCTGGAAATGTGAAGACACCATGGTTTAAGGTTTCATGAGGTCACAAACTCAGAAGGACAATGACAAAAATAAGTTGAGGATTTGGGCAAGGAAGATGCTAAAATAATGGGATATGGAATCCAAGACAGATGGGATAAGAAGTCAAGTCAGGAAAGGATGACAAGAAGAACATGTCAAAGACTGAAGATTCTTAGAAGGTGGCATTTAGATGTATCCTTGTGCCTAACATATTGCCTAGCATAAAGTAGTAATTGAGTAAATAATTTCTAATTAATTAATTATAACCAAGACCTACCATGTTGAAGTATAAGGCCAGAAAGGACATTTGACTCAGACTTCTCCTTTATAAAAGATTCTAAATGAGACTTCTTTGGATGTCAGCAAGACCTGATGGTAACCCACTAGGATGATTCAGTCAAAACAGCTTTCCTAGATAAAATATGGCATGGACTTCTTCAAAGTTTTCTCTAGAAGGGCTTAGACCTGTGCTTCTTTACTTAGATGGGCTTGTGCTAGTGAAAGCCTGCTCTACAATGCCTCTGTAGCTTTACTCTATAAATTTTACCTTTTCTTTAGGGTTTTTTCACAGTAGTTACCCTCAATATCAGGCCTTTTCACCACGGTTATGATTACCCCACTTAAGATACTGAGAAAACATTATTTCTCTTGCTTTTCTGAAGAATAGCTAAAATGTTCTCTCTCTCTCTCTCTGTGTGTGTGTGTGTGTGTGTGTGTGTGTGTGTGTGTATGCATGCTCTCACTCTCTATATATCTATATAAATATATAGATATATATTTCAGTGAGGCAACTGAGGATCTGATAAATGCAGCAACTTGACTGGCTTCATAGCTAGAACATAGCAGAATTCAAATATGTGTGGTTTACAACTCTTATTTCATCTCTTCATGCTACTTACAAACTTTATATGTGACAAAATACAGAAAACTAAGGAAATCCAGGTCTTAAAAAAAAAAAAAACTCCACATTTCAAGTGAGAGTTCAATAGTATCTCTATCTTTTGAAGTAAAACAAAGCACAGAAGGAAAATCCAGATAAATTGCTTGGAATTTGCAATGAATCAGAATTTTACTTAATATAATAAGCCCAAAATGGAATGGGTTATTTGTCAAAGTGTTGAGTTTCTCATCTCCAAGCACATTTGTGGGGAGATTAGCCAAATGTCAGGGTCAACCTGGTTAATTTCCACTTCTACAATCAAATTTTCACTTTCTAACTGTTTAATCCTCACCACTTTTACAAGATAATAACCTAGACCTAAGTTGGCAGATTAGGTGGAACATTCATATGTGACCGAGAATGATAGAGCAACGATCATTACTGAGAGCTCTGTGTGAAAGAAGTATCAGAATGTAAATGATATAGCTGCTCCCATATGAAAAGCTATGAGTCTCGTTTTTATTTCTAACAAATTGGCTAATAGTCAACAGTGTGTATCAACCCATAAACAAATCTCACCTCTGTGGGCAAGTTATGCAAAATCTACAATAGAAGTTCTACACAAGAAAAATATACCTAACCAAACATTTTCAGAGAAGGAAAAACATAATTTTACAAAGGTCTAACACCATGTGATTTTGATAATATGAAGCTAAATAATAAAGAACACTAAAATAATAAAGGAAGCAAAAAGTTTTGTTTTATTTAGTATGTTCATAATTAAATCAAAGAAGAATTCTCCATATTTTTTAGAGAAATTAAGATCGTATGGCTAAAAATATATTTATCCATGTAGACAGGACAAAAATAATTTGTGAAGGCTTTGTGGGTGAGCAGAAAAGCAACAAAAATATTTCAAAGGTAAAAAGACATGTAGAAAAAATTTAAATATTCATGTATATATAATATATATTTATGATAATGGGCTCTGTAATATAGTATGAAAAAAGATCCAAGAATGTTATGGAACTGTTCGTGAAGATATCAGCTAATGGGCTGCTGCAGCATATAAAAATACTGCAAATATGAATATAAAAATACTTTAAATGTGAGAGGGGAAGGTGCTCTACCCTTTAAAAAAATTATGATATGCCTGTAACTGATTGCTAAAAATAGTTCTAGTCATTGTGCCTTAGGAAAGCCTTAATAGGCTAGAAGTGGATGGATATATGTTTATGTAAAAAGGTATATTATATATAATTGTTATCATTACTATCATAAGCAAACAAATTCTATCATGTAAAGGAAAACATGTAAAACTCTTTAAGGCTGTAAAAATGAAAACAGGAGAGCTATTAGAGGTCAACATAACATAATAAAGTATATGTAATGAATGACTCCTTTTTAATGAGTTCTCACTATATTGTAAGCACAGTTCTAAGCACTTTACATGTATTAACTCATTTAATCTCCACAAAATCCCTTCCTGTAGGCACTATTAATGTCCCAGTGAGGTACAGAGAAGTCCAATACTTTGCCCCATGTCACACAGCTAGTAAGTAGCAGAGCCAAGATTAAAATGCAGGCATTCTCATTTCAGGAAGTGCGAGCTTAATCCACTGCCCTTGAAACTCAAATCTAATTTTTGTCTTGTCTCTCCACTGAGAATTCTTAAATGGAGAGCTAGTTGATACACTGGAAGTAGGTAAGTTTGAGGTAAATAATTATAAAATGAACTATAAACCTTGAAATCTTCAGAAGACAAATCTTCTGAATTCTCAGAGACAAAACAAATGGAAAATACAAAACAAGAATCAGGAGGTCTCTAGAGTCACACAGACAATAGCATAAAGCAGGGAAAGCTGGGGTAGGTAAATCTCTAGCCTCTTGAAGCAAGCCTCTAGAAGGTCAGGTAGAGCCTCCCATGGGGCTGCACTTCATGCCCCCAACAGATACAGGCTGCAGAGCAGGATGAGTCTCTGACTTCACCCCAGATGGCATTCATTCCTTCTGTGATATGGAAACGTCAGAACTGTGTCTACCTGTGTCAGTGTTCTCTGTATTGAGTTATAAATATCTGCAGGGTGGGGAACAGATCTTACTCACTTGACATATTACCCAGCTCAGCACCACACACAAGGTTCTTGATAAACAGATTTTAATTGTTATGATATGCCACTCTTTCACTCAATTTCACAATTTCATACACCCATAGGATCTACTTTAAGAAGTAAGAATGTGTTTTCAATCTATTTTTTGTCTGCCACTGCTAAGAATGTAGCTGAATGCATGACTTTACAGCATTGTTTTAAATAGAGAATCTCAGTAAAATATTCTTTAGGGGAGTACCAAACCTAAGATTAATAACTGTTCATTTTACTGAATATTCTGACAAAGAATTTCTTCAGACTGGGGAAGTAAGTATTCTGAGGGATTTTCTCCATATACACAATCTGCCCTTCGGAATCCACTGAGCTTTTGTTCAGCTGCTGTGTTTTGTAGTTAACTTCATGCTGCTCTTGCTCACATTACCAGAGCATCTAGCATGAAACACAGTCTTGTCCTTTTCCAAACATCTGTTAGCTGGAAAAGGAATGTCACATGTCATCTCTCTCCCTCCTTCCATATTCTTTCACTTCCTGAGAATGCGAACCTATACAGGAGAGTATAAAAGAGCTTATTCAGTGGAGTTGGGTCAAGTGGCCAGCCAAGATTCACCTTTATTACATCTAGTAAATACAATGCTCTATTCCAACTTTGAGGGAACTTTTCCTCAAAAGACAGAGAATGTCTCTTGCTGTGAGAATTGTGCAGTTTAAAAATCATATTGTTCATTTTTCTGCTCTCCTAAGAGTAAACAATCAACATTTGGTCTAGACTGGTCTTGAGGAGGGCATGGCTTTTAAGGACTTTCATGGGAGCTGTATCACCTGGAATCCTGGACTAAAATTGTGGGAGCTGGGGAAGAAAGCAGAGTTCTGCCATGGGATCAGAAGTAGTAAGTAAAACTAGTCCAAGAAGTTACATAGTTAGAAATCAAAATCCCAAAAAGCTAATGATGTATATGCTAATTACCTTTACTTTCTTTCTATAAGCCTTCCTTTGCAGCTATGAATTTACTTTTAGCTAAATTCATTATAATCACATAAACATGTCCACCATTTGATGCCTACAACAGTGACATGACAGTACAGGATAAGCCACAGCTCCTCCTCAGGGAGTGCCTTCTTCACATAGCCTTGCCCAGTTTCCCTTAGGGAAAGTGCATTTGTTCTTGACTCTATTTCAAAACAACTGCTTGTATTCACTATACAGATCAGTGAACCCATTCTTAGATGTTAGCTATCTTCTCCACTACATGCAAAAGTGGGGACCAGGTTTGTTCTCTATATGCCACTATTTCATACATAATGCACTGGTCTTCCACTGCACTCTTCACATAGTAGGTATGCTTCTTGCATTATATTTTCTTAACCTACTAAAGATAACTCACATCCTCCCAAATTTTACCACAGCTTGCCTCCAAGTCTGCACTTCAGTCTTTCAGAATGGTCAGTCAGAAATACAAGAGTGAAGGTTGGGTACACACACATTAAGAAGTGAGGAGAAATGTTATATGTTGACAACTGATTATTTTAATATATGCTAGACCCTATAAGTGGCTATCATTATTCATGCTGTGCATTTCAAATATAATTTGAAAACAGGTTTCCACCTTTAGTCATTTAATCTCAAAGCATATTTATTAGAAAGAGGCCAAAGCTTTGAGAAAAACAAAGATTATTCTCTCAATAACAACCAAAATAGAAATAAATTTTTTTATAGCATACTTATGCTTCTGAAACTCAGTGCCTATTGAACTTAAATGATTATTCAAACCAAATGAGCTTTCCTAGATGAATATTTTGAATTGTTTAGTTTTTATTATCTTTATAAATTCACTGTGTAGTACAGAAGGGCAATTCTTCATAAACTTCTCCTGAGTGGACATATAACAAGTATAATTATGCTGCCCTTATTCTTACTGGCATTCAAATAATTGACATTTTTTAAAAAGATTTACTGTCAATATTTTGGTTAAAAACATTTTAATGATTAGCTTCATACCTCCTGCAGAAGGTCCTCTTCATTATTCATCTCAACACTTTTTAAGTTCAGCGTTAGAAACCACAATATCCTCAACAAATGCATTCAACATGTATTTATATGTGTACCTACAACAAAGACTGCAGATGATGAATTCCATAGAGGCTTTTCCAGAGGGGTCTGGCAGGTAATAAAAGATAAACATCAGATTCTGATGTGTCATGCCCAAGGCACAGTATGCTGGAAATGCACTAGAAGAATCGAATGACAAATGCTTGTTTACGCCTGACTCCCTGCAAACAAAAGACATACAAAGCTTAAAATTGTGTTGGTTGATTTTTTTCTCCAACATACAGAATTTTTGTTACATAACAATTGTATTCTGGAATGATATCTATTGTCAGATTCAGATGATGAAACACTTATTAGACGACTATGCTATCAAAGCCCACAGACAAAAGCACAGATGGAAAAATACAGCTATAAGTGACCCAGATTTTTACCAATGGCAAAGATCCACTCATTTGTAATTCTCATTTTTATTTTCTTTTCTAGGTCCCTCTGGCCTCCAAATTAATTCTGGACCTTCATTATAAAACTGAAATATCTTTCTTTAGCTTTTCCAATTCTCCGATGTCAGTCTGTGACAAATCCCAGACCATCCCCACTGTGCACAATGAACACAGAATCATCTACAGGCTGCCCCATATGGTCCCATAAACAATCCTAACTCAGTAGAGGAAATAGGGAATGCTTTCTCTTCACTAGTAAAGGGGGTTTGAAATCACACTTCTGCTGCTATCAACTCAACTTCAAGTATTGTTGATGAAGGAGGATATGCAGTTTCTTCTGAACCAAACCAAATTCTCTCTAAGCATTTTCCATGTGGAAGTGTATAGTCTCCATGGCTAATCACTTCTTCCTGGTCTTCTGGGCCTGAGGAAGACCAAGCCAATACTTACAACCACTCAATCCTGCCTGACTCTCTTGGCCCATTTCAAAAGCCCCATTTCCTAAAGACAGTGATTAACTATTCCTATTTCCATTCCATTGGTACTTGTTCCATGACTGACTCTAAAGCTTCTGCTCTGTGTAGCCTGATCTACAACCAGATCTTGAATTTGGACCTAGTTCTGATGCTGATGCCAGCCTGAAACTGCATCCTGAATATGGCTGTTTTGGACTCTTGAACCTCCCCAAGAAAAGGGATTCTATCTCCTATCCTAGTATTTGACTTGCTCTTGGTGCTTTCCCCCAGATCTCTAGTAGGGTGTTTAATTCCCACAATGTCTTGTACCAGAGCCTTACCTAAGTTTTTCTCAATCCTCTTCTGAGACCACATTTGCTTCCACTTTTACAACTTTTTCTTGCATGTGCTTGTCTCCATGCAAAACAGGTGCCATTGAGCTATGGAAAAAAATGTTTTGTGAAAAATTTCGTTTTTGTTTCAGAAATGTTCCCTTTCCTATATCAAAGAAAAGAACTCCAAGCTGGTTTACATGTTCAGTTACATATTGGGACATGTTTTAAAAAAATCATTCCTTTATAGTACTACTTACCCAAATTTTCTCCTGGGAGTTTTATTGTTATTGAATATGCAATTTGATTCATTTCATCTTCTTTTCCTTACCTTATTTTGACAATCTCTTCTTCTCAATGTGTATCCATGATTTTTTTATAATATCCTTTCCTGAACCTTGATTTGCCCATTTTTGTAAAAAGTGTTCTAAAGCTTGGTTGGACATATGGTGTATAACCTAATTTATGGTATTAGCATGATACATATTTTAAAAGTATTACCATTATTTAGAATCAGTTTTTCCAAAGGAAAAACCAAATGTCAGTAAAGGGCTTAACAAATAGATTAGAAAAATAATAAATGGTCAATAAGTCCATATTAAACACTTTCATTCACAAGCATTTGTTCAATCTGTACTATATCCAGAAAGCTATCTTAGTCAAAATGAATATAGTCATTGAGCCATGAATGTAAATGATACAAGTCTTTCTCTTACCACTCTTCTGAGACAACATATGGAAAGACCGTTCAACTCAAGTACTTCTCCTGCCAAAAAGTTGTAATCTAATTGAATGGATCCAGAGAAGAGTAACTAAAATGATTAAAGGAATTATGGGATTCATTTCATGAGAACAGATTGCAGAAGCTAAAGCTTACTAAGTACCAACAAGGGGAAACAATATGTTGTTTACCACTAAGTTACTGCCTTCTGATGAATTATTGAACAGGATTGGAAGAGCAAAGGATGCAAATTAGGTAAAGGATTAAATCTATTCTTTCACTGTGGGAGAAAATGAAATCACAATGAATCTGTTTTTGTTTCATGTTTACATATATTATATGTTACAGTACAGTGTATAAAATACAAAGTTCTTGTCTTCCCAGCACTAACTGATAAGGAAATAGGGTGAAAACATGCCCAATGAGACCAAGGGAATAACTGACTTGTGAGAATAATAGCCAAGTTCAGTGAAGGAAATAATCTTTCTTATGACCTTCATGAATCACAAAAATATGGTTTCAGGTCAGCATAAGAACATAACAACCACGACAGAAGGATACTTCCACCCTACCTTTCTCCCGATTTGTTGTTGTTCTAGAAGCTGCATGGGTTTGTTCCTCCTTTATATGCATCTAATTATGACATACCTAACAGGAAGACTACATTGACACCCTTTATTGAAGATAACATCATACAAAAATTATAAGGAGTAATATTTGAGCTTCCCTAGTGGTTCTAGAACTCCTGTTCACAAAGGCCCCCAAAAGTTCCTTTCATGAATCCAGTCCCCATTTCTTTTCAGTTCTTCCCAGAAATACCTCATTTTCTAAGAAAATGGTAGATCTGTTTACAGAATTAAGATTTAAAACCGATGATTAAAAAATATTGGAGTGAGGACAGGTAGAAAATCAGTGAATTCAGGGCTGAGCGGAAACACACATTGGCAGGGAAACTGAAGAATATTTTTGTGTGTCCTTTTCATTTGTTTCAGAAAGGGAATTTCTCCTCTCATCTGCCCCTTCGATAAACCTAAGTAAGCAATGAGTAGAAAACAGCGTAACTCCCTGAAAAAAATTATTTTGTAAAGTTGATACAATTTAAAACTAGTTTAAAATCATTTTAATTTAGCATTTTCAATGATTTTCACATATCCTTAAGCATTTATATATTTAGCACAAGCTTCATAAAGTTAAATGAAGTCAGTTGTGAAAGTGGAAGCATGAAATTCTGAATTCCAAGGCACATAAGGAGCTTGCAATCACATATAATAAGTTAAAAATTATTCCAAAACAGCCCAAGCTATTTTTAGAAGGAGAGTGCCACAGAATACATTTCTTTTTATTTGTAAGATTTATGGAGTCCAGGTGCAGTTTTGTTACATGAATATAGTGCATAGTGGTGAAGTCTTGGCTTTTAGTGTAGCCATCACCGGAATAGTATACATTGTACCTGTTAAGTAATTTCTCATCACTCATCCCACTCCACCCTTTTGAGTCTCTACTGTCTATTCACAGAAGACATTTTTATAACACCATTAATTTTAAAAAATTGGTAGCTGGTGTTGTCCTTGTTTCCTTCTTTTAATGGCATCATTCTACTTATTGTGATAATATCTACAAATTCTTGAGAGCACCAAAACCTCATATACACACACACACACACACACACACACACACACACACACACACACACAGGTTATGTTAATCAATATTAGCATATTTAAAAATATAATAATAATGGGCATTGTACATATTAACATAAATAGCATTTTTTATAGAAAATTGATTTCTTATTTTCACAAATTGCTCTAATGTCTAGCTTAAGAGAAAAACCACTGGAATCTCGTATGTTTTTGCATTCTTTTTTTTTTTTTTTTTGAAACACAGTCTGCTCTGTCACCCAGACTGGAGTGCAGTGGTGCGATCTGGGCTCACTGCAACCTCCGCCTCCCGGGTTCAAGCAATTCTCCTGCCTCAGCCTCCCAGATAGCTGGGATTACAGGCACCCGCCACCACACCTGGATAACTTTTAGTATTTTTAGTAGAGACAGGGTTTCGCCATGTTGGCCAGGCTGGTCTGGAACTCCTGACCTCAGGTGATCCACCTGCCTCAGCCTCCCAAAGTGCTGGATGACAGGCGTGAGCCACCGCTTCCGGCTTGCATTTATTCTTTTGATACAGCCCATGTCATGCAACCTCTGGAAAACTTCACTATACACTAATGCTAGATGAGAATGAAAAGGCAAATAGAGTCTTACCATTACTGTGAAAATAATTTTGACCTCACAGTCTCCTCAAAGGTTCTTGGAATCCCTAGGGGTCCCTGAACCATACTTTCAGAACTGCTGCTGTAGTGAAACAACCAGCAGATTAAAGACTTGAGTTCTATAGGAAACACTGTTTTTTAAAGACATATCACATAGTTTTCTTGATAACAGTTTCCTTTTGTGCAAAATGTGGTTTAGGGCAAGATGATCTCAGGTTTCTCTTAACTCTGTTCTGTGATTGTGTAAGATATTAAATGAATTTTATAAAACAACTGAGAATACACATTGTCTTCATGAGCACATGGAATATTCTCCAGGACAGACTATATGTTAGGACACAAAACAAGTCTAAACAAACTTTTAAAAATTAAAATTATATCAAGTGTTTTATCAGACTCCAATTAAATAAAACTAAAAATCAACATCAAGAGGAACTTTGGAAACTCTACAAATACATGCAAATTAAACAACATGCTCCTGAATGGTCACTGGGTCAATGAAGAAATTGAGAAGAAAATAAAAAAAAATTTTTTGGAAACAAATGAAAATAGAAAAACTACATACCAAAATGTGTGGGGTACAGCAAAAGCTCTGCTAAGAGGGAAGTTGATAGCAATAAACACCTACATAAAAAAAAAAAACAGGAGGCTGCACATGGTGGCTCATGCCTGTAATCCCAGCACTCTGGGAGGCCGAGGCGGTCACATCACAAATTCAGGAGATCAAGACTATCCTGGCCAACATGGTGAAACCCCGTCCCTACTAAAAACACAAAAATTAGCTGGGCGTGGTTGAGCGCCTATAGTTCCAGCTACTCAGGGGACTCAGGCAGGAGGATCTCTTGAACCTGGGAGGCAGAGGTTGCAGTGAGCTGAGATCACACCACTGCACTCCAGCCTAGAAGACTGAGTGAAACTCTGTCTCAAAAAAAAAAAAAAAAAAAAGGAGAAAATTTTCAAATATATAATCTAATGATGCACCTTAAGGAACTTGATTAAAAAACACAAAACAAACAAACAAAAAGAACAAACCAAACCCAAAACTAGTGCAAGGAAAGAAATAATAAATATCAGAGCAGAACTCAATGAGATAGAAACTAATAAAATAATACAAAGGTTCAACCAAACACATTGGTTCTTTGAAAAGATAAACAACATTAATAAATCCCTAGCTAGACTAACCAGGAAGAGAGAAGATCCAAATAAGCAAAATTAGAAATGGAAAAGGAGACATAACTGATATCACAGAAATACAAAAGATCATCAGAGACTGTTATAAACAATTATACACTAACAAACTGGAAAATCTAGAGGAAAAGGAGAAATTCCTAGAAACATAGAACCTACCAAGATTGAATAAGGAATAAATAGAAAACCTGAACAAACCAATAATGAGTAGCAAGGTAGAATCAGTAATAATGTGTCCGGAATTGGTGGGTTCTGGGTCTCACTGACTTCAAAAATGAAGCCGCAGACCCTCACGGTGAGTGTTACAGCTTTTAAGGTGGCGCATCTGGAGTTTGTTCCTTCTGATGTTCAGATGTGTTCGGAGTTTCTTCCTTCTGGTGGGTTCGTGGTCTCGCTGGCTTCAGGAGTGAAGCTTCAGACCTTTGCGGTGAGTTTTACAGCTCATAAAAGCAGTGTGGACCCAAAGAGTGAGCAGTAGCAAGATTTATTGCAAAGAGCGAAAGAACAAAGCTTCCACAGTGTGGAAGGGGACCCGAGTGGGTTGCCACTGCTGGCTTGGGCAGCCTGCTTTTATTCTCTTATCTGGCCCCACCCACATCCCGCTGATTGGTAGAGCCGAGTGGTCTGTTTTGACAGGGCACTGATTGGTGGGTTTACAATCCCTACAATCCCTGAGCTCGACACAAAGGTTCTCCACGTCCCCACCAGATTAGCTAGATACAGAGTGTCCACACAAAGGTTCTCCAAGGCCCCACCAGAGTAGCTAGATACAGAGTGTCGATTGGTGCGTTCACAAACCCTGAGCTAGACACAAGGTGCTGATTGGTGTGTTACAAACCTTGAGCTAGATACAGTGCCGACTGGTATATTTACAATCCCTGAGCTAGATACAAGGTGCTGATTGGTGTGTTTACAAACCTTGAGCTAGATACAGAGTGCCGATTGGTATATTTACAATCCCTGAGCTAGACATAAAGGTTCTCCACATCCCCACCAGACTCAGAAGCCCAGCTGGCTTCACCCAGTGGATTCTGCACCAGGGCTGCAGATGGAGCTGCCTGCCAGTCCCGTGCCATGCACCTGCACTCCTCAGCCCTTGGGTGGTCGATGGGACTGGGCACTGTGGAGCAGGGGGTGGCGCTTGTTGAGGAGGCTTGGGCCGCACAGGAGCCCACGGAGGAGGTGGGAGGCTCAGGCATGGCGGGCTGCAGGTCCTGAGCCCTCAGGCCCCACAGGAAGGCAGCTAAGGCCCAGCAAGAAATCGAGCACAGCGCTGGTGTGCTGGCACTGCTAGGGGACCCAGTACACCCTCTGCAGCTGCTGGCCTGGGTGCTAAGCCCCTCATTGCCCAGGGCCAGCAGCGCCTGCCGGCTGCTTTGAGTGCAGGGCCTGCCAAGCCCACGCCCACCCAGAACTCCAGCTGGCCCGCAAGTGCCGTGCGCAGCCCCAGTTCCAACTCACGCCTCTCCCTCCACACCTCCCTGCAAGCTGAGGGAGCGGGCTCTGGCCTTGGCCAGCCCAGAAAGGGGCTCCCATAGTGCAGCGGTGGGCCAAAGGGCTCCTCAAGTGCCACCAAAGTGGGAGCCCAGGCAGAGGAGGCGCCGAGAGCGAGCGAGGGCTGTGAGGACTGCCAGCACGCTGTCACCTCTCAATCCCCCCTCTAAACAGGACACCCTAACTGCTGTTGGCAATTTGGCTGATGACCACTCTAGCTACTTCCTGCTGGATAGGGGTGAAGAAGGGGCCCTGCAGTTGTAGTGTCCTTCAGAGGGGAACTCTCTAGACCAGGTAAAGTGCCAGTGGGTCGGTCCAGGGGTCCTCAGTAGAAGTTGTTAGTTGAACTCATTTGGGGTTCCATTTGTAAAACCATCTGTAGCTTGATGGCCTCGATTCTAGAGGAAACAAATTTGACAAGAAGGTTAAAAATACAGGCCCCAAAGGTAAGTAACAGCAAGATGGCTGCCATGGGACCTAGAAAGGGGAGAAGCCATGTTGCCCAACTCCAGAGGTTGGTATAAGAATTTGAAAGGTGTTGTCTGATTTCGGAAGCCTTTTCCTGTAAACGCTGGGCGGCATCTCATGCTATCCCAGACTGGTTAGTGTAGAAACAACACTCTTCCCCTAAGAAGGTGCAGAGTCCTCCTTTCTCAGCAGTGAGGAGGTCTAGGCCTCGGCAGTATTGGAGAGTCGCTGCTGCCAAAGAGTCTATTTGGGATTGTAAAGTAAGGATAGATTTCATTATTTCTTGCAAACTGTCTGAGAGGCAGATATGGGTTGAAGATCCACATAAGTAGGATATGCCTTGGCTGGGTAGATGGACATTTACCCTGGCTTTTAAAGGAATAGGGTACACTGTTTTTTCTTTACTACTTCCATCTCTCTTTCTTTCTCTTCAACTTCTCCTTTATCTTTTCCTCTCTCTGTCTCTTTCTCTTTCTCTTTCTCTCTTTCCTTCTTGCTGGTCTTTCCCTACCTCTGCCAGCCGCTTATGCTGCTGTTCTCCCCTCTCCTTCCCATTTTGATGGCTTTGGTAGTGTAAGACTCCCACCTCTTTGTGTTCCTGCACCGTGTGCAGTAACTCCATAACTTCCCTGTGGCATCCAGTGGGGGTTCCCAGAGGTTAGGAACTCCCATTCTTTCCATATCGCAGCATGGGCATGTAGGATTAGATAAGCATACTTGCTATCTGTATACACATTTATTCTTTTTCCCTTTCCCAGTTCTAAGGCTCGGGTAAGTGCCACTAGTTCTGCTAACTGGGCACTGGTCCCTGGGGGAAGAGGCTTGCTTTCAAGTATGATTACATCAATAACTATGGCATAACCTGCCCTTCATATCCCATTTTCCACAAATGAACTTCCATTGGTATATAGGTTAAGGTCAGGATTAGTTAAGGGGACTTCTAAGAGATCATCTTGGGCGGCATAAGTCTGGACTATAATTTGTTGGCAGTCATGCTCGATTGGTTCCCCATCCTCTGGGAGAAAAGGGGCAGGGTTGAGGGCCACGCACATGCATATTTCAAGCACTGGTCCCTCAAGGAGTAGTGCCTGGTATCTAAGTAGGTTGTTGTCTGATAGCCATAAACTTCCTTTGGCACCTAGTGTGCCATTTACATCATGAGTACTCCAGACAGTGAGATCCTTTCCTTGTATTATTTTGATAGCCTCTGACACTAAGATGGCCACTGCTGCAACTACCCTTAAACAGTGAGGCCAGCCTTTTGCTACTACATCAATTTCCTTACTTAGGTATGCCACTGGTTGTGGGGTTGTCCCACGAGTCTGAGTAAGGACTCCAAGAGCTATCCTGGCTCTCTCTGTGACGTATAAAGAGAAGTTCTGTCCTGTAGGAAGGCTTAAAGCTGGAGCTTGTACTAGGACCTGCTTTAAGGTTTTGAAGGCTGTTTCTGCCTCTGGTTCCCATTCTACTAGATGAGTATTTGCCCTCTGGGTTTCCTTGATTGGAGTATAGAGGAGCCTGGCTATCTCGCTGCATCCAGGGATCCATAGTTGGCAAAAGCCGGTAATTCCAAGGAACCCCTTCAACTGTTTTAATGTCTTAGGGCAAGGATAAGCCAGTAAAGGCTGTATTCATTCCTTGCTGAGGGCCCTGGTCCCTCTGGCTAAGATTAGACCTAGATATTTAACCTGCTGTAGGCAAAGCTGGGCCTTCGACCTAGACAACTTGTACCCTTGATTAGCTAGAAAGTTCAACAGATCTAGAATAGCCTGCTGGCACGAGGCTTCTGAACTGGTAGCCAGAAGTAAATCATCCACATATTGAAGGACCAGAGTGCCTGGACTTGAGAAGTAGCTTAGATCTTGGGCCAGTGCCTGACCAAACAGATGAGGGCTATCCCTAAACCCTTGGGGCAAGACCGTCCACATAAGTTGGGACGTGTGGTCTGTGGGATCCTGGGAGTCAGAGTGCAGGGGAATACAAAAGAAGGCATCCTTGATGTCCAGAACGATGAACCATTCTGCTTCCTCTGGTATTTGAGAGAGCAGGGTATAGGGGTTGGGTACAACTGGATATAGTGGAATTACTGCCTCAATGAGTCTAAGATCTTGCACTAGTCTCCACTGACCGTTCGGTTTTTGTACTCCCAGAATTGGGGTGTTGCAGGGACTGCTGCATTTCCTTACTAAGCCTTGAGCCTTCAAATGTTTAACAATATTCTGTAATCCTTTATGAGCTTCAGACCTTAAGGGATATTGCCTTTGATAAGGAAAAGTTGTGGGATCTTTTAACCTGATTTGGACTGGGCGGGCATTTTTTGCCTTTCCAGATTCTCCTTCCAATGCCCAGACTTCAGGGTTGATTTCCTCCTCAAGTAGGGGACAACAAATGGGTAACTTTTTCCCCATACTCATGCAGAAAATAGCTCCAGCCTTGGCTAATATATCCCTCCCTAATAAGGGTGTGGGACTTTCAGGCATAACAAGAAAGGCATGTGAAAAGAGCAAAGTCTCCCAATTACAACTGAGAAGGTGGGAGAAATACCTGGTTACAGGCTGTCCCAGGATTCCTCAGATGGTAATGGACCTTGAGGACAGTCATCCAGGACAGGAGATTAACACTGAGAAGGCCGCGCTAGTGTCCAGGAGGAAGTCAATTTCCTGGCCCTCAATAGTTAAACATACCCGGGGCTCAGTGAGGGTGATGACATGAGCTGGCGCTTGCCCCAGGCACCCTCAGTCCTGTTGTTGGATCATCTGGTTGGGGCTTCTGACCCAGGGAACCTTCATCCTCTGGGGCAGTGCACCTTCCAGTGATTGCCTCGGCATAGTGGACATGGACGAGGGTGCAGCTTATTTCTCATTGGACAATGTTTTTTAAAGTGTCCTAGTAAACCACACTGATAATAAGCCCTACCAAGTGATTGGCCTGCTCCATTTTCTGTCCTCTCTGAACCACCAAGATTTGTTTGTCTGAGGGACATGACTAAGGCTGCAGCCTTTCTCTGATCTCATTTTTCCTTTTGGGCCTGTTCCTCTTGGTCCCTATTATAGAACACTGAGGTTGCCAGGTTTAATAATGCCTCTAGATTTTGTTCAAGGCTCAGGGCTTGCTTTTGGAGCTTTCTCCTGATATCTGCGGCTGATTAGGTAATAAACTTATCTTTTAGAATCAATTGACCCTCGAGTGATTCAGGTGACAGGGGAATATATTTTCTTAAGGCCTCTCATAGCCACTTGAGGAAGGCAGAAGGATTTTCTTCCTTTCCCTGAGTTATGGTGGACATCATTGAATGGGCTTTTTTCTAATTCTCCTTAGTCCTTCTAGAACACAAGTCAACAGATGTTTACAACTCCAGTCCCCATGATCTGAGTCAAGGTCCCAGTGAGGATCCATACTGGGGATGGCTTGCTGACCAGTAGGGAATTTGTCCCTTTCTTCAGCTGTCATTCTGTCATTTACTTGACTAAGCTACCATGTATCTCCAAACTCTCGGGCTGCAGCTAAAGCTGCATTCTTTTCATTAAAGGCCAGGGTTTGATCTAACAGTAGCATGACATCCCTCCAAGCGAGGTCAAAGGTTTGCCCTAGACCCTGTAGGACATCTATGTACCTATCAGGATCATCTGAAAACTTCCCCAGGTCTGCCTTGATCTGTTTTAAATCAGAGAGGGAGAAGGGGACAGGTACCTGAGTTGGGCCAAATTCCCCTCCCCCTACAGCTTAAAGGGGACATAACCGATAGCCCGGGGGGTTTTGTGGTCCTTTTGGAGATTTCTTTGCTTATTTCCTTCTGGGCAGGGGAGATTAGAGGAGGATTATCATTAATAGGAAGGGGAGCTACAGGGAGGCTAGGATATGGGTGTAAGCTGAGAGGTCCTCCTCTGGGATGTAAATTGCAAGCTTTGCATAGTTGTGTATTCTCCCTCAATGAAAAGAAAGCTTGGACATAAGGTATTTCACTCCATTTGCCTTCCCTCTTACAGAAAAGATCAAGCTGCAGGATAGTACTGTAATTTGTACTTCTCTCAGGTAGCCATTTTTCCTTATCAGAGAGAGAATATTGGGGCCAAGCCGTAGTGCAGAAAAAAATGAGCCACCTCTTTTTCAGGGTTTGTGGGTCAAATTGGTCCCAATGGCTTAGGATACATTTCAAGCGTGAGCCTGTTGATGCCTGAGTGTTTCCCATCTGAAAGACAAAACCGCCCGTGGTTTTGGTTTATTTTGTTTCTCCCCCTGCCCAAGAATCCACAACGGTCCCTGGACCCTGCTGATCGGAATAGTTGTGCTCACCAACGCAGCAGCAGAAACAACCCCTGCCCAAGAACCCACAACGGTCCCTGGACCCTGCTGATCGGAATAGCTGCACTCACCTACGCAGCAGCAGAAACATTAGTTTTCCTCCCAGACCACATGGAGGACCGAGGAAGGTCAGATTTAGTGGCCCTTACTGATGCATCCTTGAAAACCTGCACCCTTGCCTGTCCTCCTAGACCACAGGGAGGACTGACCAAGAAAAATCGGATTTAGTGGCCCATACCGACGCATTCTTGAAAACCTGTTAGAGTCCTAAGCATTCTCCTGTTAGTATTGGGATTTTACCCCTTTCCTATAAAGATGTTATGCCCCAAAAATGAAGTGGAGGGCCATACCCTGAGGGAGGGAAGGGATCTTCAGGGTTGGAAGAGTGACACCTTTTGTCCTCACTTATATGAATAGGAAGGATACAATTTCTGAGGCTCCCCATATCCTAGCTTCAGGAATAGCTTTTGTTAGGCCTATTAGTCTGAGGAGGGATCCTAAAATTCCAGGTAGTGCCCACTATGACAGGGCTTTGGGCAAAAATTGTGTCTTTCTGATTGGTGAGCCTGGGTGCCTAAAGAAGGTAACAGAGTCCTGGAATTTATATTAGAAATCATTCTTATAGGAGAAACTAGAAAAGCACTAGAGACAGGTAGCAATTTTTAGAAGCAGGTCTAACCTCAGAGAAGAGAGGTGAGAGGAAGTTTGTCTGGCAGGCATTGGGACCCAGGGGGCAAGGGTCAGGATAGATAGTATAGATGGGCGAGTCTCACTTGGGCGACATGCCTTTGAGAGTTCCGCTCATGGCCGCAGGGTCAACCAACATGTTGTTGGGACCCCAGAGCTGCATGGCTTTCCTCTCTGTCAACCCTCGGCTCAGCCCAGAAGTAAAGGAAAAGAGGAAGCTGTTTCTAGGCAAATCAACGGTCCCAACTCCAAAGAGTTGGGGGTTGTTAGAGAGCCCTTTCCTGGAAAGCCTGACACCCATGTCTTTAGTCCAGCGGCCGCGCTAGTCGCTTTCCACTGGCCGACAGGTGCCCGGTATTTAGCCCCTGAATTCTAAGGAAAGACAGGACAGAAGAGCAATCGAAAGGGGTCCGATGGTACTCACTGCTTGGTGATAGGTGATGGTCTCATCGCTCAGCAATAGGCAATGGTCTCACTGCTTGGCGATTGTCTCACCACATGGCGGTAGGCGAAAGTCCCTTCGTGGTCACCAACATGTGTCCGGAATTGGTGGGTTCTTGGTCTCACTGACTTCCAGAATGAAGCCACGGACCCTCGCGGTGAGTGTTACAGCTCTTAAGGTGGTGCATCTGGAGTTGTTCATTCCTCCCGGTGGGCTCGTGGTCTCTCTGGCTTCAGGAGTGAAGCTTCAGACCTTCACGGTGAGTGTTACAGCTCATAAAAGCAGTGTGGACCCAAAGAGTGAGCAGTAGCAAGATTTATTGCAAAAAGTGAAAGAAAAAAGCTTCCACAGTGTGGAAGGGGACCCGAGCGGGTTCCCCCTGCTGGCTCAGGCAGCCTGCTTTTATTCTCTTATCTGGCCCCACCTACATCCTGCTGGCTGGTAGAGCCAAGTGGTCTGTTTTGACAGGGCGCTGATTGGTGCGTTTACAATAAGAAGTCTCCCAACACAGAAAAAGCTGAGGACTGGATGGATTAACTGCTGAATTCTACCAAATGTATGCAGAAGAACTAATAACAAGCCTTACAAAAAGTCGAAAGGAAGGAAATTCTCCCTAAGTTATTCTACAATGCAAGCATTACCCTGGCACCAAAACCAGGCAAAAAAAGAAAAGAAAAGAAAAGAGGGAAGGGGAGGAGAGGGGAGGGGGAGAGAAGAAAGAAAGAAGGAACGAAAGAACAAAAGAATGAAAGAACAAAAGAACAAAAGAATGAAAGAACGAAAGAAAGAAAAAGAAAGGAAGGAAGGAGAGAGAGAGAGGAAGGAAGGAAGGAAGGGGGGAGGGAGGGAAGGGAGGGAGGGAGGCAAAAAAAAGAAAAGAAAAAGGAAAGGAAGGGGAAGGGAAGAGGAAGGGGAAGGGGGAAACTACAGGTCTATATGCCTGATGAACATAAACTCAAAAATCCTCAACAAAATACTGGCAAACTCAATCCAACAGCACATCAAAAAGATAAGACACTATAATCAAGTGGGACTTATACTGTGGGTGCAAGGATGGTTCAACATAGGCATATCAATGAATATGAAACATCACATCAACAGAATGAACAAAAACCATATGATCATTTAAATAGATGCAGAAAAAGCATTTGATAAAATTCAACATGGCTTCATTATTAAAGCTCTCAAAAAACTTGGTGTAGAAAATATACTTCACAATCATAAAGGTCATATATAACAAATGCCCAGCTGACATTTTACTAAATAGGAAAAAGTTGAATGCCTTTTCTCTAAGAACTGGAAGAAAATAAGGATGCCCATTTTAACCACTTATATTCAACATAGTACTAGAAGTCCTAGCCAGAGCATCAGTCAAAAGAAAGAAATAAAAGGCATCCAAATTGGAAAAGAGCAAGGCAAATTGTTCGCCTTTGCAGATGACATGATCTTACATTTAGAAAAGCTAAAAGACTACAAAAAAAATTCAAAAATGATAAATTCAGCAAAGTTGCAAGATACAAAATTAACATATTAAAAACCAGCAGCATTTCTATACACCAATCCTGAAATATCTGAAAAAGAAACCAAGAAGACAATCTCATTTACAATAGCTACAAAAAAAACTAGAAATAAATTTAACCTATTAGATAGAAGATATCTACAAGGAAAACTACAAAACACTAATGAAAGTAATTGAAGAGGACACAAACAAATAGAAAGACTAATTCCATGCTCAAGAATTGGAAAAATTAACACAGTGAAAATGACCACACTGCCCAAAGCAATCTACATATTCAATGCAATCCCTATCAAAATATTAATGTCGCTTTTATAGAAACAGAAAAAACAATTCTAAAATTTCTATGAAACTGAAAATGAGCCCAAATAGCCAAAGTAATTCTTAGCAAAAAGGATGAAGCTGGAGGCATCACACTACCTGACTTCAAAATATATTACAAGTGTATAGTAACCAAAACAGCATGGTTCTGGTATAAAAATAGACCCATAGACCAATGAAACAGAATAGAAACCCCAGAAATAAATCTGCATACTTAACGGCCAGCTGATCTTCAACAAAGCCATCAAGAAAATACATTGGGCTGGGCGCAGTGGCTCACATCTGTAATCTCAGCACTTTGGGAGGCTGAGGAGGATGGATCACAAGGTCAGGGGTTGAAGACCAGCCTGACCAACATGGTGAAACCCCATCTTTACTAAAAATACAAAAAAAAAAACTAGCTGAGCATGGTGGCAGGTGCCTGTAATCCCAGATATTCAGGAGGCTGAGGCAGGAGAATCACTTGAACTACTGGAGGAGGAGGTTGCAGTGAGCCGAGACTGCACCACTGCACTCCAGCCTGATGACAGAATGAGACTCCATCTCAAAAAAAAAAAAAAAAAAATACATTGAAGAAAGGACAGTCTCTTTGATAGTTGGTGCTGGGAAAACTGGATGACTGTATGCCAAAGAATGAGACTAGACCCCTATCTCTCACCACACACAAAAATAAATTCAGAATAGGTAAAAGACTTACAAGTGAGACCTGAAACTATAAAACTACTTGAAGAAAACATAGGAAAAACTCTTCAAGACATTGGTCTATGCAAAGATTTTATAACTAAAACCTCAAAAGCACAGGCAACAAAAACAACTCAGCAGTAAAAAACCCAAAGCACAAGCAACAAAAACAGCTCAACAATAAAAAATACAATAATGCCATTAAAAAGTGGGCAAACGACATGAATAGACATTTCTCAAAAGAGACATACAAATGGCCAACAGGTGTATGAAAAAATGCTCAACATCTCTAATCATCAGGGAAATGTCAATCAAAACCACATCAAAATCACATGAGATGTCCTATTACCCCACTTAGAATGGCTATTGTCAAAAAAACAATAAATAACATGTTGAAGAGAATGTGGAGAAAAAAGAACTCTTATACACTGTTAGTGGAAACGTAAATTAATATAGCCACTATGGAGAACACAATGGAAGTTTCTTAAAAAAAAAATCAAAAAATAGAACTACCGTACAATTCAGCCATCCCACTATTGGGTATTTATTCAAAAGGAAGATAATTCAAGGTATCAAAAGGACAAATGTACTCCTATGTTTATTGCAGTACTATTCACAATAGAAGATATGAAGTCAACCTAAGTGTCCATCAACAGATGACTGGATAAAGAAAATGTGCTATACATACACAATGGAATACACAGAAAGACAAATATTGAATATTCTCACTCATATGTGGGAGCTAAAGAAGTTGATCACATAGAGGTAAAGACAGATATCGCAAACTGGTAAGATTGAGTGGGGGAGGATTAAGAGAAGTGGGTTAATGGATACAAACATACAGTTAAATAGAAGGAATAATTTATAATGTTGATAGTAGAGTAAGGTGAGACTATACAACGCATTTTTTAAAAGTTAACAACAATGTTTTGTATTTTTTTAAAGAGCTAGAAGAGAGGACTTGAAATGTACTAAACGCACAGAAATTATAAATACTTGGATAATTGATACCTTAAATACTTGATTTGATCATTACACATTCTATAAATGTAACAAAGATTCACATGTAGCCTATAAATATGTACACATATAGAGTATAAAAATAAAAGAAAAACAGAGAGACCCGTCTGCAGTCCCTGCACTTACTTATGCTTCAGATGGTATTACTAGTTTCACACATGCCTTCACTCCCATGCTGTAATTGTAATACAATTTATAAGGTCATTTTCCCTATAGAATATCTGTGTGTGTGTGTGTGTGTGTGTGTGTGTGTGTGTGTGTGTGTATATATATATATATGTATAAAATTATAAAGTTCCTATGTATAGATTATATGGAATAATAAAAAATAATGATTTTTTTTTTTGAAATGGACTCTCGTTCTGTCACCCAGGCTGGAGTGCAGTGGCATCATCTCGGCTCACTGCAACCTCTGCCTCCCAAATTCAAGCGATTCTCCCACCTCAGCATCCCGCGTAGTAGCTGAGATTACAGGTGTGCATTACCACGCCCTGCTAATTTTTGTATTTTTAGTAGGGACTCGAATTCCCAACCTCAGGCAACAGTACCGCCTCAGCCTCCCAAAGTGCTGGGATTGCAGGCGTGAACCACCATGCCCGGCCCCAAAAATTATGACATTCCTTTCTTTTCTTTTCTTTTTTTTTGAGATGGAGTCTCACCCTGTCACCCAGGCTGGAGTGCAATGGCACAATCTCGGCTCACTGCAATCTCCACCTCCTGGGTTCAAGGAATTCTCCTGCCTCAGCCTCCCGAGTAGCTGGGATTACAGGCACGCACCACCATGCCTGGCTAATTTTTTGTATCTTTAGTAGAGACGGGGTTTCACCATGTTGGCCAGGCTGGTCTCAAATCCCTGACCTCTTGATCTGCCCGCCTCGGTCTCCCAAAGTGCTGGGATTACAGGTGTGAGCCACTGTGCCTGGCCTGACATTTCTAAATGTAATGTAGTTTCCTAAAATACAAAAAGCCAGCCTGGCCAACATGGCAAAACCCTGTCTCTACTGAAAATACAAAAATTAGCCAGGCATGGTGGCATAGGGCTGTAATCCCGTTACTCATGTGACTGAGGCATGAAAAATCACTTGAACCCAAGAGGCAGAGGTTGCGAGGTAGAGGTTACAGTGAGCCAAGATAGCGCCACTGCACTCCAGCCTGGGAGACAAAAGCAAGACTCTGTCTCAATTTTAAAAATAAATAAATAAATAAATACAAAAAAGACTTTGGACGAGGTGAGGTGGTTCTCACCTGTAATCCAGCACTTTAGGAGGCCAAGGCAGGTAGATCACTTGAGCTCAGGAGTTTGAGACCAACCAGGGTAACATGGCCAAACTACATCTCTACACAAAATACAAAAAATTTAGCCAGGCATGGTGACACATGCCTGTGGTCCTAGCTACTCAGGAGGCTCAGATGGGAGGATCACTTGAGCCCAGGAAGTTGAGCCTGCAGTGAGCCATGGTTGCACCACTGCACTCCAGCCTGGATAACAGAGTGAGATACTGTCTCAAAAACAAACAACAAAAATATGCAACATAAGAGAAAGTTTGGTGATGATTATATAAGAACTCTGTACTATTTTATTTATGTATTTATTTATTTCTCTTTTGAGATGGAGTCTTGCTCTGTTGCCCAGGCTGGAGTGCAGTGGTGCAATCTTGGCTCACTGCAACCTCCACCTCCCAGGTTCAAGTGATTCTCCTGCCTCAGCCTCCCAAGTAGCTGGGATTACAGGTACACACCACCACCCCTGGCTAATTTTTGTATTTTTAGTAGAGACAAGGTTTCACCATCTTGGCCAGGCTGCTCTCAAACTCCTGAGCTCAGGTGATCACCTTGCCTTGGTCTCCCAAAGTTCTGGGATTACAGGCATGAGCCACCGTGCCCAGCCAGAACTCTGTAATATTTTGACAACTCTTCTTTAAGTTCAAAATTATCTCAAAAATAAATAAATAAATAAATAAGAAGCCATTATAGGCACTCTAACATCACCACGATTGAGATCATAAGAGTAGGGTTTGGGTTGGGGGTACAGCTACATTTCAGATTCTTCCATAGCACCTGTCTGCTCTTCAGGCCCTCACTGAAGCTCTGAACCTCAGGGATTTTTTATTTCTTCCTAGTTCAATCTTAGTAGGTTATATATGTTCAGGAATTCACCCATTTCTTAATAGGTTTTCCAATTTTTTGGCATATGGTTTTTCATAACAGTCTCTGATGATCTTTTGTATTTCTGTAGTATCAGTCGTAATGGCTCCTTTTTCATTTCTAATTTTACTTATTTGGGTCTTTCTTGTTTTCTTGGTTAGTTTAGCTAACAGTTTATTGATTTTATCTTTTCAGGAAACAAACTTCATTTTATTGATCCTTTTCTTAGTCTCTATTTTGTTTCATTCTGTTCTGATATTTATTATTTTTCTTTCTTTCTAATTTTGGGTTTGGTTTGTTCTTGCTTTTCTACATCCTTAGGTTGTTTATTTGAAATCTTTCTATTGTAATGTCAGCATTTATTGCTACAAATTTCCCTGTTAGAACTTCTTTTGCTGTATTTCATAGGATTTGTTGTGTTGTGTCTCCATTTTAATTTGTTTTGATCATTTTTTATTTCCTTCTTAATGTCTTCATAGACCCAATTATTATTAAGAAGCATGGTGTTTAATTTCCATATATTTGAAAACTGTACATTTTCAAAGTTCCTCTTGTTATTCATTTCTAGTTTTATTCTATTTTTATCTGAGTAGCAACTTGATATGATATTGACTTTGTTTTAATTTCTGAGACTTGTTTTGTGGCCTAATATATAGTCTATCCTGGAGAATGTTCCATGTGCTGATGAGAAGAATGTGTATTTTGTAACTGTTAGATGAAATGTTCTGTAAATGCCTGTTAAGTCCATTTGGTCTATAATGCAGATTAAGTCTGATGTTTCTTTGTTGATTTTCTATCTGGATGATTTCTCCAAAGTTGAAAATGGGATATTGAAGTTCCTAACTGTAATTGTATTGGAGTTTAATCTCTCTTTAGTGCTAATAATCTTTGCTTTACCTATCTGTGTGCTCCTATATTGAGCGCACATATATTTACAATTGATATATGCTCTTGCTGAATTGATCCTTTTATCATTATATAATGATCTTTGTCTTTTCATTGTTGTTGTTTTTTATGTAGAATCTAATTTGTCCGACATAAGTATAGCTACTCCTGCATGCTTTGTCTTCCATTTGCATGGAATATTCTTTTCCTTCCCTTCGCTTTCAGTGTATGTGTGTCTTCACAGGCGAAGTGAGTTTCTTGTAGGTATCATATAGTTCAGTCTTGGTTTTTTTCCATCTATTCAGCCAGTCTGTATCTTTTAATTGGGGAATTTAAACCATTTATAATCAAGATTGTTATCAATAGGTGAGGACTTGCTCCTGTCATTATGTTGTTTTCTGATTATTTTGTATATCTTTTGTTCCTTTCTTCCTCTTTTATTGTTTACTTTTATGATTTGGTGGTTTTCTGTAATGATAACTTGATTTGTTTCTCTCTCTCATTTGTGTATGTGCTCTACCAGTAACTTTTATATTCTCATGTGTTTTCATGATGTCAGATAGCATTTATTTGCTTCCAGATGTAGGACTCCCATAAGCTTTTTTTGTAGATCCCCTCTAACAGTGATTAATTCCCTCAGTTTTTGCTTTTCTTATAAAGACTTTACTTCTCCTCATTTTCTGAAAAAAAGATAGCTGTACTGGTTATAGTATTCTTCTTAACTAGCAGGGTGTTTTTTTTTCTTTCAGCACTTTGAATATATCAACTCATTTCCTCCTGGCCTATAAGATATATACTGAGAAATATGCTGCTGGTCTGATGAGAATTCCCTTATGTGTGACTTGACGCTTTTCTCTTGCAGTCCTTAGAATTCTTCTTTGAGTTTTGATAGTTTGACTATAATGTGCCTTGGAGAAGACCTTTTGGGATTAAATCTATTTGGGGATCTTTGAGCTTCCTGTATCTAGATGTCTATATCTCTCTGAAGATTTGGGAAGTTTTCAGTTATTATATTATTAAATAGATTTTCTACATGTTTCCCCATCTCCTCTCCTTCTGAAACTCCCAAAATTAAATATTTGTCCACCTTTTGGTGTCCTACATGTAACATAGGCTTTCTTCATTCTTTTTTATTCTGTTGTTGTTGTTTTGTCTGACTGGGTTACTTCAGACCTGTCTTCAAGTTCAGAAATTCTTTTTTCTGCTTGATCTAGTCTATTGTTGAAGCTCTCCCTTGTATTTTTTTTTCCTTTCATTGAATTCTTCATTTCCAGGATTTCTGTTTGGCTTTTTTTTTTAATGATATCTATCTCTTTGTTGAATTTCTCATTCATATCATGAATTGTTTTTCTGATTTCCTTGTATGGTTTATCTTTTATATCTCACTGAGTTTCCTTAAGATCATTATTTTGAATTTCTTAGGCATTTCATAGTTTTCCTTTACTTAGGATCTATTATTACAGGACTATTATTTTCCTTTAGAAAGTCATATTCCCTTGCTTTTTATGGTTTGTGTGTGTGTGTGTGTGTGTGTGTGTGTCTTTACATTGTTATCTGCACACCTGATATAACAGTCACTTATTCCAAATTTATGGATTGGTTTTTATAGCGAAAGACTTTTTTCCTGTAAAAGTATCTATAGCATTGGTTGTGTAGTGTGCTTTGGTTTTGATTATGAGTGGATGCAGTAGTGTAGTCTCCATATGATTTCTTCAACTGTAGTCAACATCAGCAGTGTCTCTGAGTTCCTCAGTGGCTTAGGCTACACTTGTTAGTGTTGGCTTTAGTGAGGCTCTGCTGGAAACTGGAACACCAGGCAGTCCAGTCCTCAGGCTCCTGGGAAGTGCATATAGGTATCAGCAGAAGCAAGCTGATCCTCAGGCCCCTAGATGGCACACATGGATGCCAGCAGTGGCAGTGGCAGTGGGCAGGGCCGGCCGATCCTCAGGCTCCCACACAGCATGCATGAGCACCACTGGTTGTAGGTGGTATGGACTGATCCTCAAGCCTTCAAACAACATGTGTAGGCACTGGCAGTGGTGGGCTAGGCAGGCCTGTCCTTACGCTCCCAAACAATGTGTGTGAGTGGATCGGTCTTCAGGATGCCTGAAAGCATGCTCAGGTGCTTGTCCGTCCTGTCTCTAGAGTGGCTGGGGTTGCTGTCAGTAGCAGCAGCCCCAGGAAGGTAGCTCCCAGGCTCTGGGGATTATGCATTATGGCTCCTTTTGTCCTGGGGGAAGACTTCCTGGTGTGCTAGTCCACCTGTTCCCTGGGATATAGGACACTGCATTGGCTAGTGTGATGGAACCCCCTATGACACTGGAAAGGAAGGGTCCAGCTGGCATTGTGACATTGCAAACCCTAAATTGACATTTGAGAATGTCAGTGGGGGCTAAAGGGATATTTGCTTTGCCTTTTTTTTTCTTCCTAACATCTAAAACCCTTCCTATATTGGAAGAAAACCCTATCTTGAGAGTCTTTGTGCAAGTTATACACTGATTATCACAACGAAACAGAAAATATCAGATTCTCAAATGTCTAACAATGCAGCCAGCCTGTGTACCTTATCTAAGCATAGATGTGTGTCCTCTGTTCAACCACTTAGAGCTACCAGGATTCTAAGTCAAAGGAGCAAGGATGCAAAGGAACAGGGATGGTGAAGATTTCATTTTAGAGCTGGTAGCAGTGACTGAAAGTTCTAGTTTCCAGGGGTAAAAGTAGTGATGGTACAAGTCACAAGACATGGTGTCCCATGGGTGATATCAATGGGTCAAGCTACATCACCCAGTGTACAGTGGCAGAGGTATCTTTGTAAGGCCAGTTCTGTGTCATGCTTTTGGTTGTAGTTCAGTCTGTTACTCTTCATTTCCAAGCTCCCTGATGACTCTGCAAGCTGTTCAATGTCTTTACAATTTCATTTTCTGTTTAAATCAACCAATTTGATTCTGTCACTGAGAACCCCAATTTATACATATTATTTATGCAATTATAGAATTAGTTCAGTTCAAACGATTTAAGCAATAGTATTTTTTAACTTGAAATGTTATTATTTATGTATTGGCATATAATAGATTATTTAAGGCTGTTAAAAATTATTTAAAATAGTTAAAAGAGGGTTGGAAATAGTCATGACACATGCTATGATTCAATAAATGTAATGAACATAGCAAGTAGTACACATTAAATAGTTATACTTTATGTCTATAAAGAAAATATTAGAACCATATTTTTTAAATTCAGTCAACAAAATGAACTTGAACGTCAGTGTCCAAGAACTACCAAAGAGAAAATTGCTCAATAATTTCATTATAGTGTGATTCATAAGATCTCACTAAAAGCACTGAAGTGTATTCTATATAGGAAGGTTTGGTGATCAGCTTTTTAAATTTTACTCGTGAAATAATAGGAATTAATACTGTCCCTTTTTACATCGATCAGAACCATGCACTGAAACTCAGATATAACACAAGGCTTTCAAATTCTGGCCCTAGCCTATGTCAGCTTGATTGTGTCATTTAGCCTTAATCCTTATTCACCAATCATGTTTCCTGCAGTGATGTCACACTGACCATTAACCATATGGGAGTCAATCTCCTCTCTCCCCTACATTCACTTATTCAGCCTGCTTTTGAGTTGAAAGTTTTTCCTTGTTGGATCAAAATATTGCTTCCTCTCAAACATATGAGACATTTTCAGATTCACTTCTTGGTTTTAATGACATTATAAAATTTGTTTAATATAAAAGTCTTCAAGTTCCTTAATTGCAATAATGACTTGCCTATTCATATGAGTTATAAATATAATAGTTTGAATAATGTTAATTATGATTTTATACCAATAAAATAGTTGAAAGAAAACAGTCTAAGCTAACTCAGTATGTAGGCTTGCATAATTTTTTAATTAAGTCCTATTCACGTTTTAACCCGAATCTCCATAAAAGATTAGGCATTCAATTACATATTTATTATTTCCTAGTTACTTTCATGAGTCTGAGATATGATCTGCCATTTAAGAGTTCCTATCACTTTGAATTATATGTTTATAAAACAGAAGAGTCAAAAAATGTAACTTAAATAAATGTGTGTGTTTAAAAAGGAATTACCCAGCTCACAATTTTTCAACTTATAAATAAGCAGTCCTGCTCTACCCTTAGTTGCTTCCCTGTCACTCTCCATGTGATCTATAGTAGAAATCTAGGCCTGGCAGATGACAATGAGTAGGGTATGGGGAGCATTCCTACTCAAGCAGCAAGGAAGAGTATCAGAACTTCCTAGGAAAGGGAATGCTCTTTTGCAAAATATGAATGGTTACTGTGGTAGGCAGAATTCTAAAGAGAGATCCCCCAAGATTTCCTTCCTTTGGTTATTTAATCAAACTACTCTAGGTACTGCCGTGAAGGGATTTTGCTAATGCAACTAAAATCCCAAACCACTGATTTTAAAATACAAAGATTATCTGGGTGGGCCTAATCATATCCCATGAGCCTTTTAAAAGCAGTTTTCTCTGGCTGGCAGAAGGGAAATTCAGAGAGGTAGGAAGCCACTAGGATTCAGTGAACCATTGCTGGCTTGAAGACAGAGGAGGCCACATGACAAACAATGACAGCAACTTCTAGAAGCTGAGGGCAGCCCCCAGAGAACCACCAGCAAGGAAACAGGGACCTGAGTCCTACAGATGGAAGCCACATTTGGTCAAAAATCTGAAAGAGCTTGGAAATACATTCTTCCCCATAACCTCCATATGACAGCCCAGCCCAAAATCAAAACATTGGTTTTGGCCTTGTAAGACCCTAAAAGAAGAAAACTCACCCTGACTTCCAAGTTATAGAACTATGAGATAATAAATAGGTGTTGTCCCTAAATTAGTGGTAAACTTGTTACACAGTAGTAGAAAATGAATACAGTGATAAAGGGCTAGAAATAAGCATGGCTTGGACTTCTCAGTAACGAAGCTGTAGTTTAGAAGAAAATGTAAGTTGCTTTTGAAATTCTGAGGAAAAGCAATTTCAAATCCAAAACTATCTATCCAGTCAAACTATCAAACAAATGTGAGGATATACCAAGATATTCTGAAGACACAGTATTGTCATTATGAAGCCTTTCTGAGGAGGTTACTAGAAGATGTGCTCCTCTACAAAGAAAGTAAACTAAAAAAGAAGAAATCATGCAGTTCAAGAAACAACAGATCCTACTTATAGAAGAAGTGAAAAGAGTTCCCATGATGATGGCTGTATACAAGGCCCACAGAGAAATCATTCTAGAGGAAAGCAGTTCTGAAGGCCTGGGAGAGATTCTTCAGAATGGTGGACATTGTAAGAATGCCTGGTGGGTCTGAATGTATGAAGAGGAGATTTAGACAACTGGCTGAGAGTTTAGGGCCAAATTGATTATTAGTATATAGAAAGACAAGTAAATAGAAAAGAAAAAGAAAAAAAAACCTGTTATTAGCCCAAAGGAAAACAAAAAGTTGTAGTACAGAAAAAAATACTCATAGAATGATATTTGGCAAAGGAATAAATAGCATTTATAGTTAAGATACTATAAGCACACATAATACTGTAAACTTACAATGTGATAATGTGATTATGTTAGAAATGCATACCACTATCAGTATTTTGGTTTAAAGTCTTATGTGTTCATCAAAATCTACCATTGTCCTCTATAGCATTGGCTCACAGGAAACCCAATCATTGTTTATAACTTAATTTCTAAAGGAAAATAATTCTATGACCTAAATAAGAGATTTACAATTGCACTTTTGGAGCTGACACCATTATCCCACAAAAAAAAATAAATATTCCTTTAAAAAATTATTAGCAATATTATTATGCTAATGCTAAAAACATTAGCAATAGAAGGATGAAACCTAGACTCAGAAATATATGTTTTGGGTTGGGTAATTCTTTGTTTCCTCTTTAACAGATTTTAGTAAGGTGGTTTCTTTTTTATTTCTTCTCTTTTACTTTTCTGTAAATTTAAAATTTTAAATGCGTATTCAATAACCTCACATCTGTGTCAGCTAAGATTGGGTTCATTTGGGAATAACAGAAAATCTAAAATAATAGTAGCTTAAACTAACTAGAATTTTATTTTCCGCCAAAAATAAAATTTAAAGACAGGCAATTCAAGATTTGTAGTGTATTCCAAAGACACAGTATCTTCATGATGAGACCTGTCTTGGGAGGTCACTAGAAGTGTCAGAGATCCCTTTTCTTTATGTCTTATTACTCCACCAATCACAACCATTGCATTTTCCATATGAGCCAAGATAACGATAGGTAGCAGATATCATGTTCTCATTTCAGGCAGCAGGAAAGCCCTGTTAGGTGGTCATGCCCCTCACTTTAAGATTACAACCTTCTGCTTACATCCCACTGGTCTAGAATTAATCACATGGCGACCTTACTCCAAGAAAGATTAGGAAGTATTGTCTACTGTGGGCAGCCATTTGTTCAGCTAGAAATCATGGGTTCCATAACCACAGAAGCAGCAAAGAATGGGCCAACCAACACTCTTTGGTCCAATATCTTTTACTTAAAAATTTTCTCCCACTTACTGAAAGACCATCCTTTTCATAAACTAAATTTTCAAAACTAAATGGTCTGTTTCTGGATTCTATATTCCATTCTGTTGATGCATTTGTTGAATTTACACTAATTCTGCATTGTTTTATTTACCAAAAATTTAAAGTATACTTTTGTGATATTGTGACATCGGAAATATCTATTTGGTCTCTGTCCCCGGTTCCTGGCACATAACTCCTAAAACTCTTCTAATTTCCTGAGCAATAGGGGTGCTAGGTGAATATTTCGTTCTAATAAGGTCTTTGACACAGAGCTCCCAATCCCTTGAAATTTCCTGGGTGATAGGAGTGTCTCTTGTTTTAATGAGGCAACTCTTGGTGGGCGTCTGCATGGAGGTTGGTAACCAGAAAGACTAAGTCATGATTTAAAGCCTGGAACTTTTGAGCCCACCCCACCATCGTCCTGAAAGAGGAGAAAAGCTGGACATTGAGTTAATAATTGATCATATCTTCTTGAAAAAGCTTCCGTAAAAATCCCTGAACAATGGGTTTGGAGAGCAACTGGACTGCGGAACACATGGAGATGCTGAGCCCTGGAGAGGACGTGGAAACTCTGTACCCCTTCCCCCATATCTTGCCTAATGCATCTGGCTGTTCATCTGTATCTTTTATAATATCCTTTATAATAAACTGGCAAAAAAAAGTAAAGTGCTTTCCTGAGTTCTGTGAGCCACTCTAGTAAATGATTAAATGATTTAACCTAAGGAGGGAGTCATGTGAATCCCAATTCATAGCCAGCCGGTCAGAAGTTCCCAGATTGCAGTTGGCCTCTGAAGTGGGGGCAATCCTGTGAGACTGAGCCCTTAACCTATAGGATGTGACTCTAACTCTAGGTAGATATTACCAGAACTGAATTGAATTATAGGCCTGGAACTTTCGAGCTCACCCCACCATCCTTTTGAAAGAGGAGAGAAGCTGGAGATTGAGTTAATGCTCGGTCATGCCTTCTTGAAAAAGCCTCCATAAAAATCCCTAAACAATGAATTGGGAGACCTATGGACTGCTGAACACATGGAGAAGCTGAGAGGGGTAGCATCTCCTGGCGAAGTATGAAAGTTCCAGTCTTCAAATCATGGCTTAGTCTTTCTGGTTACCAGCCTCCATTCAGATGCCCACCAAAAGTTGCCTCATTAGAACAAGAGGCACTCCTATCATCCAGGAAATTTCAAGGGATTGGAAGCTCTGTGCCACCAGAGACACCCAGTTGATGTTTGCTGGAGAATTAGTATGTGGGGAAAAATAAATCCTACCCATCTGGTGTCAGAAGTGAGGAACTGAGAATGAGTGGTGAGTAGGAGAGGGAAAAACAATTCATGGGGCAAATCTTACTTCATTATTTCTTTTCAAAATTTCTTAGTTTTATGTATTTTTCCTTACTGATTAATTTTAAAACCAGTCTTTTTTAAAACAAAAAAAAGAACTCCAAAGTACTTTGAATTTGCATTAACTAAATATTTGGGGGAAATTGACATTTTTACAATTTGGAGGGTTATAATAATATGGTTTACTATTGATTTAGGTCTTCTTTGTGCTCTTCAGTTAAGTTATAAGGTCTAATTTACTGTTCAGACATATAATTTCAAGGTCTATGACTTTCCTGCTTCAGTGTCTTTTCTAATCCATCATTATTCCATCAGTTCATTCACTCATTCATTCTTTCATTCATTCATTTGTTTTCCAAGATGGCTTTTTCCAGTATGCTTAAAAGGCTAGAGAGGTCTCTAAGATAAGGAACTGCTTATCTTACAGTGACACATTTCATGAAATAAGATAACTGATGCCAAAGTCTTTTGAAAATTTGGAAAATTACCACGTAAATATCTGTTCCATTCTTATACTCAATTAGTCACTAAGTGAAAACATGTAAGCTGAATCTCACAATGACTAATGTTTCTGCAGCCTGCTTAAATAAGCGGTAACTTATTTAAAAATCCAAAATGCTTGCTAAGTCATATATGACTCATACAGCAGAGTCCATTAGTCAGGAATGACTTGTAGGGAAATATTCCTAATATTAGAAAAAGGTTAATTGTGTGAATAAGAAAATAAGATATAAGATCAAGTCTGCTTCTAGCTCTTGAAAATTTTCTTAAAATTGGAGGAGAAACTCCTTTCTCCAAGTAAGAAAAAAACAAATAAAACCACTGATTTATAACAAAAGAAAGCATAAATAAGCTAGTCATTCAATATTAGCCAAGAGCTGAAGAATATAGTCTAACGTAAATACAGCAGCTCAGGAGACAATGACCTTGAAAACTAGCAGCCACAAAAGAAAGAACAGACTAATATAAAAGTATGGACTGGGAGGCAGAAATGGGCAGATCACCTGAGGTCAGGAGTTCGAGACCAGCCTGGTCAACATGGCAAAACCCCGTCTTTACTAAAAACACAAAAATTAGCTGGGAGCTGTGGCGCATGCCTGTAATCCCAGCTACTCGGGAGGCTGAGGAAGGAGAATTGCTTGAATCCAGGAGGCGGAGGTTTCAGTGAGCCGAGATCACACCACTGCACTCCAGCCTGGGCGACAGAGTTAGACTCTGTCTCAAAAGAAAAAAAAAAATATATGGAAATGTAATTAAGCATTCACAATGCAGGTCTACGAGCTCTTGGTGCGCATGGCATTCTAGTTTCTATTTTGATTTTTTAGTTAACGGCTCAACAAATATTTTGGAACATATCATCTCTACAAGGCACTAGTAGATGTTGAAGAGAGACAACATCTTATTGCACATCTGGCCTACAGTAATCTGTGTTTGGTAGGAGTCATGGAGCATTATTTAGTATCTTAACCCAAAGTAGGATACTAACTACACTAGAAATGAAGATTTTTACTTTTTTTTTTTTTTTTTTTGCTTTTTTAAAATAGAGGTGGGGTCTTGCTGTGTTGCCCGGGCTGGTCTCGAAATCTTGGCCTGAAGCAATCCTCCTGCCTCGCCTTCCTAAAGCACTGAGATTACAGGCATGAGCCACCACACCTGGCCAGAAGTATAGATTTTTAAAACTACGTAGTAAAGGCTTTCAAAGGGGAACAAGTTAATGCAAAGTTCTTTGGAAGAGTTAGCATTGGAATGCAGCCTTCAAGCAATCGAGAATTGTTCCTGTAAAGTTGAAGATAAGGAAAAGGGGGCAGAAGTCAAAGCACTGAGCTTACTGTGCACAGAAAAACAAGGTGAATACTCAATTTAATGATGCATGAAGAAAGGAAGAGAAACAGGAGTCCTTTAGACCTTGATTTTCAAAGAGCTTCTTACATGCCATAGGCTGCCCTCAAACTTTTGGTTGTTTTGTTGTTATTGACTTAAGTAAGATAATAAACTTAATCAGAACTGTGCTTTGGAATGATTCATTAAGAAGCCACTCTGTAATGTAAATTGTGAGAGTATTAAGGCAGAGACTGGAGACTGGGGGCTAAATTAGGAAATATTTGTAGCTGATGAGAAACATGGTTGGTAGAATTCTAAAAAGGCCCCTAAATTCCCAACCCTTGGTGCAAAAACACCTTCTCCTAGGTATTCAATCAAACATTAATCTAGGTGTTGCTGTGAAAAGATTTGTGATGTGGCTATGGCCTCAAATCAGTTAAGGTTGAGAAACATTCTAAGAAAGTCTGACCTAATCACAAACCCTTTAATCTGTGTTTAGAGGTCAGCAACAGGGAAGTTGGAGAGATTCAAACTATGATTGCAATTCGACAAGGGAGAGTTTTTCCACCACGGGCTTTGAAGATGGAGAGGACCACATGGCAAAGAATGCAGATGGCCTCTGGAAGCTGAAAGTGCCCTTGGCCAACAACCAGCAAGGAAACAGGAACCAGAGTCTTACAATAAAAAGGGCTTAAAATAACACAAATTTATGATAGCACAGCTTCTGTAGATGAGATGTACTAACGACGTGATTGAGTTCTGTGCTCAAGTTATCATAAGACTGAAATCAAGGTGTTGGGTAGGCTGAGTCCTTCTACGGAGACTGGGAACAATCCACTTCTCAACGCATTCTGGTGGCATTTAGGGATAAGCTGGTTTATCCAGGCCAGCTTCACAGAAGATGAATATAGTTCCATTTCAGTTATTAGAGACCTACCCAAAGATTTAGAAGAATGTTTGATTATTTGAAAGCATTTTAAAACTATTCATTCAACAAGGAAAAGTTGAAAAAGAGTTCAGTACCTATCATGTAAATTATTAAGGTTGGTGCAGAAGTAATTAGCAAAAACCGCAAATACTTTTGCACCAACCTAATAATTAACTCATGAGGAATGGTAAAAGTGAGTAAGCTTTTTAGTTAAGAAAACTGGATTTATAGAGTTATTCTAGCTGTGTTCTATTCAATTATTACCTTGATTTCTTTCATTCTTTCTTTGGTTATAATATGAAAGCAATTACTATATTAATTATTTCACAGGGTTGTTAGTAGGACCAAATTTATTAAAATATACAAAGGACTTCACAAACTGGAAAATATTTTACAGATTTGTAATTATAATTATTACTGGATCTAGTCATAGTTATTTGTCTGCAAACCATAAATTATCTCAGTGCATTCAAATTAACCTGGTTGTGAAGATTTAAAATTTTTTACTTTATTTCCAGTTTTAATAAACAGCATACTGAAAATAGTGCCACAGGCACATCATAAAACTAACTACAAAGTAAACAGTTCAGGCCAGGGGTGGTGGCTCACGCCTATAATCCCAGCACTTTGGGAGGCCAAGGTGGGTGGATCACCTGAGGTCAGAAGTTCCAGACCAGCCTGGCCAACATGGTGAAACGCTCTCTCTACTAAAAATACAAAAATTAGCTGGACATGGCAGCGCACACCTGTAATCTCAGCTATTCAGGAGGCTGAGGCAAGAGAATCACTTGAACCTGTGGGGCAGAGGTTACGGTGAGCTGAGATGGTGCCACTTCACTCCAGCCTGGGCCACAGAGCCATCTAAAAAAAAAAAAACAAACAAACAAAAACGAGTTCAGACGACCAATTGGTAAGTAAAACAATTGGTTTTTTATCCTAATAAAAAAGAATTTGCCATTCAATCACTAACATCCAAAACTATTTACAGTGCTATATTCTGAATATTTGTGTCTCTTCCACCCAAATTCATATGTGGAAATGTTAACCCCCAAGGTTAACATAAGAGGTGGGTCCTTTGAGAGGCGATTAGGTTATCAGAATGGAACCCTCACAAATGGGATTAGTGTCTTTATAAAAGAGACCCCAGAAAGATCCCTTCCCATTTCTACCATGTGAGGTTACTGTGAGAAAACCCTGTCTGTGAGGAAGCAGACCCTCACCAGACACCAAAGCTACCAGTGTCTTGTTCTGGGACTTCTCAAACTTCAGAACTGTGAGAAATACATTTCTGATATTTATCTGCCACCCAGTTTATGGTGCTTTCTAATAGCAGCCTGAAAAGATTAAGACAAAAGGAAGGAAAAAAAGCAGATATTTGCTTTATAAATATCTCTGTGTGTGTGTGTGTATGTGTGTCTGTGTGTGTCTGTGTGTGTGAGAGAGAGAGAGAGAGGAAGAGAGAGAGAGAGAGAGACAGAGAAAGAGAGACAGAAACAGAGACAGAGTCTCACTCTGCCACCTAGGCTGGAGTGTAGTGGTGCGATTTCAGCTCACTGCAACCTCTGCCTCCCAGGTTCAAGTGATTCTTGTGCCTCAGCTTCAAGCAGCTGGGATTACAGGTGCCCGCCACCATGCCAGGCTAATTTTTTGTATTTTTAGTAGAGACGGGGTCTTCCTATGTTGGCCACTCTGGTCTCGAATTCCTAGCCTCAAGTGAACCACCCACCTCGGCCTCCCAAAGGGCTAAGATTACAGATATGAGCCTCCACACTCAGCCTAAATATCTTAAATATGAATGTCAAAATAAAACTAACAGCAATCTAATGATCTTGACCACTTTGATTTACATGGAGACTAATAATTTTTTAAATGATGTTTCAATGACATATACTGTATAGTCTTTTTAAACCTGAGACTGATTTACTGTTTCAATATATCAGAGAACATTTAAAGAAAATTGTGTCATTGCCTCAGGATTTTCCAATGTATAAAGAAAGAATTTCTTGTAATGACCTCGTAGATATGGTACTTAAGAGTAAGTAACAAATAGACAAATAATTTTAAAACAAGAAATGGTTGAGACAGAAATGACCTTCCTGGAAAATAAATGCAATTAGAAAAAAGACTATTGTTACATGAAATGAATTATATGAAGGATGTTTCTAGGCAAACAGTAGGTGGCAACATCTACACAGACTTGTTTTAGAAATGCTTGTATAACATCAAAACAAAACTTACAAGCTAATGATTCATGAAATAGGGAATTTTCCAAAACTCACATGTTAGTAGAGATATTTATGCGCAAATCCATTGTTTTGTATTCTTTCTATTTTGGAATGTCATGCTTATGCCTTATCACAAGGACTCCACTAAGATCAATAATCTTAAAAATGTTTTGTTTGGCCAGGTGTAGTGACTAACGCCTAGAATCCCAGCACTTTGGGAGGCTGAGGCAGGATTGCTTGAACCAAGAATTTCGGGACCAGCTCTGGCAATATAGAGAGTCTCCATCTCTACAAAAAATACGAAAATTCACCAGGTGTGGTGGTACATGCCTGTGGTCCCAGCTACTTAAGAGGCTGAGGCGGGAAGATTGCTTGAACCTGGGACATCAAGGCTTCACTGAGCCATGATCACACCACCGCACTCCAGTCTGTCTCTCTCTCTCTCTCTTCCTCTCTCTCTCTCTCACACACACACAGACACACACACACACACACACACAGACACACAGTTTTATTTGTGGGTTATGTTAGAGACTGTTCATCTGTCTCTCAAACAAAGGGATAGAATTTTGTTCCCCTCACATTTCTTGGCCAGATTAGGTGGTTGAATTAGATAAGAGTAAGGATTAAGGGAACCATGCAAACAGCTGGATTTTTTTTTAATGCCACAATATGACCTCAATTACTGGAGTTCACAGAAGTTGCAGAAGACACATCCGGTGGTCAAGAAAAGGGGAAGCTGCCTTAAGTTTCCTTTTCTCTTGTGAGCGCAACAACCTCCATCTGTCTTTCTCTGTAACGCTGAAGACAGACACGTGACCCTGGTTCTCACAGAAGAACTTTCAAATCTAAAAAGCCATTTTAGGAAATAATTGGAAAAGTCTCTGTAGCCTTTGAGCTCCAGGATATTTGTTTTCCAGAATGATGAGATTGGTTATTGAATGTTTTAATGGTTGGAAACCAGAGAGTAGCTTTAGAGGCAAGCAGAGGCGCTGCTTTTTAACAGCAGAGGTCAGTAACACCAAAGGGGAAGGAAATTGAGCAGTCTGGCCAGAAATTGCAGATTTCTGTTGCAGACCCAACAGGCAAGAGGCAATAGGCAACATCCTGAGACACACAGGAAAACCTGATCCTTAGTACCTAACAGGGTCTCCTGTGCAGAAAATGTTCCCATCCCTGGCAACAGTGCCTTCCTGGATATGCTCACAGATGTTTAAGACTCTCCCTACCAGAGAAATAGCTTCTATCACAGAGTATTTTGTAGGGAACCATAACAGAACGTAAGGTGAAGTTTTCTACTATACTCTTATAATTATTGAAATTTTTCCTACTTCATTAATACCTGGACTTAGATTTCTCTTTTAGAAAGAAGCAGTTTGTAGCAAAAAAAAAAAAAAAAAAAGAAAAAATAATGTTTTTCACAGAAATTGAAAAAACAATCTCAAAATTTGCATGAAACCAAAAAAGAGCCTGAGTAGCCAAAGCAGTCCTCAGCAAAAAGAACAAAGCTGCAGACATCACACCACCTGACTTCAAAATATATTACAAGGTTATAGTAACCAAAGCATCATTACAGTGATACAAAAACTGACACATAGACCAATGAAACAGAATAGAGAACCTGGAAATAAGTCTACATATAAGGCAACTGATTTTTTTTATAAAGTTGCCAAGAATATACATTGGGAAAAGGGACACCGTCTTCAATAAATGGTGCTAAGAATACTGGATATTTATACACAGAAGAATGAAACTAGACCCCTATCTCTCACTACATATAAAAATCAACTCAAAACGGATTAGACTTAAACATGAGACCTCAAACTATAAAACTACTAGGGAAAAAACCTAGAGAAAACACTTTAGGGCATTGGTCTAGGCAAAGACTTTATGGCTAAGACCTCAAAAGTACAGGTAACAAAAATAAAAATAGACAATGGTACCATATTAAACTAAAAAGCTTCTGCACAACAAAGAAAACCATCAATATCATGAAAACACAGCCTGCTGAATGGGAGAAAATATTTGCAAACTGCTTGTCTGACAAGGGACTGATATCCAAAATACATAAGGAACTCAAACAGCAAAAAAAATAAATAAATAATCCCTTTAAAAAGTGGGCAAGAGGTCTGAATAACATTTCTTGGACGAAGACACACAAATGGCCAGCAAATACATGAAAAAATGTTCAACGTCACTAATCATCAGGGAAATGTAAATTAAAACCAAAATGAGATACCATCTTACCCCAGTTAGAATAGTTATTATTAAAAAGACAAAAATATAACAGATGCTGGTGAGGATGCAAAGAAAAGGTAACTCTTGTACACTGTTGATGGGAATGTAAATTAGTACAGCCACTATGGAAGCAGTATGGCGATTTCTCAAAAAAACTAAAAATAGAAATACCATATGATCTATCACTACTGGGCAATTATCCAAAGGAAAGGAATCAGTATGTTGAAGAGACATCTGCGCTCACATATTTATTCCAGCACTATTCACAACAGCAAAGACAGAGAATCAACCTGTGTTCATCAACAGATGATTAAAGAAAATATGATACATATACACAATGGAATACTATTTAGCCATAAAAAAGAATGAGATAATACCATTTGCAGCAACATTGATGGAAGTGGAGATCATTATGTTAAGTGAAATAATCCAGACCCAGAAAAACAAATATTGCATGTTCTCACTCATATATGGGAGAAAAAAAAAAAGTTGATCTCTTGGATGTACAGAGTAAAATGACAATTACTAACGACTAGGAAGGGTATGGGTGTGGGTGTGGGTGTAGGGGAGGAAAAAGAAAGAATAGTTTCTAAAGTTCCATAGCAAAGAAGGGTGACTACAGTAAACAACAATGTATTGTATAGTTCAAAATAGCTACACAGAGGACTTGAAATGTTCCCAACACATAAAAATGATAAATGGAAAAGGTGATGTGTATCCTAAATACCCTGACTTGATGGTTACACATTCTATGCATATAACAAAATATCACATGTACCCTACAAATACATACAAATATTATGTATCAATTTAAAAAAAAATGAAAAATAAAATATCCCTACATTCTCTTGGCAAATATGTATTGAGTGCTGGGCACTGTTCTAAGTACTTGGGGCACAAAAGTGAAGAAAATGTACTTTGTCTCTTTCCTCATGGTAATTAGTCTAGTAGAGGCAGGCAGAAATTGAACAACAAAAAGAGTACATCCTATGCCAGGTGGTGTATTCATTTCTTTGGGCTGCCATAACCAAGTACTGTAAACTGGGTAACTTAAAACAACAGAAATTTATTGTGTCATTAATTCTTATGGCTGGAAGTTCAATCAAAGTGTCCACAGAGCCATGCTGTCTCTGAAACCTGGAGGAAAATCTTTCCTGGCCTTTCTCTCGCTTCTAGTCGTTTGCTGGCAATCTTTGGCATTCCTTGGCTTGTAGATGCATCACTCCAGTACTCTGTCTTTTTGTTTTGTTTTGAGACGGAGTTTCACTCTTGATGCACAGGCTGTTGTGCAATGGTGCAATCTTGGCTCACCACAACCTCTGCCTCCCAGGTACAAGCAATTCTCCTGTCTCAGCCTTCCAAGTAGCTTGGATTACAACATGTGCCACCATGCCTGGCTAATATTTTTTGTATTTAGTGGAGACGGGGTTTCACCATGTTACTCATGCTGGTTGTGAACTCCTGACCTCAGGTGACCCACCCACCTTGACCTTCCAATGTGCTGGTATTACAGGCGTGAGCCACTGGACCTCGCCAGTACTCTGTCTTCACATGGTGTTATTCCTGTATCTGTTCACATATTCTTCCTTCTACGCACATCTATATATATATGTCCAAATTTCCCCTTTTTATAAGGACACCGGTTATATTGCACTAGGGCCCACCCTAATAATCTCATCTTGACTACATCTGCAAACACTGTATTTAAAAATAAGATCACATTCTGAGATCCTGAAGGTTAGGACTTCAAGTTATCGTTTTGGGGAAAAACAATTCAACTCATAGTCCACATTTAAAAAAATAATAATAAAGCAGGCCAGGCACAGTGGCTCATGCCTATAATCCCAGCACTTTGGGAGGCTAAGGCAGGAAGATCACGTGAAGTCAGGAGTTCGAGACCAGCCTGAACAACATGATGAAACCCCATCTCTACTAAAAAAATACAAAAATTAGCTGGGTGTGGTGGCTCGTGCCTGTGATCCCAGCTACTCGGGAGGCTGAGGTGGGAGAATCGCTTGAACCTGAGAGGCAGAGGTTGCAGTGAGCTGATATCATGCCACTGCACTCCACCCTGGGCGACAAGAGCAAAACTCTGTCTCAAAAAGTTAAAAAATAAGAAAAATAAAAATAAAGCAGAGTAAAAGAAATAAAAGTAACAGTCAAGAGATGAGGCATGTTTAGGTAAGGTAGTCAAAGATGTGACATTTGGATAGAGAAGGTAAGATGTGAACAGACACTGAGGAATTGTGCCATGCATATACCTAGGAGAAGAGATATCTTCTCCTGAAAATATAGGATGTTAAGTGCCAAAACTGCAACATGACCAATTGTCTTCCAATCTTTAAAGCATCTTTATGGTTACAAAGAAATGTAAGTTAAAATCACAACCCCCAATTTTTTTTTATACTTTAAGTTTTAGGGTACATGTACACAACGTGCAGGTTTGTTACATATATATACATGTGCCATGTTGGTATGCTGCACCCATTAACTCGTCATTTAACATTAGTTATATCTCCTAATGCCATCCCTCCCCCCTCCCCCCACCCCACAACAGGCCCCGGTGTGTGATGTTCCCCTTCCCGTGTCCATGTGTTCTCATTGTTCAATTCCCACCTATGAGTGAGAACATGCGGTGTTTGGTTTTTTGTCCTTGCGATAGTTTGCTGAGAATGCTGGTTTCCAGCTTCATCCATATCCCTGCAAAGGACATGAACTCATCATTTTTTTATGGCTGCATAGTATTCCATGGTGTATATGTGCCACATTTTCTTAATCCACTCTATCATTGTTGGACATTTGGGCTGGTTCCAAGACTTTGCTATTGTGAATACTGCCTCAGTGAACATATGTGTGCATGTGTCTTTATAGCAGCATGATTTATAATCCTTTGGGTGTATACCCAGTAATGGGATGGCTGGGTCAAATGGTATTTCTAGTTCTAGATCCCTGAAGAATTGCCACACTGACTTCCACAATGTTCGAAGTAGTTTACAGTCCCACCAACAGTGTAAAGTGTTCCTATTTCTCCACATCCTCTCCAGCACCTGTTGTTTCCTGACTTTTTAATGATCGCCATTCTAACTAGTGTGAGATGGTATCTCATTGTGGTTTTTATTTGCATTTCTCTGATGGCCACTGATGATGAACATTTTTTCATGTGTCTTTTGGCTGCATAAATGTCTTCTTTTGAGAAGTGTCTATTCATATCCTTTGCCCACTTGTTGATGGGGTTGTTTGTTTTTTTCTTGTAAATTTGTTTGAGTTCATTGTAGATTCTGGATATTAGCCCTTTGTCAGATAAGTAGGTTGCGAAAATTTTCTCCCATACTGTAGGTTGCCTGTTCACTCTGATGGTAGTTTCTTTTGCTGTGCAGAAGCTCTTTAGTTTAATTAGATCCCATTTGTTAATTTTGGCTTTTGTTGCCATTGCTTTTGGTGTTTTAGACATGAAGTCCTTGCCCATGCCTATGTCCTGAATGGTAATGCCTAGGTTTTCTTCTAGGGTTTTTATGGTTTTAGGTCTAACATTTAAGTCTTTAATCCATCTTGAATTAATTTTTGTATAAGGTGTAAGGAAGGGATCCAGTTTCAGCTTTCTACATATGGCTAGCCAGTTCTCCCAGCACCATTTATTAAATAGGGAATCCTTTCCCCATTGCTTGTTTTTGTCAGGTTCGTCAAAGATCAGATAGTTGTAGATATGTGGCATTATTTCTGAGGGCTCTGTTCTGTTCCATTGGTCCATATCTATGTTTTGCTACCAGTACCATGCTGTTTTGGTTACTGTAGCCTTGTAGTATAGTTTGAAGTCAGGTAGCATGATGCCTCCAGCTTTGTTCTTTTGGCTTAGGATTGTCTTGGCAATGTGGGCTCTTTTTTGGTTCCATATGAACTTTAAAGTAGTTTTTCCAATTCTGTGAAGAAAGTCATTGGTAGCTTGATGGGGATGGCATTGAATCTATAAATTACCTTGGGCAGTATGGCCATTTTCACAATATTGATTCTTCCTACCCATGAGCATGGAATGTTCTTCCATTTGTTTGTATCCTCTTTTATGTCATTGAGCAGTGGTTTGTAGTTCTCCTTGAAGAGGTCCTTCACATCCCTTGTAAGTTGGATTCCTAGGTATTTTATTCTCTTTGAAGCAATTGTGAATGGGAGTTCACTCATGATTTGGCTTTCTGTTTGTCTGTTATTGGTGTATAAGAATGCTTGTGATTTTTGTACATTGATTTTGTATGCTGAGACTTTGCTGAAGTTGCTTATCAGCTTAAGGAGATTTTGGGCTGAGACAATGGGGTTTTCTAAATATACAATTATGTCACCTGCAAACAGGGACAATTTGACTTCCTCTTTTCCTTATTGAATACCCTTTATTTTTTTCTCCTGCCTGAGTGCCCTGTCCAGAACTTCCAACACTATGTTGAATAGGAGTAGTGAGAGAGGACATTCCCGTCTTGTGCCAGTTTTCAAAGGGAATGCTTCCAGTTTTTGTCCATTCAGTATGATATTGGCTGTGGGTTTGTCATAAATAGCTGTTATTATTTTGAGATATGTCCCATCAAAACCTAATTTATTGTGAGTTTTTAGCATGAAGCGCTGTTGAATTTTGTCAAAGGCCTTTTCTGCATCTATTGAGATAATCATGTGGTTTTTGTCGTTGGTTCTGTTTATATGCTGGATTACATTTATTGATTTGCATATGTTGAACCAGCCTTGCATCCCAGGGATGAAGCCCACTTGATCATGGTGGATAAGCTTTTTGATGTGCTGCTGGATTCGGTTTGCTAGTATTTTATTGAGAATTTTTGCACCGATGTTCATCAGGAATATTGGTCTAAAATTCTCTTTTTTTGTTGTGTCTCTGCCCAGCTTTGGTATCAGGAAGATGCTGGCCTCATAAAATGAGTTAGAGAGGATTCTGTCTTTTTCTATTGATTGGAAAAGTTTCAGAAGGAATGGTACCAGGTCCTCCTTGTACCTCTGGTAGAATGCATCTGTGAATCCATCTGGTCCTGGACTTTTTTTGGTTGGTAAGCTATTAATTATTGCCTCAATTTCAGAGCCTGTTATCGGTCTATTCAGAGATTCAACTTCTTCCTGGTTTAGTCTTGGGAGAGTGTATGTGTTGAGGAATTTATCCCTTTCTTCCAGATTTTCTAGTTTATTTGCATAGAGGTGTTTATAGTATTCTCTGATGGTAGTTTGTATTTCTGTGGGATCGATGGTGATATCCCCTCTATCATTTTTTATTGCATCTATTTGATTCTTCTCTCTTTTCTTCTTTATTAGTCTTGCTGGTGGTCTATCAATTTTGTTGATCTTTTCAAAAACCCAGTTCCTGGATTCATTGATTTTTTGAAGGGCTTTTTGTGTCTCTATTTCCTTCAGTTCTGCTCTGATCTGGCCTGGTGGTGACAAAATCTCTCAGCATTTGCTCGTCTGTAAAGTATTTTATTTCTCCTTCACTTATGAAGCTTACTTTAGCTGGATATGAAATTCTGGGTTGAAAATTATTTTCTTTAAGAATGTTGAATATTGGCCCCCACTCTCTTCTGGATTGTAGAGTTTCTGCCAAGAGATCAGCTGTTAGTCTGACGGGCTTCCCTTTGTGAGTAACCCGACCTTTCTCTCTGGGTGCTCTTAACATTTTTTCCTTCATTTCAACTTTGGTGAATCTGACGATTATGTGTCTTGGAGTTGCTCTTCTTGAGGAGTATCTTTGTGGCATTCTCTGCATTTCCTGAATTTGAATGTTGGCCTGCCTTGCTAGATTGGGACAGTTCTCCTGGATAATAACCTGCAGTGTTTTTCAACTTGGTTCCATTCTCCCTGTCACTTTCAGGTACACCAATCAGACGTAGATTTGGACTTTTCATGTAGTCTCATATTTCTTGGAGGCTTTGTTTGTTTCTTTTTATTCTTTTTTCTCTAAACTTCTCTTCTCGCTTCATTTCATTCATTTGATCTTCCATCCTGATACCCTTTCTTCCAGTTGATCGAATCGGCTACTGAGGCTTGTGCATTCATCACATAGTTCTCGTGTCATGGTTTTCAGCTCCATCAGGTCTTTTAAGGACTTCTCTGCATTGGTTATTCTAGTTAGCCATTCATCTAATCTTAAGGTTTTTAACTTCTTTGCCATGGGTTCGAACTTCCTCCTTTAGCTCAGAGTAGTTTGATAGTCTGAAGCCTTCTTCTCTCAACTCATCAAAGTCATTCTCCGTCCAGCTTTGTTCTATTGCTGGTGAGGAGCCGTGTTCCTTTGGAGGAGGAGAGGCACTCTGATTTTTAGAATTTTCAGTTTTTCTGCTCTGTTTTTTTCCCCATCTTTGTGGTTTTATCTACCTTTGGTCTTCGATGATGGTGATGTACAGATGGGGTTTTGGTGTGGATGTCCTTTCTGTTTGTTAATTTTCCTTCTAACAGTCAGCACCCTCAGCTGCAGATCTGTTGGAGTTTGCCAGAGGTCCACTCCAGACCCTGTTTGCCTGGGTATCAGCAGCGGAGGCTGCAGAACAGCGGATATTGGTGAACAGCAAATGTTGCTGCCTGATCGTTCCTCTGGAAGTTTTGTCTCAGAGGAGTACCCAGCCATGTGAGGTGTCAGTCCTCCCCTACTGGGGGGTGCCTCCCAGTTAGGCTACTCGAGGGTCAGGGACCCACTTGAGAAGGCAGTCTGTCCATTCTCAGATCTCAAGCTGCATGCTGGGAGAACCACTACTCTCTTCAAAGCTGTCAGACAGGGACAAATAAGTCTGCAGAGGTTTCTGCTGCCTTTTGTTTGGTTATGCCCTGCCCCCTGAGGTGGAGTCTACAGATGCAGGCAGTCCTCCTTGAGCTGCAGTGGGCTCCACCCAGTTTGAGCTTCCTGGCTGCTTTGTTTACCTACTCAAGCCTCGGCAATGGTGGGCACCCCTCCCTCAGCCTCACTGCCACCTTGCAGTTTGATCTCAGACTGCTGTGTTGGTGATGAGCAAGGCTCCGTGGGTGTAGGACCCTCCGAGTCATGCGCAGGATATAATCTCCTGGTGTGCCATTTGCTAAGACCATCGGAAAAGCGCAGTATTAGGGTGGAAGTGACCCGATTTTCCAGGTGCCGTCTGTCACACCTTTCCTTGGCTAGGAAAGGGAATTCCCTGACCCCTTGAGCTTCCTGGGTGAGGCAATGCCTCACCCTGCTTCAGCTCAGGCTCGGTGCACTGCACCCACTGTCCTGCACCAACTTTCCGACAATCCCCAGTGAGATGCAACCGGTACCTCAGTTGGAAATGCAGAAATCATTCAACTCCTTCGTCGCTCAGGCTGGGAGCTGTGGGCTGGAGCTGTTCCTATTCGACCATCTTGGCTCCACCCCTACAACCCTAGATTTTTAACTTTGAACAACTGGATGATTTTCAGTGAACTTCTTGTTAGCAAGAATGAAGGGGAGGTTGATTACCTGTCAACTTCAATGATCATTATTTAAACAATAAATATTCATTTTGCAGGTATTGTATGTCAGGCACACTTGTAGCTCCTGAAACATAGCAATGGACACAAAACGTAAAACTATTTGTGTTGACAGAGTTTTCATTTCAAGAGGGAGCAACTTGATCTTGTCCCACTGGAAGTTCTTCAGAGGCAGTAACATGCACGGGGCTGTCATCACTTATGATAACAATACCTTCTTCTGGAACATTCCCTGAAGGACCTGCCTGAGGTTGTTTTACAGTTAACTTTTTAAATATATATAAGTAGAAGGAGTATACTCTAAAATCACAATTAAAAGTTAATACAGAAACCAGTAAGAGGAGATGCCAAGATCGCCAACTAGGAACATCTTCAGTCTGCAGCTCCCAGTGTGAGCAACACAGAAGACGGGTGATTTCTGCATTTCCAACTGAGGTACCAGGTTCATCTCACTGGGGCTTGTCAGACAGTGGGTGCAGCCCACAGAGCAGGGCGGGGCATCGCCTCACTCCAGAAGTGCAAGGGGTCGGGGAATTCCCTTTCGTAGCCAAGGGAAGCCATGACAGATGGTACCTGGAAAATTGGCACACTCCCACCCTAATAACTGTGCTTTTCCAATGGTCTTAGCAAACGGCACACCAGGAGATTATATCCCCCGCCTGGCTCAGAGGGTCTCACACCCACAGAGCCTCACTCACTGCTAGCACAGCAGTCTGAGATCAAACTGCAAGGCAGCAGTGAGGCTGGGGGAGGGGTATCCACCATTGCTGAGGCTTGAGTAGGTAAACAAAGCAGCCGGGAAGGTCGAACTGGGTGGAGCCCACCGCAGTTCAAGGAGGCCTGCCTGCCTCTGTAGACTCCACCTCTGGGGGCAGGGCATAGCTGAACAAAAGGCAGCAGAAAATTCTGCAAACTTAAACATCCCTGTCTGACAGGTCTGAAGAGAGTAGTGGTTCTCCCAGCACAGAGTTTGAGATCTGAAAACGGACAGACTGCCTCCTCAAGTGGGTCCCTGACCCGAGTAGCCTAACTGGGAGACACCTCCCAGTAGGGGCCGACTGACACCTCATAAAGCCAGGTGCCCCTCTGAGACGAAGCTTCCAGAGGAAGGATCAGGCAGCAATATTTGCCGTTCTGCAATATTTGCTCTTCTGCAGCCTCTGATAGTGATACCCAGGCAAACAGGGTCTGGAGTGGACCTCCAGCAAACTCCAACAGACCTGCAGCTGAGTGTTCTCACTGTTAGAAGGAAAACTAACAAACATAAAGGACATCTACACCAAAACCCCATCTGTATGTCACCATCATCAAAGACCAAAGTTAGATAAAACCACAAAGATGGAGAGAAACCAGAGCAGAAATGCTGAAAATTCTGAAAATCAGAGTGCCTCTTCTCCTCCAAAGGAACACAACTCCTCACCAGCAACAGAACAAAGCTGGACAGAGAATGACTTTGACGAGTTGAGAGAAGGATTCAGACGATCGATAATAACAAACTTCTCCAAGCTAAAGGAGGATGTTCCAACCCATCGCAAAGAAGATAAAAACCTTGAAAAAAGATTAGATGAATGGCCAACTAGAATAAACGGTGTAGAGAAGTCCTTAAATGACCTGATGGAGCTGAAAACCATGGCATGAGAACTATGTGATACATGCACAAGCTTCAGTAGCTGATTTGATCAAGTGGAAGAAAGGGTATCAGTGATTGAAGATCAAATGAATGAAATGAAGCAAGAAGAGAATTTTAGAGAAAAAAGAATATAAAGAAACAAACAAAGCCTCCAAGAAATATGGGACTATGTGAAAAGACCAAATTTACATCGGATTGGTGTACCTGAAAGTGATGGGGAGAATGGAACCAAGTTGGAAAACACTCTTCAGGGTATTATCCAGGAAAACTTCCCCAACCTAGCAAAGCAGGCCAAATTCAAATTCAGGAAATACAGAGAATGCCACAAAGATACTCCTCCAGAAGAGCAACTCCAAGACACAATTGTCAGATTCAACAAACTTGAAATGAAGGAAAAAATGAAAATCAAATGAAAGGGAAAAACTGGTACCAGCCACTGCAAAAACATGCCAATTGTAAAGACCATCGATGCTAGGAAGAAACTGCATCAACTAATGAGCAAAATAACCAGCTAACATCATAATGACAGGATCAAATTCACACATAACAATATTAACCTTAAATGTAAATGGGCTAAATGCTCTAATTAAAAGACACAGATTGGTAAATTGGATAAAGAGTCAAGACCCATCAGTGTGCTGTATTCAGGAGACCCATCTCACATGCAGAGACACACATACGCTCAAAATAAAGGGATGGAGGAAGATCTACCAAGCAAACGGAAAACAAACAAACAAAAAAAAAACGGGTTGCAATCCCAGTCTCTGATAAAACAGACTGTAAACCAACAAAGATCAAAAGAGACAAAGGAGGCCATTACATAATGGTAAAGGAATCAATTCAACAAGAAGAGCTAACTATCCTAAATATATATGCGCCCAATACAGGAGCAACCAGATTCATAAAGCAGGTCCTTAGAGACCTACAAAGAGACTTAGACTCCCACACAATAATAATGGGAGACTTTAACACCCCACTGTCAACATTAGAGAGATCAACAAGACAGAAAGTTAACAAGGATATCCAGGAATTGAACTCAGCTCTGCACCAAGCAAACCTAATAGACATCTACATAACTCTCCACGCCAAATCAACAGAATATACATTCTTCTCAGAACCAGCTCACACTTATTCCAAAATTGGCCGCATAGTTGGAAGTAAAGCACTCCTCAGCAAATGTAAAAGAACAGAAATTACAAAAAACTGTCTCTCAGACCACAGTGCAATCAAACTAGAACTCAGGATTAAAAAACTCATTCAAAACTGCTCAACTACATGGAAACTGAACAACCTCCTCCTGAATGACTACTGGGTACATAACAAAATGAAGGCAGAAATAAAGATGTTCTTTGAACCAATGAGAACAAAGACACAACATATCAGAATATCTGGGACACATTCAAAGCAGTGTGTAGAGGGAAATTTATAGCACTAAATGCCCACAAGAGAAAGCAGGAAAGATCTAAAACTGACACCCTAACATCACAATTAAAAGAACTAGAGAAGCAAGAGCAAACACATTCAAAAGCTAGCAGAAGACAAGAAATAACTAAGATCAGAGCAGAACTGAAGAAGATAGAGATGTAAAAAACCCTTCAAAAAATCAATGAATCCAGGAGCTGGTTTTTTTGAAAAAATCAACAAAATTGACAGACCACTAGCAAGACTAATAAAGAAGAAAAGAGAGAAGAATCAAATAGACACAATAAAATGTGAGAAAGGGGATATCACCATCGATCCCACAGAAATACATACTACCATCAGAGAATACTATAAACACCTCCACGCAAATAAACTAGAAAATCTAGAAGAAATGGATAAATTCCTGGATACACACACCCTACCAAGACTAATCCAGGAAGAAGTTGAATCCCTAAATAGACCAATAACAGGTTCTGAAATTGAGGCAGTAATTAATAGCCTACCAACCAAAAAAAGTCCAGGACCAGATGGATTCACAGACGAATTCTACCAGAGGTACAAAGAGGAGTTGGTACCATTCCTTCTGAAACTATTCCAATCAATAGAAAAAGATGGAATCCTCCCTAATTCATTTTATGAGGCCAGCATCATCCTGATACCAAAGTCTGGCAGAGACACAACAAAAAAAGAGAATTTTAGACCAATATTCCTGATGAACATCAATGCAAAAATCCTCAATAAAATACTAGCAAACTGAATCCAGCAGCACATCAAAAAGCTTATCCACCACAATTAAGTTGGCTTCATCCCTGGGATGCAAGGCTGGTTCAACATATGCAAATCAATAAATGTAATTCATCATATAAACAGAACCAAAGGAAAAAAAATACATGATTATCTCAATAGCTGCAGAAAAGTCTTTTGACAAAATTCAACAGAGCTTCATGCTAAAAACTCTCAATAAACTAAGTATTGATGGGATGTATCTCAAAATAATAAGAGCTATTTATGACAAACCCACAGCCAATATCATACTGAATGGACAAAAACTGGAAGCATTCCCTTTGAAAACTGGCACAAGACAGGGATGCCCTCTCTCACCACTCCTATTCAACATAGTGTTGGAAGTTCTGGACAGGGCACTCAGGCAGGAGAAAGAAAGAAAGGGTATTCAATAAGGAAAAGAGGAAGTCAAATTGTCCCTGTTTGCAGGTGACATGATTGTATATTTAGAAAACCCCATCGTCTCAGCCTAAAATCTCCTTAAGCTGATAAGCAACTTCAGCAAAGTCTCAGCATACAAAATCAATGTGCCAAAATCACAAGCATTCTTATACACCAATAACAGACAAACAGAGAGCCAAATCAAGAGTGAACTCCCACTCACAATTGCTTCAAAGAGAATAAAATACCTAGGAATTCAACTTACAAGGGATGTGAAGGACCTCTTCAAGGAGAACTACAAACCACTGCTCAACGAAATAAAAGAGGACAGAAACAAATGGAAGAACATTCCGTGCTCATGGATAGGAAGAATCTGTATCATGAAAATGGCCATACTGCCCAAGATAATTTATAGTTTCAATGCCATCCCCATCAAGCTACCAATGACTTTCTTCACAGAATTTGAAAAAACTACTTTAAAGTTCATATGGAACCAAAAAAGAGCCCGCATTGCCAAGACAATCCTAAACCAAAAGAACAAAGCTGGAGGCATCATGCTACCTGACTTCAAACTATACTACAAGGCTACAGTAACCAAAACAGCATGGTACTGGTAGCAAAACATAGATATAGACCAATGGAACAGAATAGAGCCCTTGGAAATAATACCACACATCTAAAACCATCTGATCTTTGACAAACCTGACGAAAACAAGCAATGGGGAAAGGATTCCCTATTTAATAAATGGTGCTGGGAGAACTGGCTAGCCATATGTAGAAAGCTGAAACTGGATCCCTTCCTTACACCTTATACAAAAATTAATTCAAGATGGATTAAAGACTTAAATGTTAGACCTAAAACCATAAAAACCCTAGAAGAAAACCTAGGCATTACCATTCAGGACATAGGCATGGGCAAGGACTTCATGTCTAAAACACCAAAAGCAAAGGCAACAAAAGCCAAAATTGACAAATAGGATCTAATTAAACTAAAGAGCTTCTGCACAGCAAAAGAAACTACCATCAGAGTGAACAGGCAACCTACAGAATGGGAGAAAATTTTTACAATCTACTCATCTGACAAAGGGCTAATATCCAGAATCTACAAAGAACTTTAACAAATTTACAAGAAAAAATCAAACAACCCCATCAAAAAGTGGGTGAAGGACATGAACAGACACTTTCCAAAAGAAGACATTTATGCAGCCAACAAACACATGAAAAAATGCTCATCATTACTGATCATCAGAGAAATGCAAATCAAAACCACAATGAGATACCATCTCACACCAGTTAGAATGGCAATCATTAAAAAGTCAGGAAACAACAGGTGCTGGAGAGGATGTGGAGAAATAGGAAAGCTTTTACACTGTTGGTGGGACTGTAAACTAGTTCAACCATTGTGGAAGACAGTGTGGCAATTCCTCAAGGATCTAGAACTAGAAATACCATTTGACCCAGCCATCCCATTACTGGGTATACACCCAAAGGATTATAAATCATGCTGCTATAAAGACACATGCACACATATGTTCACTGAGGCAGTATTCACAATAGCAAAGTCTTGGAACCAGCCCAAATGTCCAACAATGATAGAGTGGATTAAGAAAATGTGGCACATATACAGCATGGAATACTATGCAGCCATAAAAAAGGATGATTTCTTGTCCTTTGTAGGGACATGGATGAAGCTGGAAACCATCATTCTGAGCAAACTATTGCAAGGACAGAAAACTAAACACTGCATGTTCTCACTCACAGGTGGGAAGTGAACAATGAGAACACTTGGACACAGGGTGGGTAACATCACACACTGGGGCCTGTCGTGGGGTGGGGGAAGGGGGGAGGGATAGCATTAGGAGATAAACCTAATGTAAATGACGAGTTAAGGGGTACAGCACACCAACATGGCACATGTATACATATGTAATAAACCTGCACATTGTGCACATGTACCCTAGAACTTAAAGTATAAAAAAATAAAAAAGAAAAAAAGAAGCCAGAAAAAAAGAAAAAAAAAGAGGGAGCAACTTTGAATTTGACTTTTCGTTGTTTTTTCCTGACTGGTTTTGAAGTTAAAGACGCCTGCTCAGAGACTAAAGTGCATCTTACAACAACCAGGAATCATGGCATTTCCTGGGGACCCTTAAAGGCTATCTGGTCCAAGTACTCCTCTGATGGTGAATCTCTTACGGCACCCTCCTTACAGCTTTATAAAATTCCCCTCAGCACCTTTAGCAGCAGAAATTCAAAATCCCTGACCTAACCGTCTGTGGGAACTTTCTCACTCTTGTCCCCTCCGTTCCAGAAATACAGTCCTGTTGGGATTCCCAGAGAATGCCAGGCTCTGCACTTGCTGCTCTCCTCTAGACTCCTTCTCAGCTCACCACTTCCCCTCCTTCAAGCCTCTATTAAAAGGTCACCTTTTCAGTAATTGTTTCCCGGTAACACCGTTTAAAATTAACGCTCCTCCCCCCACTCCACACACGCAGCATGTTGCCACTGCAGTGTTCTTACTTCCCTCGTCTGCATTCTTTTTCTTCAAAACATCTATCAGCCTCTAATTTTTAAAATTCATTTATTTTGTTTATTGTCTGTTTCCTCCTACCAGAATGTAAACTTAATGAAGACAAAGATTTTTATCTTGTTTTGTTTACTGTTATGTCCTCTGGAGTAAGAAGGAAGCCTGGCACAGAGTTACTGCAAAATACATATTTGCATACAGAATGGATATTTAAACACATACCCCATCAGTATTCCTCTATTTCTGCTAAAGAGAAGTTGACCAAAAACCATCAACTTGTTCCAGGTGAGCCACATCAAAATCTTAACACAATGATGACTACCTTCAATTACAGTTGCGGGAAATCCAGAGACTTTCCTTCACATTGGTGCTGCTCATATTTGTCTCTATAAATGTTGAGGGTATGTCTTTAAATCTGAACAAGGAAGGGAACATCAGTTTAAATGTGCTGTTTTATGATGATTTAACTTCATACACAGATAAATGTTGGAGCACCTGACCAGAGAATTCCTACAATAATACCACCAAACATCCATCCAGCATGATCTGTAGGCAGAGTCTTAAGTCATGTGACTTGCAATATGTATACTTGCTACTTTTTGAAGTGTAAATAGATGTCCATTATGACTAATAAATATACCAGGAGAAATATTTCTACATTGGCTTGAACACATTCATATGCAGGTGTAACTGAAGGTATTGAATATTAGGTGGCAACAATGCTAGGTCACTTGAAATTTATTCTGATACTGAAAGGCTCCTGTTGTAAAATAACGTCGTTCATGTCAGGTTATTCAGTGTGACAGGCAAAGTGGTAGTTTGCCACTGTGTTTACAAATGAGAATCACCTGGGAAAATGTGGAAGCACTGATGCCCAGTCTTCACCCTAGAGGTTCTGCTTTGATTGTTGAACCATGGGGCCTATCAGTTTCTCAAGCTCCCCGTGCAGGTAGGTGGAGAGTCAATGCAATAAGAAAATGAATATTCTCTAGGAAGTGACTGAGAGAACTGTTAGACTTATATATTGAGTTTACAGAATTCTTTCCAGAAGCACACTCTCTTAATAGGAATAGAGTACTCAAAGCATTTAAGAAAAATAAGGCCAGGTGAGGTGGCTCATGCCTATAATCCTAGCACTTTGGGAGGCCTGAGCTCAGGAGTTGAGACTAGCCTGGGCAACTTGGTGAAACCCCATCTCTACTAAAATACAAAAAATTTGCTGGGCGTGGCACATGCCTGTTGCCTCCCAGCTATTCAGGAGGCTAAGGCATGAGAATTGCTTGAACTCAGGAGGCCGAGGCTGCAGTTAGCCAAGATCAGGCCACTGCACTCCAGCCTGGGTGACAGAGTGAGACTGTGTATCCAAAAAAGAAGAAGAAGAAGAAGGAGAAGGAGAAGAAGAAGAAGAAAGAAAAGTCACATTTCTCTTCCAGGTATTTGCAACATGGAGATTTACAGACATTAGAATTTTGATAATAGAAATGCAATAATTTCAGCTTATTGTAAAGACTTTTGAACTATTCATGCCAGGTAACATCCCCCTCAAGTAAGAAGTCACATTGCAAAGTCAGAGCCCTGAGGTAGATCCCAGAACAGAGTAACTGACAAGATGTGCTGGCATGGTATCCCAGGTACAGGTATAGAAGCTAAATCAACCTAGGTAGAATTTCTAATTCTGTGACTTAGTAGGTGTGAACACTCATAGTTTAACTTCTTCGTCTATAAAATAAGAATCCCAAAACCTACTCAGAAGGACTTATAAGCAGAGCTGTACAACCAGGGCAGTTACACGGTCATGCAGATTCCCACACTCATGTAAGCCTATGTTTAGGGTTTAATGCCCAGAGGCCACTACCTTGAAATTCTTAATTTTCTTTGACTTTGAATTTTGTAAGTGAACTCCTGTGGGACATGGAGCAGGCACTGGAGGCTTGGAGCCTTGGCTCACATGGGTCCTGCCTACGCATCTATCCAGGATGAGATCTCAAAGATGCTCTCCTCACCCAGAAATCACTGGTGCCCTCCACCCCCAGCTGAGGCCTGGGCAGGGGCACAGATTGGGGCAGGGCCAGATGTAAGCATTCTGCTTGCCAAGTATCAGGGCAGGGCTCTGGGTTCCTGTGAGGGTTTGCACTCATCCTGCAAGTAGCCCCATGCCAAGAAAGCACAATATTAAATAACAAAATTTTTAAAATGCTATGGCTAGTAGAGAAAAAAACTTTAGAAATAGGAAAAAGCATTTTTCCTGCTTTTTGAACAAGAGGCCTGTGTTTTCACTTCACACCGGGCCCTGCAAATTACATAGCTGGCCCTGCTTGTGAAACGTAGATTTTTATCATGCGCAATTTTTGCGTATACATCAAAAAAGAAACATAAGACAAACAGATTGGTTCTGTCAGAGTGGAAAGTCTAGCATCTAGCATATATTAATTTCTCAAAATGTTAGTTAGCGTTCTTCTCTATCATTATCTCTTTCCCTTTCAGCAAAGCAAGTTATAAAACTACTAATGAGCATTTACTGAAAACTAAACTGTTTCTATTCAGACAAATCTAAGTAGTTAAAAAACATCCTAGAACATATCCTGGGTGCTCTTCTAATGCTTTCTATTTTCTAGAATCTTTGGATCAGGACCAAGGTCAGTCCCTGCCATAGCAATTCAAGTCACAAGGCCCTGTCATATAAGAACCAACTTCTATCAACACTTTTATAAACAACCGAACCAAGAGATTTGCTCTGTAAACCACTGAAAACGGCATTTCCTCTAGGGAGACATATTCAGAACAATTAGAAGTTTCCACTCTGACAATGATTTGAGATTTTGAACTATATTAAATACTTTTTTTAGAAATAGATGGAATATAAATAAAAAATGAATGTAATCTCCGTTAGAGCCATCTGGTGTTGATATTTCTGCTGTACCTCTGGAGAACTCCTAAGAGCCAAAAGGAAAGGAAGTCGTAATTCTGTTCACTGCAGCTGCTGAAGTTGTCACCAACTTTTTTTCTACATTTACCTATAAATGAGAACCAGCAGTCAAAATAACACATTTTCTTAGTATAAAGAGTTATTAGTCAAATAGGGAATGATTTACATTGTTATAACCCAATACTAATGACTTTTGGTCCTTTAAAGTTCCTGGATTTAGACAATGTAATTTCTCAGGTGTGGGCTAATAATGGGAGAAAAATAGAGGCCCAGAGTAGTTTTGGTAAAGAACTGCTTATTCTCAGTTCATAGTTTAACTGCAGCAAACACATTTTTCCCTTAATCTTCCCTTTGCAGAGTAAATACAGTATTCTCAAATCTTTTCATTTTTCATGAGAAAGGCTTTTACTCTAATCTATGCTTATTGTCACTGATGTCTGCAAAATTGCTTCCAATCTGGGTCTTCCTTGAGTTTGTTGACTTTAGAAATTACGTGTACTTGTCTCATGAAGGTAAATAGGCTATTTTGTGACTACAAAGTCTCTGCTTATGCTACTACTCTTGTTTCATTCATCATGCAAAAGAAATACAGTGAATAAAACAGACTCCTCTGGGGCTACTGTGTCCAGAAGACCCCAGGTGGGCTGCTTAGTCCCGGGCTGTTGACTATGTAGTAAAACAAAAATAAAAATCTTCCCAGCTCTCTAAAACTAATACCCCATGAAGTACCAAGATGTGTGAAACTGTTCAGTTAGGCTTCATTTCTTTGGTCAAGCTGACCTAGGGCTCTGTACCCACAAAAATCCAAATATGCTGAGATAGAATACTGAGTGATGCTACTGTCTTTCCTAACTCACTTCAAATAAATTGATCTGAATTTTTTTCTAAGAGCAGCTGTGTCCCTATGTGTGGAGGAGTGGGTGGTAAGAGGGGGGGAAATAATGATTAGATGCCACCAACGGGATTTTCTAAATAGCAAAGAATTTATTCTACTTCAGAGTTTTGACTAGGGCTCATCATGCTGATGATACATTGTAAATTATTTTCATCTGACTTTCTTTTAGAAAATATAAGAATACAATTTAGAGGGAAATGAAAGCAAAGAATAAAATAGTAAGGACTATATCAGCAAAGTCCTTATCCTATAATGTCAAATCTTCCATCATATGGAATCTAAGACACCATAATTGTAAAACATGCCATAATGTACTAATAAAAAAGAAAAAAACAAACCATGACAAAAGGCTTTCCTAACACTAAGAATATTCATTTATACTTATTTTAAAAGTTCTTTTGTACTTAATTATATGTAGATTTTTATTATACATCATTGTGTGCACATACCAAAAAATTAAGGTAAATAAATTGGTTATTTCTTTCTACAATTTTTTACATCCAAGTCTAACTTTTGGGCTCAGTCTCATGTTTTAATTTATTTCCACAAAATATCCTCTGTTACATTAACTGCACTGGTGACACAGCATTTCATAAAATAATCTATCAAAGAACCAAAGCCATTGGTGCTACTTGAGACTATGTAAAGCTGGCTGACATCCCTTTGACTCCCAATGCAAGCAGCTTGCAAACACATGTGACTCACCACCTCCCTTACCTCCTCCACAGCCATTTTGTTCCTATGGTTTAGAAGAGTGCTCAATTAAGAAATGATGAAAAGAAAAAAGATATTTAAGTGAGCACAGAGTTTCTTCCTACATGATACATGTTGATTACCAAAGGAAAAATAGTAACTACAGTGTGGAGGAACCTGGTGACGTCATGTTAACCCAGTAATCAAAGTTAACATCAGTGATAAGACAAAATGACATCATCAGGTAACTCCTAATATGCTACACTGAAAATAAATATCTGTGATTTTCCTTACCCGCTTCTCCTCCACCACAGAAAGTATAACCTGAATCTAATCATGAAGAAACATCAGAACAAACTCAAATTAAGATACGTTTACAAAATAACTGGCCTGTAATCTTAAGAAATGTTAGGTCATAAAAGAGAAGGAAAGATTGAAGAATTTTTCAGATTAAAGGAGACTAAAGAGACAAGACAATTGAATACAACATGTGACCCTGACGAGAATTATTTCTTTTGCTAAAAAAGGGCATCTGTGGGGCAGGGAGTGGTGGCTCATGCCTGTAATTCCAGCACTCTGGGAGGCCAAGGCGGGCTGATCAATTGAGGTCAGAGGTTCGAGATCAGCCTGGCCAATGTGGCGAAACCCAGTCTCTACCAAAATTACAAAACAATCAGAAGGCTGAGGCACGAGAATGGCTTGAACCCAGGAGCTGGAGGTTGCAGTGAGCCAAGATGGGGCCACTGCACTCCAGCCTGGGTAACAGACAGAGCGAGACTCTGTCTCAAAAAAGGCCAGGGTGGGGTGGCGGGGGAGTGGCATCCATGGGACAATTGACAAAATTGGAATGTCTAGATAAGAATATTTCATCAATGCTAATGGACTAATTTTGATGTCTGTACTATGGTTATGTTAGAAAATGACCTTATTTTTAGAATATACACATTGAAGTATAGTATTATTTAGGTGTAAAGGGCATTGTGTCTGCATGCCCGAAACTTACTCTCAAATTATTCAGAAAAAAAAACACCAATATATATTACTTAGATACAGATAGAATGGTAAAACAAAATGTGGCAAAATGTTATCTTTGATGCAAATTATTTGCATCATTTTTTTCTGAAAGTAGGCAATTATTTCAAAACAAAATGGTTTCAATAGAGCGCCATGATATTTTTCTGACATTTTCTTTGAAATAGTTGATACTCCTTCTGCAAATTTTGTTGACAGTGCTTCTAGGTTCCAAAAAGAAGGGTAACGCCACTACAGCACCTTTGCCATCTGACCAGCAGCAATTCTAAGATGTCATTGATTCTAAGATGCATCTCAATTCCCAAGATGTTAAAATGAACAAAATACATCACTTAGGATCATAAACACATTTTAGTTGGAATAGACACATTTGAAGACCAGATTTGAACAATGATCCTCCCATTTAGTATCAACATTAGTTTACTACTGCCACTGTAACAAATTAACACAAATGTAATGGCTTAAAACAAGACAAAAGTGTTGTCTTATGGTTTTGGAAGTCAGTTCAAAATGGATCCACAGGGAGGCTGGAAAGTAAAATGGTTTTTCTTGTCTTCCCCAGCTTCTAGAGGCTGCTTGCATCCTTGGCATGAGGCCCCTTTCCGTTATTGTCTTCCACAGTATCCCTGATAACAAAACCTACACCTAGCTCAGGTATTACATGTGCTACTCCTGAACATCTCCATCTCTTGCTTAAGGAAATATTGCTGTGCAAGTACAGTCTTGTAATAAAAGGAAATTGTGACTGGAAAAGAGAAAAAAAAAAGTTGCTGATAATAAACATGTTAGGAAAACCTGATCTTGGGAAGACAGTTTGACATTTTGACACAAATGTTTCCTAATTATCATGGGAACTCTGTTTAGGCTATAAGACTCTATTGTTATTGATGTCATTGTTGATTTTCCGGGGCAATAAGAAAACATGTTATCAAGAATTAATTCCGTTTTTGTTTTTTAATCATTTTCTTTTTTAACCATTGACTGAGAGATACAAATTCTAGAAATTAAGGAATTCCAGAATTTTAAAATTGGGTTAAATATATCCAGAGCTGATAAAAAGCAGTATAGAGTGGCCAAAAGAATACATTATTGGTGGTCCTCATAATCAATTTGACTTTCTGTAATTGTATTAAATTAATTCTTACACATACATATATGTATATATTAGAAGAGTGCTTGACAACAATTGTATAAGTGTTAGCTATTATTACTATATATTTATATTTATATTATTATATAGCAATTATGATCTTTCTTGGCAAATATTACTACTAGTTTGCACTGAAATTGCAAGAAAAGCTGGATCATAAATGGAAACATTTTTTATTCAGATTCCCTAGGTTGATATATGAAGCAAAATATGAAAACACTTATTTATGTGGATATGTATATATTCGTCTGTACTCACCATCTACTTTATTAGTTGTTGGAGAGATTAGAGAGTAATGCATTTAAGGCAGTTTGCCTTTGGCTGGTACATTATTTTTAATAATAGGTTTTATTATTTCTCAACTTTAAGAAACTTTTTAAAGGGTCAAGATAATGCTGAGTTTGGAAATGAGATAAGAAAAACAAGAGAGAAAGATAGCATGTTAGGAAGTGAGTAGAAAATTACTTCCTTTAAGTGAGATAATTCCCTAATCAAAAATATTGCCTATGATATTGATAATAATTGCTAATGTTTTTTGAGCATATACTATGTTGTAGGTATCATGATAATCACTTTCTACATATTATCTTGTTTGGTCCTTAGAACCAAATGAAGTGAATGTTGTATTATCTTTATTTTGCCTAGGGATTAAGTAATTTTCTTAATGTCACAAATTAAATATAATAGTACTGAATGATATCAAACCCAAGCAGTCCAAACCCGTTCTAACACACTGCTATGCTCTCTCCACGATATATGATTCTTTACTCCACAGACCTTACTTCATACCAGATTATTTTGCCCATGTTCCCCCGATGCTTGCTAATTGCGCTTACATTTTCTGTGTTTTGTCTCTCTAACCATTCCTACACTCTTCAAAGGCAGAGAAAAAGCTTTCTATTTCTTTTTTACTTAACCCAAAAGCTTATTAAGGGCAGAACACAGAACGTTTCTGAAGAAACACCCTGGGCTCACAGCAGAGAGCAATGCAGATAATAAACACCAGGAGTACTATCTAAAACCTAAGAAACATCAAAATTATACCCTTTCCTCACTTTTCTTAATCAATACTTTCTATTTATTCAGAGCCAAGCTTACAAAGGGTAAAGATTGCCTTGATGAAGAGCAAGCCCTCTGTCTACTGATGCTGACATCTAGAAAAATCACTATGCTCAGATTCAATATTCTGCACTATAGCTCCCTAATAGACTCAAACAAATGGCAATGGATACACTCAGCCTTTTCTGAGCTTCTAGAAAACATTCACCTATTGCATTTCTCTTTAACTTCTTTTTTAATTATCTGACTGCCTCTTACCTGAGCCCAGTAGAATTTTAAATATGAGAAAGGAATCATCAGAGAATAGGCTTAAAATGAAAAAAGGAAATAGGAAATTGTATTTTATTTGACTTTTTAAAACTCATCTACTTTCAGATTGAGTCAGTTTGCTAGCTAAAACAAGATTTTGGGGTGAATAACTTTTACTAGAACATACAAAGTGCATTTTAACAATGGTCTACATTCACAAGTGGCCACTATTCTTGTCCAAACACAATTCAGCTGAGTGTTCCTAGGCTTCCAAACCCAGAACAAAGCAGAACAAAAGAAAAATATAGTATTTGAAGTGCCTTGCTTGTGCTTTTCTAATCTAAACAGACTGCTCCCATATTAAGAAAATTACTTTAGGTGCAAATGATACCTCAAAAAGAAGTAGATAGATATGCACTGATTCTTTTTGACATTATAATTTATAGCTTAAATTAATTTTAGACTAATTTTCCTCTTACTTAGAGCAAAATATTGCTAAGGGAACAGCCTGTCTTCATCTGACTTATAGTAAACATTTGCCACTTAGTATTCTGAAACCAGCTGGCTTTTTTAATCTTTGGCAATAGACGCTAACGTATCCTTTATGAATTATGGCAAGCCAATAGGCAGAGAGCAACCCAGAAGGTGTAAGAGGTCTAACAATCAACCAGGCAATAGAATGGGGGTTGGTAACCATCAACTGCATGCCCTGAAGGCAAATTTTCCACAGCTTTCCAGATGCTGCCATGCTGCCTCCCTCACTCCACCTTTTGCCCCAGCTCTCCAAACTCAGCCCTGGGGAGTTGGTTCATTCAATCCTTCAAAGAAGTGCAAGGATAAAGAAGCAGGAAACTAATTACCTCATGGTGTGATAAGTGCAGGATAATTCTATAGAAAGAACACCTAACGTAAACCTAGAAGATCAAAATAAGCTTCCCAGAGAAAGTGATGTTCTGACCAAGAAGAGAAGAAAAGAGTTAGACACTTGGGCCAGGCACGGTGGCTCACACCTGTAATCCCAGCACTTTGGGAAGCCGAGGCAGGAGGATCACTTAAGGTCAGGAGTTTGAGACCAGCCTGGCCAACATGATGAAACCCCATCTCTACCAAAAATACAAAAAATTATCAGGGCGTGGTGGTGTGCGCCTCTAGTCCCAGCTACTCAGGAGGCTGAGGCAGGAGAATCGCTTGAACCCGGGAGGTGGAGGTCGCAGTGAGCCGAGATCGTGCCATTGCACTCCAGCCTGGGCGACAGAGAGAGACTCCATCTCAAAAAAAAAAAAAAAAAAAAAAGAAAAGAAAAAGGATGAATAACAAGAAAGAAAAACAGCCTTATTGCTGATATGGAGAAAGGTTTTAGTGGTCTAGGTAGAAGATTAAACCAGATTTTTGAAAAAAAAAAAAAAAAAGAAAAAGAGACACTTGAAGAAGAGATGGAAAAGCAATCTAGAAAGAGAAAAGTATTTGCAAAGGATGACAGGTAAGCATGACCAAGGAACTGAAAGAATTTCAGTTTAGCTGCAGCATCTAATGAACACAAACGCTTAGGGATCTAGAGTAATGGAGACAACATCTCATATCCGCAACAATAGAAACATCTGGCTTTCTTGATCACCACAGCAGGGGAACAGACATCTGAATGACTTTTATATACTTCAGTCTAGAAGTGACACACATCACTTCTACCCACAGCCTATTGGTTAGCACTAGTCATATGCTTCTCCCACCCCACCCCCAAAATTATAATGACCTAGAAAAGTAGGGGCAGATGTAATGTTTAATGCATACCACTGTCTCAGGTATAGGCATGATATTAATGGCTGTCTTACTCTATTTGTGTTGCTATGAAGGAATATCTGAGGCTGAGTAATTTATAAAGAAAATAGGTTTATTTGGCTCATAGTTCTGCAGACTGTACAGGAAGCATGGCACCAGCATTGGCTTCAGGCCACTTCCACTCATGGGGAAGGCAACGGAAAGGCACATGCACAGAGATCACACGTGAGAGAGGAGGCAAGAGACAAAAAGGAGGGAGATGCCAGGCTCTTTTTGAATAACCAACTCTTTGGGAACTAATAAGAGTGAGAACTCACACAACCCCACCCCATGCTGACAGAGCATTAATCTATTCATGAGAGATATGCCCCATGACCCCAACACCTCTCACAGTCCCCGCCTCTGACACTAGGAATCAATTTCAACATGTGATTTGGGGGACAATATTCAAACTATAGCAATTACTTTGTAAGTCATGTTTAAGCAGTTTGCTTTATTCTGAGGGTATCAAAGAGCCAATAAAGAATTTTAAGCAAGATAATTAAAGGACTGGATTTAGAACTTTTTGCAGCTCGGCAGGGTTTCCTCCCCTATTACTTCTCCTCACCTCTAAGTGGATAGGCAGTCTTTCAGAAAGCTATCCATGGAAATGATGCTGTTAACAAATATGAGATAGTTAAAATCAACAGAATGATCCATTGTCACCCCCATCCCTCAATTAAAAGCATGTGCTTTTTTGAGTGCCTCAGAGAGTAAATGCCCCCCCCTTTTTTTTAAAGCTCCTAGTTATGGTGTAGCAGCCTTAAGGAAGATGGATCATTCAGGCATAGTCAGGCACTGATATGTTTTAGTAAACAGAACCAAGAGAAGGGGATACCATGAGGCCTGAGCTTTGAAAACGAGGAGACAACTGCTGTTGTTGGCACATCCTTTCATTCCTTCTAGACACAAGCCTCAGCAGACATCCAGTGCCATCAGATCACTCTTAAAGAAGGGCCTCAGCGTAGCATCCACAGCTGGTCACTACTTCCTCAGGGATGACTTGCACCTGGGAGGAAAAATAGGATAAAGGTGGAAGTGCAGTTGATGTTGTTTCTTTCCTTATCTGTATTGCCAATAAAATTGCCTTTTCAATTTTTCTCAGTGATTAATATTTGTATGATGTGTGTGTATCAAGCAGACTACAGCAGGTCCTCTTTAGCTCCTCTTGCTCCAGTGGTCAATAACTCAGTGATTAGCAGAAGCACCTCAGAAGCTTGTTAAAAATACAGAGTCTTAGTTCATGCATTCAACTTACTTAATCAAACTCTCTGGAGTAGGATCCATGAAGCTAGTTTTAGTTGTTTTTGTTTTTTTACAAAAATTTTGCAGGCTTGTAAAATGTTGCTGTAGTTAATGTAGAAGCAATCTGCCATATAATTTTTTTCTTTTTTTTTGCGATGGAGTCTTGGTCTTGTTGCCCAGGCTGGAGTGTAATGGTGCAATCTTGGCTCACTGCAACCTCTGCCTCCCGAGTTCAAACAATTTTCCTGCCTCAGCCTCCCAAGTATCTGGGATTACAGGCGCCTGCCACTACACCCAGCTAATTTTTTGTATTTTTAGTAGAGACTGGGTTTCACTATGTTGGCCAGGCTGGTCTCGAACTCCTGACCTCAGGTGATCCACCGCCTTGGCCTCCCAAAGTGCTAGGATTACAGGCATGAGCCACCACGCCCGGCCTCATAAAATTATTTTCTAGCTAAAGATCTACTATGGCTTTTAGTCATTTACAGGGTTTTGTTTTGCATTATTTAAATGTGTCTGTTTCAACACATCTCTCTCAAAAAAAGTTTTCAAAAAACCAGAGACCTTGTCTTCCTCCTGTTGAATTTCTGTGCCACTTTACACATTGGTAGGTACTTGGCAGACATCTAAAAAATACAGAATAGAAAGCAATAACATCAATTTGAATTGGTATTCTTGATGGAGATGAGTCTGCAGACGCATATCACAGGAAAGGAAACAGCATTCCTCCCTAGGGCACAGACCTATTTTTATGTTCAAGCTGCTCCTTTTTGGTAGACAGCGTCATAAGCATCACCAACTTAAGTCTGCTGTTTGACAGGTGGAGTCTTATGTGATTGACTTGATAACATTCACTTTCTGAAAACATTTTTTTTTCAGCCTTCATAGAGAAGTTACGGAAGGAGCATTTTTATTGCCATGTTGCAGGTTAGCCAACAGGATAAAATTTGTTCATTGTGGCATCAAAATAAAAAAATAGCTCTTTTCTTTTTTTCCTAAATTTTTGTGCTCTTTATCCTCATTCTAGATGCCAAAAAGGTATTTGCCTTTTATATGCATGTTTTTGCTTTGTATTTAATACAGGTTTGAATATTTCAGAAACTTTATGAAAATATGGAAACCCTATTTGGAATTTGATCTCAATTTGCAGAAAGAAAGTTCAGGAAATTTTTTTTCAGTTAAGAGACAAACAAACACCTGTTAAAAGTGATGGGCCAGGCGTGGTGGCTCAGGCCTGTAATCCCAGCACTTTGAGAGGCCAAGGCAGGCAGATCACTTGAGCCCAGGAGTTTGAGATCAGCCTGGGCAACACGGCAAAACCTCATCTCTAAAAAACAAAATACACAAAAATTAGCCAGGCATAGTGGTGCACACCTGTAGTCTCAGCTACTCAGGAGACTGAGGTGGGAGAATCACCTAAGCCCAGGAGGTCGAGGCTGCAGTGAGTCATAATTGTGCCACTGTGCTCCAGCCTGGGTGACAGAGTGAGACCCTGTCTCAAAGAAAGAAGAAAAAAATTTGAGAGACAGCAGCTTATGATGCCAAATAAAACATATGGATGTCAATTAATTTCAACTTTTCTGCAATCTGTATGCCAGTTTCATAAGGAAATAGTTCAAATCAGGGCATCCACAGGAAGAAAGTAGTTGGTTGATGAAATTTCTTCCTCTGCTCAAAGTTTAACAACCGCTCTTAAATTTCATCATGAAATGCTTGACCTTGGTACTGAAAGAAAAGAGTAGTACTAAGAAAAACTGCCTTCTTCTATAGACCACACCCTTCTTGAAAATAACTTCTTATGAAAAGTAATATCAAACAGGCTAGCATTTCCTTCATAAAAATTATCCAGTAAGAAAGCCTTCTCAGTGCAACTGGTTAATACCATTTAAAATTATTGTTTCTGAAAGACCATGAATATCACAACTTACCTCATCACCACAAGTTTGCAAATTAACCCATTCATCTGGAAAAACTAAGTTGGACCAAAATGGCCATGATAACTATAATTACAATAAGAAGTTATAATAAAATGCAGGTGGCTGCTTGATATTGCCATTTCATCTTGTCCAGCTCCAGACACAGCAAGCAATGGAGCTCAGAAATTACCCCCAGATTATGGCATTATAGCTCAAAGCATAGTGCCCTCTAAGGAAACAGAAATGTCTCTCTGTCATTAGTTGAATGTCAACAAAAAGTCACTAAGGGATAATATTGTTTTTTTAATTCCAAAGAAAATGTTTCCTGACTACATGACAACTCTTAAACACTATATCACATTTTCACACTCATGCTGAACCTACTAGCACACAAATTAAATTCCTGGTACCTTAAACATAAAAGCAATCAACCAAGTGCTATTCTTCTTCAATCATTAAGGCTTCTCACTTTCAAGAGGAAACAAAGCTTAAAACAGGACCCTTGAATATTGTATTTCCTCTACAAAATGTATTATATTTCATAAGCAAGCATTTTAAAATAGATAATGCCATCCACATTGAAGAGAACTTACATTTTTATATAGACTCAAATATATCTTCACTATAAATACTTACTAGTAATAATATTTATTTTAACAGTGAAACCCTAGTTAACCAAAATTATTGGTGTATGTATACAGTACATTGAATATGTCTTTATGCATCCTTTTAGACTTTCACCTCACCTGTCTTGCATTCTGGCTGCAGGTGAAGCAACCAGTCTGTGCACTTCCAACCACTTTAATATAGGTTTTCTTTTACAGCACCTTGTCTCAGACCAGTCCCCAGGAGCCTCTCATCTTCTGCCCAGGTGTTCTCTGTTGACCACACTATGTGAGATGACACAGAAGCATGTTTTGCACCCATGCATGTGTTACCTAGGAGGGTAAAGCCAATCATTTGACCATTGAGAGATACAGGTTTCTCACTGTCTCAGAAGGACAGTCCTAAGACACATTTTATGTGCCTGGGTGATTGAGGAGCTAGTTGCCTGTAGACATATATACTTGATAATACATTGTCATTTTGCATCTCTCTTCTGTTTGGCTCACCTTTGATCTCTGGACTCAATACTTCCCAATAAAGTGTTTTAAAACAAGACTTTGTCTCAAGCTCTGCTTCCTGGCAAACCCAAGCTAAGATATAACTGTACAACATATACATATATAATAAGAATTACTGCTGTCACATACTGTTAAGTTACAACAGTTCAAGAATGGGTAAAAGTAAATACTGTTACCATCATTATTAGCCATGAAAAAGACAAAAGGGATTATCTAGCTCAATGATCTTTCTAAGTTTATGTAAGACCCACATTCTAATTAATTAAATAGCTACAGGCATATGTATCTCAAATTCAAAAGACTGCTTAACCTTTCCTGCTTTTGTTCATGTTAAGAAGGAAAGCCTTAAGCACCTTTAAAAGAGCAGATTTATTTGTTTGTTTGTTTGTTTGTTTGTTTTTATAGAGATAGGGTATAGCTATGTTGCCCAGGCTGGTCTCAAATTTCTGAGCTCAAGCAATTCTCCTTCCTCAGCCTCCCAAAGTACTGGGATTACAGGTATGAGCCACCACATCCAACCAAGAGTGGATTTTTTTTTTAAAACTTTCTCAATGACAGAAGGGAAGTCAACCAACTCATAGGTTCATACCCACACAAAATAGCACATAAACCTTGTTTAACCATTACTTACACACACACACACACACACACACACACACACACTCTTGCATGCACATACACAGACCCAGGGGATCAACAGCATATTCACACAGGGATAAGAATACACCAGAACAGAATAGACCAAAACTTAGAGATAAACCTTTTGAACAGGGCGTTTTTTTAATCCAGGTAACTACTTGATGATCATAGTGCAAATTATGCCCTCATAAATAAAAATAAGACACAAAACAGATTATAGAAATTCTAAGTCTTTACTAAACTAATTTTCTCAGATTGTGCTGGACACAGACAAGTCATATACTAGATTCAATGCCATTAACTATACACTATAATAGTTTCTAATATCCATGTATTACCTTATATTTTAATAACTTTTTCACTGAGTTGTCTTATTTAATCCTCCAAATCTGTGAAATAATTGACTTTATCATTCCCATTTTACAAATAAAGATCAGAGAGGGTAAATAACTCATAGAGGATACAGTATACTGCCTGCACTGCAAAGTCAGAATTTGTAGAACTATTTATTGAGCCACCCTTTCAAACTCATTTTATCTCTGGTTATTCATTAATATTGTCTCCCACATACCAGCTTCTCTGCTAACCACTTCTCTAACTTGACATTCTAAAAGGATCCTAGATGTCTGCTTTCAGTTCCCTAGATTTCACCACTCCTTAGTGTATTTACAGTCTCCTCTGCTTCTAAACGTTTAGACCAACCCAAATCACCCATAAACCACAAACCTATGATGATTGTGCACACCAGTTGGCTGCCTTCCTAGAAGTCCTCCCCAGTTTTTTCCATGCTTGAAGGGCCCTGATTTCATTTGATGTCTACCTCTCTTCCTGCCACGAGAACCAAGGAGGGGTTACCCCATTTTCAGTTCCAAGAGTAAATCTTGATAAGCCTATACCAATAATTATGACCCCAGTTGTTTTTCCAAGGATTGGTTTAAGCATGATCACATGACCTAATTCTGCACAATGAGACATGAGGGGAGATGATATGGGAGAAACTTATGGAAAGGTTTTCCACTACCGTTATGAGCAGAATTGTGTTGAATTAATACGTTGAAGCTCTAACTCCCAGTACCTTAGAATATGAATGCCTTTGGAAATAACACCTTGTGTGTGTGTGTGTGTGTGTGTGTGTGTGTGTGTGTGTGTGTGTGTGATGGAGTTTTGCTCTTGTTGCCCAGGCTGGAGTGCAATGGCACAAGCTCGGCTCACTACAACCTCCACCTCCCAGGTTCAAGCAATTCTCCTGCCTCAGCCTCCCAAGTAGCTGGGTTTACAGGTATGCACTACTACACATGGCTAATTTTGTATTTTTAGTAGAGACAGGGTTTCACCATGTTGGTCAAGCTAGCTGGTCTCAAACTCCTGACCTCAGGTGATCCCGCCTCAGCCTCCCAAAGTGCTGGGATTACAGGCATGAGCCACTGAACCCAGCTGAGATAATGTCTATAAAGAGGTTACTAAAATTAAATGAGGTTTTATGGGAAGTCCCTAATCCAATCTGACTGATGTCATTTTGAGAGGAACTATGGACACTTGAAAAGACACCAGGGATAAGCAAACAGAGGAAAGACTATGTGGGGACACAGAGAATGTGGCCAGCTGTAAGCCAAGGAGGATGACCTCAGAAAAAACAAACCTGTGAATCTTGGTGTTGAACTTCGAGCCTGCAGACTATGAGAAAATAAATTTCTGTTCTTTAGGAAGCTCAGCCTGTGGTATTTGGTTATGGCAGCCCTAGAAATCTAATATAGTCATTTAAAAATGACATGTAAATGAATTTTAAAATAATGACACAAGGAAGGAAGCACCCTTTCTGTTACTGGACATTTTGATATCTGATTATGAAGATGGGAATTGCTTTAGCCATCTTACACCTGTACAGAGAATCCATCTGAGAACTGGTTTCCATGTTGAGTATGGCAGATCTACCAAAATATACATAAAACAAAAACTTATTTCTTAATGATGCTGCTGAGCCACTGAATTAACTAAACTTAGATCACTCTGTCTTCAAATGTCCTCTTATATGAAAATAAGTTTCCCTGATTTCTTTAAGCTGTGGTTTTCTATAAATTATAGCCAAAATCATCCTATTGATACAATCAATTGGATAAAGTTTAGCTATTGACAAGCTAAGGCTGTTTCAGCAGTTGCTCTAGACTTTACTCCTTTATTACTCATCAGTTCTTAGTCTTCTTCCATTTCCAACTCTATACTCTTGGCTCTTAAGTTTTGCCTCCAACCCGTCACAGAGTTTTTAACTTATGTCTAACTTATCCATAGTTTTCTAAGCATTAGACTCTCAATTGTCCCCTATAAACTTGCTTAGTTTCTCTTAGGTGGGAATTACAATCTTGGATCTATCCACTTAAATGAAGTCCAAAGTCAGTTCCAAAATGTAGGCAAATTCAGAAAGATAAGCTAATAACCTATCTTTTAGTTGACATGGTCAACCCAATACATATATCTGTGTTATGCTCTGTTTATAAGTAATGGCAAATTCCTGAAGGACCGATACCCAATATCACATAGGCAAAAAGTCTGAGACCTCAGACCCAATTTCCTGACACCAACTACTTTACTAATTCCATTATTCATTATTCTACCCAATTAATAAATTTGATGTTAATATATTGGGACCAGATAGTATTCACTTAACAGTTTTAAAAAATTATAAGGTGAAAATGTAGAAATACATACAATTTCTCATTAACTTTATAAATTGCCAGAGATTTAAGGATTTATAAAATATTAAAAGGATTTTGTAATTGTAGAGTCTTACCTCCCTACTTGGAAGTTTGATAGAGACTTTATAAGCAAGAGAGGGACCCCTTTGTGAATATAGATAGGATGAATACATAGAGCTTAATCTATAATCCAAAATTCAGTGGGATAAGACATGCCACCAGGTAAACATTTTACTTTCTGTAGCTCAGCTACAAATACATTGACCTTGATCCAGCCATTGAGAATATCATTGACTTTCAGAGTTTTGGGGCTTTTTAATTTTTATTTTACTATTATTATTATTATTATTGCTTACTTGTTTGTTTGTTTCTGGCTAATTCTCCTTATCTGATTCTCTGATCCTATTTTGGTAACCTGTCTTTCATATTTCCAATCTCATTTCCTGATTTTTGCATCACTTTTCGTCAGGTATTGATTTCTGTATTCCTAGTCATAACCAGTTAACCTAAATGTCATTCTTGAAAATGCTTTGTATCTAATAATTCATTTTAATGGTCTTGGAACTATACAATACCTTGACTATACACTCAACATTGAAGTTCAACAAAAGAACCCATGTTCCTTTCCCTGACTCAATAAATATTTAGAGAGGGTAATCTACTGGGAAAAGAGTAATATGGTTTCTGTAAGGGGATATTATAGTCGTCTAGTAGCATTCTTTGAAGAGGTAAATTAATAAATAAGGGGCGGGCATGGTGACTCATGCCTGTAATCTCAATACTTTGGGAGGCCAAGGCTGGTATGGATCACCTGAGGACAGGAGCTCAAGACCAGCCTGACCAATATGGTGAAACCTCGTCTCTATTAAAAATACAAAAATCAGCCAGACATGGTGGCGTGCACCTGTAATCCCAGCAACTCAGGAGGCTGAGGCAGGAGAATTGCTTGAGCCCAGGAGGTGGAGGTTGCAGTGAGCTGAGATCACACCACCGTGCTCCAGCCTGGGCAACAGAGCAAGACTCCGTCTCAAAAAAAAATAAAAGAAAAATAGATAAATAAGGAAAACGAGCAAAGGTAAAGTGCAAAGACTTTAAATTCAGACCTTCGAACCAAAGATTATCTTAAAGGTGAATCACTCACTATTGGATTATACAATTAGCAGCCCTCTGTATCCATGTGTTCCTCTTCCATGAATTCAACCAACCATAGATCAAAAATATTCAGGAAAAGAAAAATGCATCGGTACTGAATACATAACGATGCATTTTTTCTTGTAATATTCCTAAAACGACAGAGTATAACAACTATTTACATAATTTACATATTATATATCTTTGTTGTATTAGGTATTATAATGATTTAAGAGATTATATAAAGTATATAGAAGCATATGCATAGGTTACATGCAAATACTTTATCAGATACTTGAGCCACTGCAGATTTTGATGTGCTCCAGAGGTCCTGGAACTAACCCCCCACAGATACTGAGGGACAACTGTATTCACAGAAAATATTTTATCATGGATTAAAAATATATATTAGTACAAAAAGTTAGAGCCTGAATTTTAGAGGAATCCATGCAATGGGAGAGATGTCACAGAGATCAGTACTGAGATTAACTTTGATCAATAATTTTTTTTTTTTTGAGCCAGGGTCCCACTGCAGTGGCATGATCATAGCTCATGATCATTGCAGCCTCAGTCTCCCAGGCTCAAGCCATCCTCCGACCTCAGCGTCCTGAGTAGCTAGATCTACAGGCATACCACCACATCTCGCCTGGCTATTTATTTATTGATTGATTTATTGATTTTGAGTCAGAGTCTTGCTCTGTCACCCAGGCTGGAGTGCAGTGGCACAATCTTGGCTCACTGCAACCTCCGCCTCCCAGGCTCAAGTGATTCTCCTTCCTCAGCCTCCCGAATAGCTGGGATAACAGGTGCCCACCATCATGCCCAGCTAATTTTTTTGTTTTTTTTTTTTTTTAGTAGAGATGCGGTTTCACCATGTTAGGCAGGCTGGTCTCGAACTCCTGACCTCAGGTGACCTACCTGCTTTGGCCTCCCAATGTGCTAGGATTCATGCCTGTAGCCACCATGCCCAGCAATAATTTTTGAAACAGAAGATGACTATGGAGTATCATTTCGTAATTTAAAAATGACTTACCAGTGGTGAATTATGAAGATAAGGAAAAAGTTTAGGAAATTTCACAAGGTAGGCAGTTGGACAGAAATTTAAGATACCAGCTTCTTGATGAGAAAAGTGAGGTCCTATTATGGGCTAAATTGTGTTTCCTGAAGATTCACATGCTGAAGTTCTAATCCTCAGTACTTCAGAGTGTGACCATATTTAGAGATAGCATCTTTAAGGAGGTAACTAAGTTAAAATGAGGCCAGTTAGGGTGAGCCCTAATCTGATATGACTGATGTCCCTGTAAGAAGAGGAAATCTGAACACAGGTGCACAGAGGGAAAATGATGTGAAGCCAGGGAGAAGACGGCCATTGACAAGCCAAGGAGAGAGGCCTCAGAAGAAACCAACCCTGCCAACACCTTCATCTTGGACTTCTAGGCTCCAGAACTGTGAAGAAATAAATTTCTATTGTTTGAGCCACCCAGTCTGTGGTATTTTGTTACAGCAGCCCTGGAAAAATAATAGAGGTCCTAAAGCTAGAAATAACGTAAATAATGGCCAAGGGATAACTGGCTTCGAGGGCCATTTGGAAAAACAAGACAGAGAACTTGTTGTCAGTCTAATGTGGTTCTAATAGACAAAAAGGCCATCAGAGTATTGATAAGCAGGCAGTGAGTTGAAAGCAGAATAGAAGACATTCTTATACTTGGCACAAACCATGTACAGTCACTCAAAAATCATCTTAGGATGCATATATTTAAGCAGAATGCACAGAAAGTAGTAACTCCTAGTCTACAAGGATGAAATACAAATAGGATGAGGAAGACAAAAAGGGAAGGGAAAAGAAGAAAAGAGCTAACCCTTATAAGTATTCATTCATTTAATCCTTATGGCCACCCCTACGTGTAAGTAAACTGAACATTATTGTCTCCACTTTGGAAAGGAGGAAACTGAATCACAGAAAGAGTAAGTAAATTGCTCAGAGTCACACAGAAAGTGAAAAAGCTATGATAAATAATAGATCTATTAATATAAGAACAAATCAAAAAATGTGAAACCTATTTTCTACTCTCATATTTTCTTACTAACAATAGAAAAGAAGCTTACCTTACATTTTCAGATAGAGAGGAAAGGATATTGAGCCTGATTCATTTTGTATCTTCTTGTGTTTCTATGTGTTCATTCTTAAACAAGTAATAGAAACTACACTCAGTCTAGAACATGTCAGTCTTATTTTGGCAAAACAATCCCACCGTCTTCTTCTGCATCTACCCTTGACCCCATTGCAAAATCTAGCACAATCTGATAACAGAAGAAGAGAACAAAAGAGAAAAATTTGAAGGAACTGTGTTTAACCTTAAGGAAAGCATGGCTTCTGTTTTGAACAATGGTCCTGTGTAGTTTCACTTAAATCTTATCTGTATACAAAACTCTTGGTTGCCACTCTGTGCTGTGAAACTGCTACATGGTTGCATTTCAATATTAAGTATGTAAGCCAGTGAGTAAACCAAACCATGATAGTTCATGAATCTACTAATGGAGACGATCATATCAGTACTATTATTCCAATACAGAAATTCAAAGGTAGTGCATACAGAAATAGAGATCATAAAATGCAGTCATTTTAAATTATTTTTTACACTAAAAATAATTTAGTCATTGTGCTCCAGACATTAAGTGCATTAATGTACATGCTTCAAAGTTTATCTCCTTTTTCTCTTCCTCCCCCATCCCCCACAAAAAAAAATGGTGAGAGAAAATTTTCTAGGTCTAATCTAAGCCTAAAGAAAACACACCTTTTGTGAATGCTAAGTAGGGAGATGTAGAAAATGAAGAGAAAAGACTCTAATGGTCTCAGAAACTGTATAAAGAATAATTCTACAGCTGAAGTATTTGGACACTTTCTTTCTTTCTTTCTTTTTTTTTTTTTTTTTTTTTTTTTTTTTGAGGCAGAGTCTCGCTCTGTCACCCAGGCTGGAGTGCAGTGGCGCAATCTTGTCTCACTGCAACCTCCTTCTTCCAGGGTCAAGCGATTCTTGTGCCTCAGCCTCCCAAGTAGCTGGGATTAAAGACATGCACCACCACTACTGGCTAATTTTTGTATCGTTAGTAGAGATGGGTTTTCACCATGTTGGCCAGGCTGGTCTCAAACTCCTAACCTCAGGTGATCCACCTGCCTTGGCCTCCCAAAGTGCTGGGATTACAGGTTTGAGCCATTGTGCCAGCCGGATTCCACAAATTTTGATCAACTATTATTTTCTTAGAATGCATGACCTATTGCCAAATTCACCACTTCATTGTCAGATTTTTTTTTATCAACAGGGAGGAGATTGTTACACAGGAATTGAATTTGTTTTATTGAAAATTGGAATCGGCCAGGCGCGGTGGCTCACGCCTGTAATCCCAGCACTTTGGGAGGCCGAGGCGGGCGGATCACGAGGTCAGGAGATCGAGACCATCCTGGCTAACACGGTGAAACCCCGTCTCTACTAAAAATACAAAAAAAAAGTAGCCGGGCGAGGTGGCGGGTGCCTGTAGTCCCAGCTACTCGGGAGGCTGAGGCAGGAGAATGGCGTGAACCCCGGGGGACGGAGCCTGCAGTGAGCCGAGATCACGCCACTGCACTCCAGCCTGGGCGACAGAGCAAGACTCCATCTCAAAAAAAAAAAAAAAAAAGAAAAGAAAATTGGAATTGAATTAGTTCAGATAATATCCTTAACTTTCTTATCTCTCTCCATTCACTTTCAATTATTTGAATTATAACAAGTTCCATTGGAAAGGATGCATACTTTTACCTTCTCTTTGGATAAAAGGTAATCTGAAATAAATTGATTGCTTCTGTTAAATAGACAAATAGAATTACTAAGTATTATCAGATCTCAAATAGCTCTAATAGAATATGTACACAGGTAAGACTCATTTAGCATTATTTAAAATCTCGTTTTTAAAAAATATGATAATGGAGACAAATTTGCTATTAAATAATTTATTTGCAATGTATAAATGTCCTTAGCAGTCAATCCTATTTGGGTTTGAGAAAAACATGACATTTTCAAGTTATCTTAGTTGGTGTAGGTCTAAAGATATGGAAGGGAAGTAAGAACCAAGAGGTTGTGTCTTAGCAACTACTCAGCCAGCAGCTGGAACTGTAGCTCATTCAGAATACACAATGTAGAGGACTGATAGCAGCTCTTACACTCAACAGCAACATCTGCAAAGATCCATGCATCTGTAAACTTCTGTTGCTTTTTCTGACAAGGATTCCCAACTTGTAAGTGGGTTGATTTCAGTCTCTGCTTGTACCTCTGTATCCTCCAACACTGTTCTCTCCACTTGCCTTCTCTCCACCTCAAGGTCTGTGTTAGCTTTTACTGTCTTGTGATTTCTGAAGCCTCAATGTGTCTCTAGTTCCTGCTCACTTAAGTTTCCCTCCAAATTCCCAAGGGAGATCTGCTTTACGGTTAGTCAACATCCAATATTGACCATTCTTGCTGGGCAGAGTTCAGTTACACTTCATGGGCTGATAGCGAGGCTTTTAGCTATCTCTGTCTCAAAGGTTAATCCTTGAACTAAGTCATTGCTGGTCCAGAAAAGCAGAAGTCACATGATGTAAAGCATAAGGGCCCTAGGAGCAGAGAAACACTCAGCTGTCTTTCATAGAAGAGGTCTTTGGACATGGAAGGACAATGAGCATGGGTTGACGCACAGAGCAACTTGGTCTCCTCTCCAGTATAAGTCTTCTTTTAAGGAATCAATGATATGAAAGTTTATTTTTAAAAATTACAAAACAACAACACTGGTTTCATCCTCCACCCCAAAATTCCAAGTAATTATAGTCATGTACTGTATAAAAACATTCTGGTCAACAATGGACCACATATAAAACAGTGGTCCCATAAGATTATAAAAGAGGAGGGGCATGGACCAGAAATCTGAGAGAGGTCAAAGACGCCCAGGCCAGGTGCCTCTCAGGTACTCATGTACTGATATGAAGTAGGAGGGGCGCAGTGCTAGAAGCCCCTTCCTCAGTGCTGCCAACCAGACACCCAGCCCATGGCAAACCCTGGCCTAGGGCTGCTCCTGGCCCTGGGCCTGCCTCTGCTGCAGGCCTGCTTAGGCCCAGCCTTGAGACAAACCTCCACAGCAGGGGCCCCTTCTGTAAATGAGAGCAGCACTATCATGCCCACCAGCTCCAGCTCCAAAGGGACCCTGTCTCAGGGGGCATCACTGCTATCATGTGGACTAATCCATCCTGGCCACCCTACTCCTGGCTGTGGGACTGGAACTACTGGTGCAGAAGCTTCAGGAGAAGCATAGATGGAGGCGGAAACCTACCTACCCAGCAGCCAGGAACAGGTGGGTGCCCATGCGCCACAGACCCTCAACTTCAAATTGCCTCCGGAGGAGTAGCAGCTCATCTGAACGCTGGTGTTAGAGGCCTTTGAACCAGAGTGACTCCATCTTGAATAGGGGCTGGGTAAAATTGATAAAGGAATTAAGAAGAAATTACTTAGGCAGATAATGAGGATATGGAAGTCCTCGGTAAGGTTTTCCTTTTAATGAAAAGCAACCCCAAATTATTTTTCTTTCTAATGAAGAGCAGTCTGTAAAACCGAGCTGCAGACATTGATTGGCAGTTGTGCCAATCATGTTCAAGATGGTGGCTCCATCTTCTTCTTCTTTTTTTTTTTTTTTTTTTTTTTGATATGGAGTCTTGCTCTGTCGCCCAGGCTGGAGTGCAGTGGCGCAATCTCTGCTCACTGCAAGCTCCGCCTCCCGGGTTCACGCCATTCTCCTACCTCAGCCTCCCGAGTAGCTGGGACTACAGGCGCCCACCACCACGCCCGGCTAATTTTTTTGTATTTTTAGTAGAGACGGGGTTTCACCGCATTAGCCAGGATGGTCTCGATCTCCTGACCTCGTGATACACCCACCTCGGCCTCCCAAAGTGCTAGGATTACAGGCTGAGCCACCGCGCCCAGCCAAGATGGAGTCTCACTCTGTCGCCCAGGCTGGAGTGCAATAGCTGGATCTTGGCACACTGCAACCTCTATCTCCTGGGTTCAAGCTATTCTCCTGCCTCAGCCTCTCCTCCCCAACCTGTAGGTGAGATTACAGGTGTGTGCCACAAAGCCCGGCTAATTTTTTTGTATTTTTAGTAGAGACAGGGTTTCACCATGTTGGTCAGGCTGGTCTCGAACTCCTGACCTCAAGTGATCTACCCACCTCAGCCTCCCAAAGTGCTAGGATTACAGGCGTGAGCCACCGCGCCTGGCCCATCTTCCCTTCTTCTGTACAGTAAGGAGCAGACAAGATGGCGCTGGTTAACTGGAAAGCCCATTTGCACAATAAGATTAGGGTGGGGCAACCAGTCTTACCACAAGCACTATGAAAACATCATACCTGATCGAACCAATTTGTGAGCCCTATGTAAATCAAACACTGCCTCCTCAAACCTGACTATAAAATCTGGCCCATCCACTGCTGGCAGGTCTTTCTTCTCAGAAGTCCCCTCTCTCTCAAGAGGCAGAGCTGTTTTACTTTCTTTTCTTCTGCCTATTAAACCTTCGCTCTTAAACTCCTCATGTGTGTCTGTGTCCTAAATTTTCCTGGCGCCAGACAACAAATCCCAGGTATATACCCCAGACAATGTAGCCACTTCAAAATGAAGCTGAGATCTACTGGGCTGCATTCCCACGAGGTTAGGTATTCTAAGTGACAGGATGAGATAGGAGGTCTGCAAAAGATACAGGTCACAAAGGCTTTGCTAATAAAACAGGTTGCAACTGGGCGCGGTGGCTCACACCTGTAATCCCAGCACTTTGGGAGGCCGAGGTGGGCGGATCACCTGAGGTCAGGAGTTTGAGACCAGCCTGGCCAACATGGCGAAACCTGTCTCCACTAAAAATACAAAAATTAGCTGGGCGTGGTGGGCGACTGTAATCCCAGCTACTCAGGAGGCTGAGGCAAGAGAATCACTTGAAACCAGGAGGCAGAGGTTGCAGTGAGCCGAGATCACGCCACTGCACTCCAGCCTGGGCAACAGAGCGAGACTCTGTCTCAATAATAACAATAATAATTAATAAGAAAACAGGTTGCAGTAAAGAAGCTGGTCAAAACCCACTAAACCAAGATGGAGATGAAAGTGACCTCTGGAGGTCCTCACTGCTCATGATATGCTAGTTATGATGCAATTATAATGCATTGGCATGCTAAAAGACACTCCCACTAGCATCATGATGGTTTACAAATGTCAGGAAGTTACTCTGTATGGTTTAAAAGGGGGAGGAACCCTCAGTTCCAGGGGTATTGCCCATCCCTTTCCTGGAAAACTCATGAATAATCCACCCCTTGTTTAGCAAATAATCAAGAAATAACCGTAAAAATAACCACCAGCCCTAGGGGCTGCTCTGCCTTTGGCGTAACCATTCTTTATTCCTTTACTTTCTTAATAAACTCGCTTTCACTTTACTCAATGGATTTACCTCGAATTCTTTTTTGCACGAGATCCAAGAACCCTCTCTTGGGGTCTGGATCAGGACCCCTTTCCGGTAACACTGGGGCCCAATGCAGCCACTGCCCCTGCCCAGGACTGCCGGGTGCTGGCTTGCTGTATACAGCAGCTGCCACGGCCTCTGACAGCTCAGGAAGACTTGCAGGAGGGCCTGGGGGGCGTCCGCCTGTCAGGCGGTCGTCTGTGCCTACAGCTGAGGGTTTCAGGGCTGGGGATCCACCTCCTCGCTTGTGGAACCTTCTTCCCTCTGTGTGCACTGCAGGCCTGACAACTCCCTCTCCTTTCTTTCAGTTCTCCATGCACTTGAGGCCTGGGTCCCTCAGGACTCCAAGAAGAAAGTGTGGGGCTGCCTGCCCATCTAGTTCCCCTCTCCTCAATTTGTCCCACTTCATGGCTGTGTGACCTTGGGGAAAGGTAGAGCCCTCTCTGGGCAGTCAGATCCACCCAGTTCTTAAGAATAGCATGGAAGAAGCTGTTTCAAAGACTGCTCCTGAGGACAAGGGAGGGCAGGGCTGTTAACTTTTTATATACTTATATAAAATTAATAGTGAAGTATAATAAAGTTTGCTTGTTTTGAGCTGTTGGAGGCATTAGCCAAGACGGAAGACACAAATGCAGAGGAACTGCAAGGTTGTAAGGATCCTAGGGTATTGGGGGGCTTCCTGGAACTCCCTTCTAGAATCCAGTTAAAGAGGCTGCCCTTGGAGGGTGAGAGGTGGGTAGGTTGTGTTCCCCTCCAGAGAGAGGGCCTTAGAGAAATTCACCAGGAAAAACCAGCTTCTGGCTCTTGTGGCTTTATTGAAGGACAGGAGTCTCCTCCCGACCCTTGATCCTTAACCGTCAAAGCACTTAAGATCAGCCACTCTGGGCTGGCTCCTGGCCTGGGGCTCCTGCTGGTTGCTGGTGGGTGATGGAATTCAGGCCTCCCAATTCTTCCAGTGACTGGAGGTGAGTGTGCTCTGCTAGCAGGACTTTGCGAGGCTGGGCTCTGGGATTCTCTGGAGAACTAGGGTCTGGGGAAGGATCAAGAGGCTGGACTATCTGGACAATATCAAAGTTGGACTTTGTGGGGGCTGGAATTTGGGGGCTTTCTGGAGGGCTGGGCTGGGTGGGCACTGTGGAGAGCCTGGAACTGGGGCTTTCCTGGGCTCTAGAATGTTTGGCTGCCTTGTAGGGAGGGGAAAGATAAAGGATTAGGGACTCTGTGAGAGGAGAGTGTTCGGGGTCCCCTCCGCTACTTGGGTCTGCAGGAGCTGTTGAGGACTGAAATGGAGAGATGACTTCTTGGTTAGCCTCTAGGACAGCTAGGACTTGAGATTCCTTGAGAAGCTTGTAGCATCCACAGATGAGGCATTTTGCAGAGACGGCAGGTCTGCAGGCAGGGACAGGGGCTGAAGCTCTGGCAGTTTCTCATTGTCTGGTTGCTATCTTGCTCTTCCTGGTATGTTGGGCTGGGTAGGGTGGAGAGACGGGCAAGTTGCTGGCCTTTAGATGGCAAAGGGGTTGGCAAGTTGGATGGACCATTAGGGTAAAACTTGGGGAAGAGGCAGGGTTTCCACCAGGATGAATCAGCTGTCTAGGTCCCCTCTGTGACAGCAGTTTAAATTCTGGCCTGGTCTCAGGCTGCCTGCACTCTTGGCTCCAACACTCAGACTGTCCAGAATCTCACTCAACAAATCCAGTTATTCTCTAGACCTCAAGATGCTGCTGCCTATAGCTTCTTTTGCCATAGGCTCCCCTCATCCTTAGGGCTCAGAGGAGGTGTTCTAGATGAGGATGGGCAGCCTCAGGTATTTGCCTGAGAGCCCCAGCCCTAGTCAGGCTGCTCTGGAGTTTGGGTACCCTTCTCCGCATCAGTTGTGGCCTCCTGCTTTCAATATTGGTGCTCCCCTTTAGCTTTACCCCTCCCTTGGGGGCTTAGAAGTTTTCTCTTCCAGCTGGAGTCTCTTGCTGGGGTGGAGGGGCTGGTTCTGCAAAGGGTGGGAAAGACAGGACCTTGGGAGCTTCAGAATCAGGGGGCTGAGGCTTGTTGGAAGAGGGTGAGTGTGAAGTGGGTGCCAAATATTAGGGTAAGTGAGGAGAGAGGCAAGATGTCTGGATGGGGACTGGGGTGGGTGGAGGATTCAGTGATAATACCAAGCATGTGTATGGGGGAAGGGGTGTTCTCACCTGTTCAAAGTGCTGAGTGATAGGCAGGTGCTGCTGCAGGTGATCTGAGTGGCTGGTGAGGGCTAGACCCTCAAGGAGCACCTCCTCTGGAGGCCAGAATCCCCATCCAAGGAAGAGAATGCCTGAGCTGGGAGCCCCTCCCACACCCCCCAGATATTAGCCTTTGGCTGGTCTTACCTTATAGATTAGCAGGCTCTGCATCCCCCTCAAGCTACACTTGGCCTATAGAAGCACTACGGGAGAATTACACCTGAGGCTGATTGGACCCTGGGCATTTCAGAGCTCAATCCTCTTATCTCATAAGACAGCTTCATCTTGCTATCTGTCCAGCTCTGTGTCTTAAATATGTTCACAACCCCCCATGCACCATCTAAGAAATCAATACAAACTTTCACTCCTTTGGCTAATACAAAGGGAGTATTCCAGGAGGAAATAATCACCAAATAAAATGAAAAGTGGCAAAACAACGTTGTACAAGTGTTCATGGCTCAAAGCCATAAAGTATAAAATTACGTGAACAATTTTGAGCTGCAAAAGTTGGCTCCAGGAAACTTGTCGGCTTGGGAGAAAAAAAAAAAAAAACACATAAGGGCAAAAGCTGGGATTATATGGTCCAAGGACAAAGGATGCTTGCCAGTGAATCTTGGTTGTCAATTTTAAAGAAGCGGGCTATGATTTTGACAAAAAGGAGCATGATGAATGGAAAATAAAAGTGGGAAGACTTGTTAATAGAAAAAAAAAAGATTATGGGCCAGGTGTGGTGGCTCACACCTGTAATCCCAGCACTTTGGGAGGCCAAGGAGGCTGGATCACTTGAGGTCAGAAGTTTTTGAGACCAACCTGGCCAACATGGTGAAACCCCATCTCTACTAAAAATGCAAAAATCAGCTGGATGTGGTGGCACGCCTGTAATTACACCTGTAATTACACCTATAATCCCAGCTACTCGGGAAGCTGAGGCACAAGAATCACTTTAACCTGGGAGGCAGAGGTTGCAATGAGACAAGATCATGCCACTGCACTCCAGCCTGGGCAACAATGTAAAACTGTGTCTCAAGAAAAAAAGAAAAAAAAGATTATAATGAAGCTGAAAAAATTTTATTGCCTAGTGATATCATAGCTGTCATAATGTTGCAAGGCAACACATTACTCGCATGTTTGTAGGGATACTGGTGTGAACAAACCTACTGCACTGCCAGTCATATAAAAGTATAGTATGTACAATTATGTACAGTAAATAAAACTTGATGATAATAAATGTTATTTATTTATATATTTACTATACTATATTTTTAATTATTTTAGAGTATACTCCTATTTACTAAAAAAAAAAAAAAAAAAAAGTTAACTATAAAACAGATTCAGGCAGGTCCTTCAGGAGGTATTCCAGAAGGCATTGTTATCACAGGAGATGACAGACAGCTCTATGTGTGTTATTGCCCCTGAAGATCTTGAAACGGGAAAAAATGTGGAGGAGGAAGACAATGATATTGATGACTCTGACCCTGTGTAGGCTTAGGGTAATGTGTGTACTTATGTCTTAGTTTTTAACAAAAATGCCTTAAAAGTAAAAAATACATGTAAAAATAGAAAAAATGCTTTTAGAATAAGGATATAAAGAAAGAAAATATTTTTGTTTGGCTGTACAATGTGTTTGTGTTTTAAGCTAAGCATTATTACAAAAGAGTAAAATAATTGAAAAAATTATAAAGTTGATAAAGTAAAAAAATTATAGTAAGCTAAGGTTAATTTATTATTAAAGGAAGAATACTATTTTTTAAATAAATTTAGTATAGCCTAAATGTGCAATGTGTATAAAATCTACAGTAGTGTATAGCAGTATCGTAGACTTTCACATTCACTCACCACTCACTCACTGACTTACTCAGAAAAACTTGCAGTTTTGCAAGCTCCATTCATAGTACCACTTTTTAAAATATATATATTTTTTCTTTTGATATAGGGTTTTGCTCCTGTTACCCAGGCTAAAGTCACTGCAGCCTTGAACCTTCTGGGCTCAAGCGATCCTCAGACTTCAGCCTCCCAAGTAGATGAGATCACAAGTACATGCCATGACACATGGCTAGTTTTCAAAAAATTTTTGTAGAGACAGGGTCTCCCTATCCTGCCTAGGCTGGTCTCAAACTCCTAGGCTCCAGTGGTCCTTCTGCCTCGGACTCCCAAAGTGATGGGATTACAAACATGAGTTATCGCACGTGGCCTCATTTTTTTTTAATCTTTTACGCCATATTTTTACTGTACCTCTTCTATGTTTGGATGCACAGATACTTATCATTGTCTTACCATTGCCTACAGTATTCAGTACAGTAATGTGCTATACAGGTTTGTAGCCTCGGAGCAATAGGCTATACCTTATAGCTTAGGTGTGTAGTAAGCTATAGCATCTAGGTTTGTGTAAATACACTCTATGATTTTCATACAATGAAATCACTTAATGACACATTTCTCAGAATATATCTGCATCATTTAGAAACACACAACAGTACTAATTTTTTTTTTTTTTTTTGAGACGGAGTTTCGCTCCTGTCACCCAGGCTGGAGTGCAGTGGCATGATCTTGGCTCACTGCAACCTCCGCCTCCCGGGTTCAAGCGATTCTCCTGCCTCAGCCTCCTGAGTAGCTGGGATTACAGTTGCCTGCCACCATGCCTGGCTAATTTCTTGTATTTTTAGTAGAGATGGGGTTTCACCATGTTGGGCAGGCTGATCTCGAACTCCTGACCTCAGATGATCCACCCGCCTCGGCCTCCCAAAGTGCTGGGATTATAGGTGTGAGCCACTGCACCCGGCCATCATTTTTTATTTTTTAGTGATGGAATCTCTCCCTGTCACCCAGGCTGGAGTACAGTGGCACAATCATAGCTCACTGCAGCCTTAAATTCCTGAGCTCAAGGAATCCTCTCACCTCAGCCTCCTGAGTAGCTGGGACTACAGGTGTATGCCATCACACCCAGCTATTTTTTTTTATTTATTTTTTGTAGAGATACAGTCTGGCTATGTTGCCCAGACTGATTGGTCTTGAGCTCCTGGCCTCAAGTGATCTTCCCACTTCAGCCTCCCAATATACTAAATTAGTTTTTAGGATTTTCTTGTTCTTAACCTAGACTTAATTCTCTGTTAATATATTTCCACATGATTTTGATATAGACTTCAAATTTATTGCAAAAATAGCCCTCATTTTGTTTATCTTTTAATATTCAGTATCGTGAAGATGGCCTGGCATATAAAGGGTAATAAATAGATGTTAGTTGAATCAAGTCCATGAAACAAGTAAATAATGACAGAAACATTTGTATTGATATCACTAAAGAGAGCCTCAACTTCCAGCTTGGCAAATGAGAAAACTTGCTTGGCAGGGGCAGGAGTCCTGGGCTTCCAGTCTACTGGGCAGATGCACTGTTAACAGAAGGGCAAGAATATTTCCTTATAAGCTGTAAACTTCTTCAGGATTCTAGGAAAGTGGGAAGGACAGAGATAGGAATATAGCAGAGGTCCTACCAAAAGATGGATAAAGTGCACCTCCAGGACATTTAATGAGCAGGCCATCTCGCTAGATAACAGTAGACGTCCTCCTGGCTTAATGTAAGATTAAATACAGTCAAGGGCTCCGCACGAACATATTCATGCTCTATCTTCTAAATGTGGTTTCTGTCAATGTTGCAATGTAAATGCATGCATATCTCTACTAACCTTTAAGGTAATGATACTGTGTTTTGGGGCATTTCATATGAAGAGTCCATCAAACTGGCATCATTGTTCTCCAATCATCCAAAAAATAAATATTATGTACAATAAAACATAAATTTCGGCCGGGCGTGGTGGCTTACGCCTGTAATCCCAGTACTTTGGGAGACTGAAGCGGGTGGATCACCTCAGGTCAGGAGTTTGAGACCAGCCTGGACAACATGGTGAAACCCTGTCTCTGCTAAAAATACAAAAATTAGCTGGGCATGGTGGTGGGCGCCTGTAATCCCAGCTACTCGGGAGGCTGATGCAGGAGAATCACTTGAACCCAGGAGGTGGAGGTTGCAGCGAGCTGAAATGGCACCATTGCACTCCAGCCTGGATGACAAGAGCAAGACTCTGTGTTTAAAAAAAACATTAATTCAACATTAATAAATATTTGATAAGCCCATTATTATAATATAATTTGACTTTTATACCAACCTGTCATAAGCAAATTCAATAAATTTTTCTATACCTATGTCCTTCTTATGCACAGGGATAAACTCAGAGTTCTCCAATTATTAAGACTTAGTTACAAAGCTAGTTTCAGCACAGGATTTCAAACAAGCCTGGGTAACATAGAGAGACCTAATCTCTGCCAAAAATTAAAAAAAAAAAAATTAGCTGGGCATGGTGGCACATGCCTGTGATCCCAGCTACTTGGGAGGCTGAGGTGGGAGGATTACTTGAATCCAGGAAGTTGAGGCTGCAGTAAGCCATGAGCATGCCACTGCACACCAGCCTGGGCAACAGAACAAAAATCTGTCTCAAAAAAAAAAAAAAAGTTACAAAATTAAGGTACAAGTTAATTCAAAAAGTTAATAATTAATAAATACAAAAATAACAAGGTTATAACCATCACAAGATGTCCATTAATCAAACTAAGAGTGACAAGGACAGAAAATTTTGAGGTTATGTAAAAGCAAACTACTTTGGAAGAATGCAACTTACAAAAAGCAAAATTTAAACCGATGTATTCATGAGTTGCCCAGCTGTAAGTGGGAAGGATCAGTAGGAATACATGCCATGATCCATAATATCAGCCATGGGCGTGTAGGTGAAAATTGTACCAAGTCTTTCACCTTTGGCCTAATATCTGGTTTAGCTCTAGAGAAGTCTGTGTTAAAATGTATGCGACTGGAGCATGCAGTTATGATGACAGGGCAAAAGGCTGATTTAAGATTTTCTATTGGTCAGGATTACTTACGTAAACAGATGGCATACCCAAAGGTTTAATCAAAGAAAGTTTAATGAAGGTAGTACTTACCAACATGTGAAAAGGGATTAAGGCAACTGACAACAAAGAGTAAAGCTCCCAGTGACGAGCAACTGTAAGCAGCCATTACTACTGCTAAGCATGAAGACATGAGCAGCAACTAGAACTCTAGCTGCTAGCTGTAAAGGAGCTCTTGTTTTCTTGAAGACGTAGGAGGTGAAAAAATACTATGAGAGTGACAAGGTGAAGGTGGATGTGGAAGTTTGATGACAGTGGATTTTTTTTAGTCAATCTAAAGTGAGAAATTTGGCTCACGAAAGAAATATATATAGTTGTCAGGCAACTGAAAACCATTGAGCCTGTTGAACATAAATTCATAGTAAATCCTGCACTCTTGTGTCTTTTCTCCAGTGGTGTTCAGATAGCCAGAAGCAAGCTTGGAGAAAATATGTGGGTTCATCCCATGTTGCTTTCACCAAGAAGATATGATGGAAAGATAGAAAAATAATGTTTAATATTTTTACAAGAGAGTAATTTAAGAACTTGACCATGACATCCAAGATAGATAAGGAAGAGCCCTAACTGATAGAGAAAAGAGTAAGAATCAAGGGCCTGAAGATTCTTATTTCTTCTAAAAACTTTTACCATAAAAGTACTTAAACACATAAGCTGAAATAATAAGGGACTTTGGTCAGGAAGTGGACTATTTGAATTAGTGACTTTGGAGTAGATCCTGCCTGGTGATTTTCAGGCTCAAAATGTAATTTTGGAACAGATATATAATTGGAGCAGGTAGGTCATTGGAAATGAGAAGTTAATAATTGAGCAATCTGGAAATTAGATGGGTGATGTGATGATAAATCTCATGTGTCAACTTGACTAAGCCATAGTACCCAGATGTTTGGGCAAACACCAACCTTAATGTAGCTATAAAGGTTTTCTTTTTTTTTTTTAAGATGAGATTAACATTTAAATAAGTAGACTTTTGATAAAGCAGATTACCCTCCATAATATGGTTGGGGCTCATCCAGTCAACTGAAGTTCTTAGAAAAAAACTGAGGTCCCCTCAAAAATAAGAAATTTTATTTCCAAACTGCCTTCAGAATCAAGCTGCAACATCAACTATTTCCTGGCTCCCCAGCCTGCCAACCTACCCTGTAGATTTTATACTTGTCAAGCCCCACAATCACATGAGCCAATTCCTTAAAATAAATTTATATAGAGATAGATAGATGATAGAGAGAGAGAGAGAGACAGAGAGAGAGAGAGAGAACAACATTCTATTGGTTCTGCCTCTCTGGAGAACTAATCTAATATAGGTGATAAATATGGATGTTAAAGTCTAGGAATTCTTTGAAAAATGATCCTAGGTTATTATTTTAAGTAAAAGTTTGCATTTATGGGCTGGCAGCCATGAAGTACTTGGGAGGGTTGGGCTAAGGTCAGGAGGATGTAATACTAAGTAAGGTTTGTGGTGCAGACTACTTTTGAGGAGGAAAGGTCAAGATACACACTCCACATCTAAATCTGTGGGATGACATAAAAACAGAATTTAGGGGGAAATTTGTAGTATTAAATGCCTAAATTTAGAAAAAATAAAGGACTCAAAACAATGTCTTTAGCTTGGACCTTGAGAAATAAAAGATCAAATGAAATCCAATGCAAGCAGAAAAAGAAAATAAAGATCAAAACATAAATTAAGTAGAAAACAGAAAACAGTGGGAAAAATCAGTGACACCAAAAAATAGTTTCGGGGGAAGATCAATACAATTGATAAAACTCTAGCCAGAAAAGGAAAAAAAGAGAAGACAAATTAGCAATATCTAGAATGACAGAGGTGAGATCACTACACATTCTACAATAACCTTTACTATTCTACAAATACTAAAAGGTTAATAGGACAATATTACTGGGGTAAACAGACTTTAAAGTATTCCCGTGATTCCCACATCCTGGTGTTCGTGACTTTGTATAATCCTTCATCCTTAGGTGTGAGCATGACCTGTAACTTGCTTCTAAACAATGGAATGTGGTAAAGGCAATGAGATACACGTGTTTACATGTATCAGGTTACATGAGAGACTTGCTAGCCTCTCTCTTTCTCTCTCTCTCTCTCTCTCTCTCTTTCTCTCTCCATTGCTGGCTTTTAAGAAGCAAGCCGCCATGAGTCCTACAACCACAAGGAAATGAATTCTGCCAACAACTCAATAGAGCCTGGAGGAATATATTTCCCTGATGAGAATCCAGTCCTAGATGACACTTTAATTGCAGCCTATGAGACCTTAAGCGAAGGACCTAGCTAAGCCATGCCCAGACTCCTAGAAGATGCTCAGAAACTGAGATAATAAATGTGTTTTAAGCCACTAAGTTTGGGGCAATTTATTACATAACAATAGATAAATTATGTACAACTTAAAATACAATCATGGGCAACTTTGATAAAAATGCGTTAACTTAAATTTCCTCAAAAAATACAAATTACCAAAGCTTACTCAAAAAGAAATAGATAATATTAATAGATGGAATCTACCAAAAAAAATCCAGAACTAATATGTAAGCTTAGCAAGATTTCTATTTACTATAGAAATCTTAGTCTGTTCAGGTTTCTGTAATAAAATACTATCAAGTAGGTGGTTATACACAACAGTTTATTACTCACAGTTCTGGAGGCTGGTATATTCAAGATCAGGACACCAGCAGATTCAGTGTCTGCTGAGGGACCACTTTCTTATAGATGGACATCTTCTCCCTGGAACTTCATAGAGCAAAAGAGTCAAACAAGCTCTCTGGCATCCCTTTTATAAGTACACTAATACCATTCATGAGGGGATCACCAAAGGCCCCATCTTCTAATGTCATAACCTTAGGAGTTAGAATTTCAACTAACTTTTATGGGGGAGACATAAACATCCAGTCCATTGCAATGATTAATATACTAAAAAAAAGTATTTCTTTTTTTTATTTTATTATTATTATACTTTAAGTTTTAGGGTACATGTGCACAATGTGCAGGTTAGTTACATATGTATACATGTGCCATGCTGGTGCACTGCACCCACTAACTCATCACCTATCATTAGGTATATCTCCCGATGCTATCCCTCCCCCCGCCCCCCACCCCACAACAGTCCCCAGAGTGTGATATTCCCCTTCCTGTGTCCATGTGATCTCATTGTTCAATTCCCACCTATGAGTGAGAATATGTGGTGTTTGGTTTTTTGTTCTTGCGATAGTTTACTGAGAATGATGATTTCCAATTTCATCCATGTCCCTACAAAGGACATGAACTCATCATTTTTTGTGGCTGCATAGTATTCCATGGTGTATATGTGCCACATTTTCTTAATCCAGTCTATCATTGTTGGACATTTGGGTTGGTTCCAAGTCTTTGCTATCGTGAATAGTGCCACAATAAACATACGTGTGCATGTGTCTTTATAGCAGCATGATTTATAGTCCTTTGGGTATATACCCAGTAATGGGATGGCTGGGTCAACTGGTATTTCTAGTTCTAGATCCCTGAGGAATTGCCACACTGACTTCCACAATGGTTGAACTAGTTTACAGTCGCACCAACAGTGTAAAAGTGTTCCTATTTCTCCACATCCTCTTCAGCACCTGATGTTTCCTGACATTTTAATGATTGCCATTCTAACTGGTGTGAGATGGTATCTCATTGCAGTTTTGATTTGCATTTCTCTGATGGCCAGTGATGGTGAGCATTTTTTCATGTGTTTTTTGGCTGCATAAATGTCTTCTTTTGAGAAGTGTCTGTTCATGTCCTTCGCCAGCTAACATCATAATGACAGGATCAAATTCACACATAACAATATTAACTTTAAATGTAAATGGACTAAATGCTCCAATTAAAAGACACAGACTGGCAAATTGGATAAAGAGTTAAGACCCATCAGTGTGCTGTATTCAGGAAACCCATCTCAAGTGCAGAGACACACATAGGCTCAAAATAAAAGGAGGGAGGAAGATCTACCAAGCAAATGGAAAACAAAAAAAGGCAGGGGTTGCAATCCTAGTCTCTGATAAAACAGACTTTAAACCAACAAAGATCAAAAGAGACAAAGAAGGCCATTACATAATGGTAAAGGGATCAATTCAACAAGAAGAGCTAACTATCCTAAATATATATGCAGCCAACACAGGAGCACCCAGATTCATAAAGCAAGTCCTGAGTGACCTACAAAGAGACTTAGACTCCCACACAATAATAATGGGAGACTTTAACACCCCACTGTCAACATTAGACAGATCAACAAGGCAGAAAGTTAACAAGGATACCCAGGAATTGAACTCAGCTCTGCACCAAGCAGACCTAACAGACATCTACAGAACTCTCCACCCCAAATCAACAGAATATACATTTTTTTCAGCACCACACCACACCTATTCCAAAAGTGACCACGTAGTTGGAAGTAAAGCACTCCTCAGCAAATGTAAAAGAACAGAAATTATAACAAACTGTCTCTCAGACCACAGTGCAATCAAACTACAACTCAGGATTAAGAAACTCACTCAAAACCGCTCAACTACGTGGAAACTGAACAACCTGCTCCTGAATGACTACTGGGTACATAATGAAATGAAGGCAGAAATAAAGATGTTCTTTGAAACCAAAGAGAACAAAGACACAACATACCAGAATCTCTGGGACACATTCAAAGCAGTGTGTAGAAGGAAATTTATAGCACTAAATGCCCACAAGAGAAAGCAGGAAAGATCCAAAATTGACACCCTAACATCACAATTAAAAGAACTAGAAAAGCAAGAGCAAACACATTCAAAAGCTAGCAGAAGGCAAAAAATAACTAAAATCAGAGCATAACTGAAGGAAATAGAGACACAAAAAACCCTTCAAAAAATTAATGAATCCAGGAGCTGGTTTTTTGAAAGGATCAACAAAATTGATAGACTGCTAGCAAGACTAATAAAGAAGAAAAGAGAGAAGAATCAAATAGACGCAATAAAAAATGATAAAGGGGATTATCACCACCGATCTCACAGAAATACAAACTACCATCAGAGAATACTACAAACACCTCTACGCAAATAAACTAGAATATCTAGAAGAAATGGGTAAATTCCTCGACACCTACACCCTCCCAAGACTAAACCAGGAAGAAGTTGATTCTCTGAATAGACCAATAACAGGCTCTGTAATTGAGGCAATAATCAATAGCTTACCAACCAAAAAGAGTCCAGGACCAGATGGATTCACAGCCAAATTCTACCAGAGGTACAAGGAGGAACTGGTACCATTCCTTCTGAAACTATTCCAATCAATAGAAAAAGAGGGAATCCTCCCTAACTCATTTTATAAGGCCAGCATCATCCTGATACCAAAGCCGGGCAGAGACACAACCAAAAAAGAGAATTTTAGACCAATATCCTTGATGAACATTGATGCAAAAATCCTCAATAAAATACTGGCAAACCAAATCCAGCAGCACATCAAAAAGCTTATCCACCATGATCAAGTGGGCTTCATCCCTGGGATGCAAGGCTGGTTCAATATACGCAAATCAATAAATATAATCCAGCATATAAACAGAACCAATGACAAAAACCACATGATTTTCTCAATAGATGCAGAAAAGACCTTTGACAAAATTCAACAGCGCTTCATGCTAAAAACTCTCAATAAATTCGGTATTGATGGGACGTATCTCAAAATAATAAGAACTATCTATGACAAACCCACAGCCAATATCATACTGAATGGGCAAAAACTGGAAGCATTCCCTTTGAAAACCGGCACAAGACAGGGATGTCCTCTGTCACCACTCCTATTCAACATAGTGTTGGAAGTTCTGGCCAGGGCAATTAGGCAGGAGAAGCAATAAAGGGTATTCAATTAGGAAAAGAGGAAGTCAAATTGTCCCTGTTTGCAGATGACATGATTGTATATCTAGAAAACCCTATTGTCTCAGCCCAAAATCTCCTTAAGCTGATAAGCAACTTCAGCAAAGTCTCAGGATACAAAATCAATGTACAAAAATCACAAGCATTCTTATACACCAATAACAGACTAACAGGGAGCCAAATCATGAGTGAACTCCCATTCACAACTGCTTCAAAGAGAATAAAATACCTAGGAATCCAACTTACAAGGGATGTGAAGGACCTCTTCAAGGAGAACTACAAACCACTGCTCAAGGAAATAAAAGAGGATACAAGGAAATGGAAGAACATTCCATGCTCATGGGTAGGAAGAATCAATATCATGAAAATGGCCATACTGCACAAGGTAATTTATAGATTCAATGCCATCCTCATCAAGCTACCCATGACTTTCTTTGCAGAATTGGAAAAAACTACTTTAAAGTTCATATGGAACCAAAAAAGAGCCCACATCGCCAAGTCAATCCTAAGCCAAAAGAACAAAGCTGGAGGCATAACACTACCTGACTTCAAACTATACTACAAGGCTACAGTAACCAAAACAGCATGGTACTGGTACCAAAACAGAGATATAGATCAATGGAACAGAACAGAGCCCTCAGAAATAACGCCACATATCTACAACTATCTGATCTTTGACAAACCTGAGAAAAACAAGCAATGGGGAAAGGATTCCCTATTTAATAAATGGTGCTGGGAAAACTGGCTAGCCATATGTAGAAAGCTGAAACTGGATCCCTTCCTTACACCTTATACAAAAATTAATTCAAGATGGATTAAAGACTTAAACGTTAGACCTAAAACCATAAAAACCCTAGAAGAAAACCTAGGCATTACCAATCAGGACATAGGCATGGGCAAGGACTTCATGTCTAAAACACCAAAAGCAATGGCAACAAAAGCCAAAAGTGACAAATGGGATCTAATTAAACTAAAGAGCTTCTGCACAGCAAAAGAAACTACCATCAGAGTGAACAGGCAACCTACAAAATGGGAGAAAATTTTCGCAACCTACTTATCTGACAAAGGGCTAATATCCAGAATCTACAATGAACTCCAACAAATTTACAAGAAAAAAACAAACAACCCCATCAAAAAAAAGTATTTCTATATACTAGCAGTAAATAATCAGGATTAAGTATTTTTAAATATCTTTGTTTTTCTTTGAGATGGAGTCTTACTCTATTGCCCAGGCTGGAGTGCAGTAGTGCAATTATAGCTCATTGCAGCCTCGAACTTCTGGGCTCAAGTGATCCTCCTGCCTCAGCCTCCCAAGTAACTAGGACTGTAGGTGCACACCATCACGCCCAGCTACTTTTTAAAATATTTTGTAGAGACAGGATCATGCTGTGTTAACCATGCTCATCTCAGATTTCTGCCCTCAAGTGATATTCCTGCCTTAGTCTCCCAAAGCACTGAGATTATAGGTGTGAGCCACCACACCCAGCCAAAAATATTTTTTGTAATGTCATAAATACATGAAACACTTAGGGATATATCTCAACAAAGATGTTAAGTGTTTCTTTAGATTAATGTAATCTTTCTTTAGATATATTAATAACCACAAAATGTAATCTAGTCAGTCTATTCAGGCTTTTTAAGATAGTTTTACATATATCTAAACTTCTTGATCAAGTATTTTAAGAAATTTTTACATATATCTAAACTTCTTGATCAAGTATTCACTTTACACAATTGTTACAAACAACCAATTTATATTTTGCTAAGTTTTAACTATTTCTAACCATTATGGTAGTCCTTAAATACCAGATTTGGGGTCAGATGACCTTATTTTAAATTTCAGCTCTGACAGTTAATAGCTGTATAATTTAAGACAAAAATTCTGATATTTCAGATCTCAGTTTCTGCATTTATAAAATTGGGATAATAATACTTAATAGCTCAGATGGCCTTGTGTTTTTATACAAACAGACTTTTTTGCTACATGATTTGGGTCATGTTAAATATTTCTAGTCTTTAGTTATTACCTCAGCCGGGTGTGGCAGCTCACACCTGTAATCCCAGCACTTTGGAAGGCCGAGATGGGCAGATCACTTGAGGTCAGGAGTTCAAGACCAGCCTGGCCAACATGGCGAAACCTCATCTCTACTAAAAATAGAAAAATTAGCCGGGCATGGTGGTGGGTGCCTGTAATCCCAGCTATTCGGGAGGCTGAGGCAGGAAGAACTGCTTGAACACAGGAGGCGGAGGTTGCAGTGAGCCAAGATAGTGCTACTGCACTTCAGCCTGGGCAAAAGAGCAAGACTCCATCTCAAAAAAATTAAAATAAAATAAAATAATAAGGTATTACCTCATCTATAAAATAGTACCTGTCTCTTAATATGGCTATGAAGATATGACATAAAATATTTAAAATGATTTAGAATAGTACCTGGCACTCAATACATGTTATCCTTTATAATGTTCACAAAAACGGGTACAGGTTTGACACATACAAAGTTTCATAATGTTTGTGGCTATAAGTCTTGTTTCCTATTATCTATAATTGGTCCATTCTAAACTCAGTAAAGTGTACATATTAGTCAAAATGTTTTGACTTTTTGTAGACATTCATTTAATCAAAAGTGGGACTCTATAATATTATAAAATTGAGTAAAGTCTTTATGGAATGTTTATATTAATTTTTAGTACGACTCTGAAATGAGATACCTGAGATCATTAGTTTTTTAAACTTTATTTAGCAGCAGAAACTTTTTTCAAATAAAATCTTATTCAGATCAATATATAAATATATATCAATGGTATAAAGCCAATAAAAGTTTTTCAGTTGAACTATAAACCCACAAGGCTAACACAATTTGGGCATTTATTATGTGCTAGGTGCAATTCTAAAATTACACTAAAGCCAGTATTGGCTCTGGGGCTTCTTTCTTGGAACCATAAAGTGCAATGAACGCAGTTTAAAACCTGCTCCTTGGAAATTGTTAAGCTATTCAAGGACAAGAACCTATGACATGTGTTTTAACCAAGTATTTAGTATGGTATTGGGCACTTAATAGGTGTTGAAACAATTTTGGTGGACTTGAGTAGCACAGAAAAAGCTCATGAAATCTTAATGACCCCACATGCTGGTAAATGGTTGCTGCCTCATGCTCCAAACATACCACTTCCTCAGGTCAAAACCAGTTTTTTTCCAATTCCTAAGCAACGAGGTTTGGCATAAAGCTAGGCCAGAAATGTCAGTACAGGCTATTTCTTGGGGATATTTAGAGACACCTACTGAGTTAGTAGGAAATGTAAATTGTGCCTAAATTTATCAGGATTATTTCTCAGACACACAACTACAGTTCATCTCATCTCCAAAGTAGCCTCAGGACTCCAGAAATACTCCAAGGGCCTCTTCCTAAAATTGACTAGAAATTTTGCCAGCTCTCTAAAGAATAATATTGACTGTCCCAAAGATCTCTTGGTCAAAGTCTATATTCGTGATTTGGAATTTTCCCAAGCACCAGGAATTACGCTGTGAGCTAACATTTACGCAGACATTCTCCCAGTTACTTTCAGTTTTCGGTTTTGTTAGTTATCAAGTAAAGGGGATAGCAGGTAAGGAGAAAGTAGGCAAGGGCATCAGAGATAAGTTACACTAGGACATAGCCTTGGCTTGTGTGTCATCTTCTTTCTACATGCCATATCTCCTCCATTACTGAATTTTAAGATCTGTCCTTGAAGACAGAGACTTGATCTATAGTTCTATTGCGCTGCTCACACTATTAATGGTAATAATAATAAAATTAATTTTTATTGAGGCCTTATGAAGTGCTTAATATTGTGCTAAGGCCAGGCATGGTGGCTACACCTGTAATCCGAGTACTTTGGGAGGCCGAGAAGGGAGGATCCTTTGAGCCCAGGAGTTTGAGCTAACCAAGACAACATGGTCAGACTCTGAGTCTACAAAAAATAAAAAATATTAGCTGGATGTGGTGGTGTGCACCTGTAGTCCCAGCTACTCAGGATGTTGAAGCACAAGAATCCCTTGGGCCCAGGCTGAGGTTGGTTGGGGCTGCACTGAGTCATGATGGTCCCCCTGCACTCCAGCCTGGGTGACAGAGTGAGACCCTGTCTCAAAAAAGAAAAAAAATTGTGCTAAAATACTTAAGCACTATCAAATGTGCAAGTATTCAATGAACATTTCGCAATTAAAAACTCTAAAATAAAATATCTTATGTAGAAATATTTCTGGGTAAGCAAACAAAACAAGTAGAAATAAAATGAGTTTTTATTTCTTCTTATACTAAAGGTAAAGAGAAAAACTTAAAATAGTGAATTTTCAGGATTGTTTTTAGAGACTTGAAATGAGGGCAGGTCGGGCAAAGTGGCTTACGCCTGTAATCCCAGCACTTTGGGAAGCTGAGGTGGGCAGATCACTTGAGGTCAGGAGTTCGAGACCAGCCTGGCCAACACGGCAAAACCCTGTGTCTTCTAAAAATACAAAAATGAGCCGGACATGGTGGCAGAAGCCTGTAATCCCAGCTACTCAGGCAGCTGAGGCAGGAGAATCACTTGAACCCAGGAGGCGGAGGTTGCAGTGAACTGAGATCGCCCCACTGCACTCTGGCCTGGGCAACAGAGCAAGACTCCATCAAGAAAGGAAAGAAAGAAAGAGAGATGAAAGAAGGAAAGAAAGAAAGAAAGAAGAAAGAAAGAAAGAAAGAAAGAAAGCAAGAAAGAAAGAAAGAAAGAAAAAGAGAGAGAAGAAAGAGAAGAAAGAAAGAAAGAAAGAAAGAAAGAAAGAAAGAAAGAAAGAAGGAAAGAAAGAAAGAAAGAAAGAAAGAAAGAAAGAAAGAAAGGAAGGAAGGAAAGAAAGAGGCAAAGAAAGAGGGAAAGAAAGGGAAAGGGAAAGAAGGGAAAGAAAGGGAAGGAAGGGAAGGAAGGGAAGGAAAGGAAGGAAAGGAAGAAAGAAAGAAAGAGAAAGAAAGAAAGAAAGAGGGAAGGAAGGAAAGAAAGAAAGAAAGAAAGAAAGAAAGAAAGAAAGAAAGAAAGAAAGAAAGGAAGGAAGGGAAGGAAGGAAAGAAAGGAAAGAAGGAAGGAAGGAAAGGAAGGAAAGGAAAGGAAGGAAGAAAGGAAGGAAGGGAGAGAGAGAGTAAGAGAAAGAGAAAGAAAGAGGGAGAGAAAGAGAGAGAGAGAAAGGAAGGAAGAAAGGAAGGAAGGAAGAAAGGAAGAGAGAAGGAAAGAAAGAGAAAAGAAAAGAAATGAGGGCAAGTTAGAAAGAAGAAATTGATCATAAAATCATGTGCTAAAATAAGTCAATAAGGTGAGAACAATACATGGGGTATCATAATCCCTATAAACCATTATACAAATCCTGAAAAAGTAAAAACAGTTTCTGAATTAAACTACCAGTGTTGAACACTCATATTAATAAAATGTAAAGCAACACCATACATTACAGAGGTTATGGATTATCATGGAGATCTGTATAATTAATAATAATCTATTATTATTTGACATGTAATTTTAGAGACACCATTGAAGCTTTACAAAATGAACTCTAAATGCAATTTCATTTCAACCAAGGAAACTGATAATCAAGAATAGTTATATTCTTTTCCTAAATTTATAAAACTTTTCTTCTAAGAAATGGATACACAATATTATGAAATTAATTTAAAAAGAAAGATTGGCTGACATTTATTACATAAATGGTTGTTTCTCCTAATATCTAATTTTTACTCCTCTCTTACTTAACAGATTTGTGACTGATGACATTGCTTTATGAATAGCATAAGCCCTGTTTTAACTAAGTGGATCATTGGGCTAGAAATAGAGATTCCTGTGCTGTATTTCTAGCTCTGAGTAGTTCTGTGACCTTAGGCAAACTTCTCAGCAGGAATCTCAAATTATCCTAATTAAAACTAAAATGTCATTTTCCACCCACTATATGTATTGCACAAAGGTTGTGACATGATTATCCCTCTTTTTACAAATAATTGAGTTACTTCATATAAAGGTAAAATGCCATAAAATTATTTCTACATTAATGTCATATTTAATAATCTGAAATGATTTTGCCTTAATAGGATAAGATAGTAAGTGCAAACAGAATAGAGTTCCGATTATCCTTTAAAGTTAGTAATTATTGTTAGAATATATACTAGCTTTCATGTGTATATATATAATTCATTTATATTCAACTAAATCACCATGGCTATCTTGAATATTAGAGGCAAGAGGATTCATTATTATATTCACCAATATATTCAGTATTGGTGGCTGTTATTAAAGGCTTGTAATTAATAGGGGGCCAGTCGAGAAGAGTGGCCACTGGAATCACAAACACTGTACTTCCTCTCCCATGTTCTGCTTCATAACTATGATCAAGTCACAACATCTTAGCCTCAAGACATGAAGATAATAATACTGTCTTAATTTTGTTTTGTTTTGTTTTGTTTCAGGAGAGCTAAATGGGCTGCTGGGTATAAACTATGTGGCACAGGGCCTGATGCACCTGAGGTGCCAAAAAAAAAATATTAGTCTTTATTCTTTCAAGAAATCCTATGAGATCCTTGATATTTTTGTTGTCACATACATCTGTAAAATATCCCCCCATTTCCTTGAGAACCTGTCGTTCAATAAGTATAAAGTTTCAGTTTTGTTAGATGAAAAAGTGCTATACATCATAATGTATATAATATTGTAGTCTTCAAAATTCTTAAGAGAGTAGATATGTATTCTTTAGAAAAAAACCCAAAGGGACACAATGAAACTTTAGGAGGTGTTGATTATGTCTATTACCTTGATTATGGTAATGCTATTACCAGTGTTTGCATATGCACAAACTAATAAAATTGTACATATTAAATATGTGCAGCTTTTTATATATCAATTATACCTTAATAAAGCTTTAAAAAAATAGAAAATGTGCTGGGCGCGATGGCGCGTGCCTGTAATCCCAACACTTTCAGAGGCAGTTCACTTGAGCTCAGGAATTCAAGACCAGCCTGGGCAACATGGCCAAATCCCATTTCTACAAAATATACAAAAATTAGCCTTGTGTGGTGGTGTGGGCCTGTAGTCCCAGCTACTCAGGAGGCTGAGGTGGAAGGATTGCTTGAGCCTGGGAGGCAGAGGTTGCAGTGAGCCAAGGTTATGCCACTACACTCCAGCTTGGGCAACAGAGCCAGACGCCCTTTAAAAAAAATTAAATTAAAAATGAAAACTTTAAAAATTTAAAAATGGAGACTTTTTAAAATAAAGAATAAAATAAAATATCCCCCTCAATTAGTTCATTTTCATACTGCTATAAAGAACTGCCCACAGGGCACAGTGGGACGCGCCTGTAATTCCAACACTTTGGGAGGCTGAGGCAGGTGGATCACCTAGGAGGTCAGGAGTTCGAGATCAGCCTGAGCAACATGGAGAAACCCTGAAACCCTGTCTGTAATAAAAATACAACCAGGCATGCTAGTATGCACCTGTAATCCCAGCTACTCAGGAGGCTGAGGTAGGAGAATCTCTTGAACCCTTGAGGCGGAGTTTGCGGTGAGCTGAGATTGAGACACTGTACTTCAGCCTGGGAAACAGAGGGAGACTCCATTTCAAAAAATAAAAAATAAAAATAACTGCCCAAGACTGGGTAATTTATAAAGGAAAAAAGTTTAATTGACTCACAGTTCAGCATGGCTGGAGAGGCCTTAGGAAACTTACAATTATAGTGGAAGGCAAAGGGGAAGCAAGGCACCTTCTTCACAAGGCAGCAGAAAGGAGAAGTGCCGAGGGAAGGGGAAAGAGCCCCTGACAAAACCATCAAATCTTATAAGAACTCACTATCATGAGAATGGCATGGGCGAAAGCGCCCTCATGATCCAATTATTTCTACCTGGTCTCTCCCTTGACTCGTGGGAATTATGGGGATTATGAGGACTATAATTCAAGGTGAGGTTTGAGTGGGGACAGAAAGCCTAACCATATCAACCCTCATTTCTTGAGATAGCTAGAGCGACTTCCACTGCCTAAAAGTCAAAAGAGCTTCTCCAATCATTATGCTTTGCTACTTCATGAAGTTCTAAATTGTTGATGCATTTTACTTTGCACATTTTCATTCGGTACTCCCATAGATGTTGAGTAGGTAGCGTTATGTGAACTCTCTTTAGATTCACCCGGGCATTTATTATTCTTACATCTAATACCATCAAATACATGGAGAATGCATGCATTGGGAGGAGGCCATTCATTGATCTAATAGATTAAATAAAATAAAACATCCAAAATGAAGCAAAAGGTCCTTATTCCCTGTTTTCCTGACCATTGAGAAGAGAAGACAGCTCATAAACCTAGATTATTTCATCTTTATCTCAGATTTCATCTTTCCCTTCCATTTCCAAGGGAGATGCTTTTTTTTTTGCTTTTTTTTTTTCAGAATATTCAGCTAATGGTTGGCTCCATGGCTCATCTCTGAAAAAAAAATTACTTAGAGGCAGCACGATTCATTGCTACTGTCTCAAATGCTCCTAAGACAAAGAATCTTCTGCCAACACGGGCATACATGTTTGAATTAAGCATTCCCTATAGAAGTGAGCAGTTAATGGTCCAAGGAAACATCAGATGGCATTGAGGGCCAAACTGAGAAATAATGAATATATAGATATATCTTTGATATCCTGTATCACATCCTCCCTCAAGTAACTCAGTCTTTCTTTGCACTCCTTACTCCCTACAGGCTGCCACTAATAAATGAAATTTAAAATTCTTAGAGTAGCTGAATATGGGTTAAAATAAACTGAATCTGCTCATAAATAGAGTGGTTTATGTATTTTGTACACACAATTTATAAAATACATAGTTTTTTTGTTGTTGTTGTTTTTGTTTTTTTTGAGACGGAGTTTCATTCCTGTTGCCCTGGCTGGAGTGCAATGACGCAGTCTTGGCTCACTGCAACCTCCACCTCAGCAATTCTCCTACCCCAGCCTCCCAAACAGCTGGGATTACAGGCATCCACCACCACGCCCGGCTAATTTTTGTATTTTTAGTAGAGACGGGGTTTCACCATGTTGGCCAAGCTGGTCTTGAATTCCTGACCTCAAGTGATCTGCCCACCTCGGCCTCCCAAAGTGCTGGGATTGCAGGCATGAGCCACCGCACCTGGCCTAAGTAGATATTTAAAAGAAATATATATATACACTTTAAAAGTGTATGTACATACATATGTATGTACACACACACACACACACACACACACATTTAACGAAAGTCGAACTTACAGAAAAGAAATAAAATACACAGTCCTTATCAAAAACAGATGTGAAACAACATGGAAATCCCTCTTCTTTAACCTGTTTTGTGATGCTGCACCTGGCACCCTACAAACCACAGTTCTGCTTTGCCACCTGACCCTTGAAGGCACTGAAGAGAGACTACAGGCTGGAGGAAGAAAAGACATACTTCTTCTTGTCTGTTTCCCATTCCTATGAGAATCATCCTATTAATACTTCTTCCCCCCAGCTGCAGCAATTCCTTTCCATGGCTGCAGCTGAATCTTGTGTGCAATTTTTCTAACATTCACAAAACCAGGCTCATCACACCCATACCCCCACCCCACAACACACCAGCACCAGTGCCCTCAACTCTGAAGTTTGAGTTTCAGCTTTTCAGGGCCCTTCCTCTAAGTTTCTAAGTTTTACTAACTCTCCTATCTTCTCTTTATTCTCTCAGTCCTAAGGGTGATAGCTGCTTCCTATAGTTGCTATCTCCTTGATGACTAGAATTCACTTTTTACCCTTTCAGTTACCTGATTAATAACTTTACATTTTGTTATTAATTCTTCTGCTTCTGTCTGTTTAAATAGCAGATGTAATTTCTGTCTCCTATCTGGACCCTAACTATACTATGGCTTAACACATATAAACTGGTATCATATAAACCGAGTACACCAAGATTGCTTTAAAATAAAACTATGTAAAAGTGTGGCAGGGAAAAGAGTAAAGTAAATGTGTAGCTGTTAGAGGTTGTCAGATGGAGGGAGGAGGAAAATGCTGGAAGAAAGGAAAGGAGGACTCATAGTACTTAGTGTAAAGACCCATCCATGTATAGATACAGTGACAGTGTGACTATAACTTGATGCTACACAGGTAAACCATAGAACTGAAGATTAATGATATATGCCAATAAGATTGAGAGAAGAATAAAGAGGACAATGCAACCAAATTAAATTATTTTGTAACACAGCAGAATAATGTTTAGAGGTTATAAATTTTAAAATAATGAATAAGTACATTACCATATTTAACTATATGGAGATAAACCCCCAAACAACTGGAAACACATGATTACAGTGTTCTTCTTTAAGAAATAATACTGGAGGTATGCAGAAGTGAGATAAGGCTAATTGCCTTTCCCATAAATGTTTCCATTTAATTTTTAGTATTTTATTAATTTGATTGTTTAAATTTTAAAAATGCAAAGAAAAAGATGTTGACTTCTGGAATTATGTAGTAGACACTTTTTCACATTCCTCACAGTAATGTCAACTAAAAACCCTGAATATTATATATAAAACAAACAGGCCAGGTGCGGTGGCTCACACCTGTAATCCCAGCACTTTGGGAGGCCGAGGTGGGTGGATCGCAAGGTCAAGAGATCGAGACCATCCTGGCCAACATGGTGAAACCCCGTCTCTACTAAAAATACAAAAATTAGCTGAGCGTGTTGGTGCGCTCCTGTAGTCCCAGCTACTTGGGAGGCTGAGGCAGAAGAATCTCTTGAACCCAGGAGGCGGAGGTTGCAGTGAGCCGAGATTCCGCCACTGCACTCCAGCCTGGCGACAGAGCGAGACTCCGTCTCAAATAAAAAATAAAAATAAAAAGCAAATGAAACAAACATAAAACTCTGGGAGGTAGAAAGAAGGCGGACTGGCTAGGAACCTCAGGACTCAAGGGGAAATACAGTGATGACATCCCTGGATTTTCTTTTTGTCTCATGTATTCCAGATTTAGAGCTGAAGAAGTCAGTAACTGGGAAACACCAAAGTGTATAGACTAAAAAGCCCCCACAAAAGCCAGCTACTTCTAGCCAAAAAACCAGGAAAGGGGCAGCCTAGCAGGGCAGAAACCTTATAGACAATAGCTACTCTAAACAAACCCACAGAAAAAGCTGTGCCCCACCCCCACCGTGCCAGCAAAGAAAACTAGACTTCCCTCTTCACAGCATGAGGGGAACTTTGACTCCCAGCCTAGCAGTAATGAAGCAACCTTCCTTTCCCCACTGGGGTGGTGCCAGAGGATGCCCAGCAGAGTGTCAGGGCTTTCACTATCACCCATAGGTAATGAGGCCACCCTTGCCATGGTGTCAGTAGAAGTGAGGAGCACTGACTTCTTCAGCAATAAATCTGGGATACATGAGACAAAAAGAAAATCCAGGGATCTTATCACTGTATTTTCCTTGAGTCCTGAGGTTCCTAGCCAGTCAACCTTCTTATTTCTACCTTCCAGAGTTTTATGTTTGTTTTATATATAATGGTCAGGGTTTTTAGTTGTCATTAGTGTGAGGAATATGAAAAAGTGTCTACTATCATAAAGCACTAATAAGGCGTCTGGTTGCAGCCAAAATCCAATGTGTTGATTTTTTTAGGCACAACCATAAACGATTACGAAGGCTTTACCTAGCAGGCCTCAAGGAGGAAAGATGGTCTCCCCACACCAGATTTGGTGCACAACCAATACACTGCAAACTCTGAAGGGAATTAGAGCCAAGGGTTCAATCCTCCCTGACCAGCCATGCTTTTATGTATATCTGCATTCTTAGCTGGGGCTCCTCCATTTTGAGGCCTCCTTACCAGGGAAGCTTGAAGACACTTTGCTGCACTCTGCCTTAAGTACTTGATACTTTTTCGGCCTGGCAGGGTGGCTCACGCCTGTAATCCTAGCACTTTGGGAGGCCAAAGCGGGCGGATTGCCTGAGCCCAGGAGTTCGAGACCAGCCTGGTCAACATGGTGAAACCCGTCTCTACTAAAAATACAAAAATTAGCCGGCCGTGTTGGTGGACGCCTATAATCCCAGCTACTCGGGAGGCTGAGGCAGGGGAACTACTTGAAACAGGGGGGCAGAGGTTGCAGTGATGATACCACCTCACTCTAGCCTGGGCGTAAGAGCGAAACTCCCTCCCAAAAAAAAAAAAAAAAAAAAAAAAAAAAAAAAAAAAAAAAAAAAGCCTGGTATGGTGGCTCACACCTGTAATCCCAGCACTTTGGGAGGCTGAGGCAGGCGGATAATGAGGTCAGAAGATTGAGACCATGGCTAACACGGTGAAACCCCGTCTCTACTAAAAATACAAAAAAATTAGCTGGGCATGATGGCAGGCTCCTGTAGTCCCAGCTACTCTGGAGGCTGAGGCAGGAGAATGGCGTGAACTCGGGAGGCGGAGCTTGCAGTGAGCCGAGATCGCACCACTGCACTCCAGCGGAGGCGACAGACCGAGACTGCGTCTCAAAAAAAAAAAAAAAAGTACTTTGTACTTTTTCACTCCTAGACTTTTCCCTTCTGCATCCCCCCGGCCCCCTGGGCCCATAAAACTACAGTAGCCTTTTGTTTGGCAGTGAGACAACACCATCTCTGTGCTGATCCAGCTGGCCCTCAACTGATATGCCATTCCATGGGGCAAAACAGCCAGAGGAGTCAGCACTTTCTCCTTAACCTCTTGCATATACCAACACAGAAAGTGATTAAAGGCTTGACTGTTACTTTCATTTTGGCTCCTGGCTTTAACTGGCTACTCTAACACCTGTAAGTTCAGCACTCTCCAGCTCAGCTGGGCCTCTGATAGGTACTAATACTCCTTCCAGTTTGGGAGGTATCATTAGAGGCCTAGTTAGGAGCCAGAATTCACAGACTACCTGGCAGTAAAAAGGTGGTAGCGCCTTCCTTTGCTGCAGGGTTATCAGCAAAAGCCAATTAAAACATAAGTTTAAATAAAATCCAGAGTCTCAAAACACAATATTCAACATGTCCAGGTTTCCATTGAAAATCATTCATCATACCAAGAACCAGGAAGATCTCAAAAGGAATGTAAAAAAAAGATGTCATACATAATGTAACTACCTAACACAGATTGTAAAGCAGTTGTCATAAAAATGTTTCAATGAGCAATTGTGAACATGCTTGAAAAAAATTTTTTTAATCTCAGCAAAGAAATCAAAAGTCTTGGTAAAGAAATAGAAGATAAAGAAAATGAAGAAAAATCAAATTAAAATTTTAGAATTAAAAAATACAGTATTTGAAACAAAAAGCTCAGTGGATGAACTCAACAGCAGAATGTGGCTTGGTGAGTCAGGTAAAAAAAATGATTAAAAAGAAAACAACAGAATAAAGGGAACAAAGGAAAGAATAAGTAAACTGGAAGATAAAACAATAGAAATTATTCAGTCTGGCCAGGCACAGTGGCTCGTGCCTGTAATCCCAGCATTTTGGGAGGCTGAAGTGGGTGGATCACTTGAAGTCAGGAGTTCAAGACCAGCCTGGCCAACATGGCAAAAACCCACCTCTACTAAGAATACAAAAATTAGCCAGGCGTGATGGCACACACCTGTAATCCCAGCTACTCGGGAGGCTGAGGCACAAGAATCACTTGAACCTGGGAGATAGAGGTTTCAGTGAGCCAAGATCATCATGCCACTGCACTCCAGCCTGGGCGACAAAGCAAGATTCTGTCTGAAAAAAAAAAATTATTCAGTCGGGGCCAGGCACAGTGGCTCATGCCTGTAATCCCAGCACTTTGGGAGGCCGAGGCAGGCAGATCACCAGGTCAAGAAATCGAGGCCATCCTGACCAACATGGTGAAACCTCGTCTCTACTAAAAATACAAAAATTAGCTGGGTGTGGTGGCACGTGCCTGTAGTCCCAGCTATTCAGGAGGCTGAGGCAAGAGAATCGCTTAAACCCGGGAGGCGGAGGTTGCAATGAGCCAAGATTGAGCCACTGCACCCCAGCCTGGCGACAGAGTGAGACTCCGTCTCAAAAAAAGAAAGAAAAAAAAAGAAAGAAATTATTCAATATGAACAATAGAGAGAAAATAGGGAAGAAAATGAACAAGTCCTTAGGGAACTGTGAGACTATAAAAAAAGTTCTAACATTCTTGTCCTCACAGTTCTGGAGGGAAAGAAAAAAGAGGGCATGAATGAAAAAGTAGTTGAAGAAATAAATATAGCTGAAAACTTCCCAACTTTGACAAAAAAGATATGAACATACAAATTCAAGAAGCTGAGTGAAACCCAAATGGTACAAACCCAAAGAAACCCACAGGAAGATACATATAATAGTCAAATTTCTGCAAATGAAAGACCAAAAAAATTTTTTGTTGTTTTGTTGAGACAGGGTCTTGCTCTGTCTGTCGCCCAGGCTGGAGTTCAGTGGCGTGATCTCAGCTCACTGCAACCTCTACCTCCCGGGTTCAAGCGATCCTCCCACCTCAACCTCCCTAGAAGTTGGGACTATAGGCATGTGCCACCACACATGGCTAATTTTTGTATTTTTAGTAGAGACAGGGTTTCACCATGTTGGCCAGGCTGGTCTCAAACTCCTGACCTCAGGTTACCTGCCCACCTCGACCTCCCAAATTGCTGGGATTACAGATGTAAGCCACTGTGCCTGGTCCCCCAAAAAAATCTTAAAACAGTAAGAGATGTAACAAAATATACCATTCTAATGTCCAGTGTTGATAGTGGGTAGGCTGTATATATGCAGTATATATGAGAATGGGTTATATGAAAACTCTGTGCTTTCTGCTCAATTTTGCTATGAACCTATAAATTATCTAAAAAATAAATTCTGTTAAAAAAAGAGATACCCATTTACCTATAGGAGTAAACAATTTGCATGATGACATTAGTAGACTGAGATAAGTTATGTATATATAACATATTACCTTTCCCTCAAATGTCTATACAAAGAGATACACACGAAAATACTATATATACAGAAAAGTAAAACTTAGAAATAAAAATAAGAAATAAATACTATAGATAATCAAAATACAATTCTAAAAATTGTTCAAGTAACCCCCAGGAAGACAGGGAAAAGAAAAATAGAGACACAAAAAACAGAAAGTACAAACAGAAAATCAAAAAACAAAATGGCAGACTTCACTCCTAATGTATCAATAGTTCTATTAAATGTAATTGGTTTAAATACCCCAATTAAAAGACAGAGATTGGCATAGTGGATTAAGAAAACATAAGCCAACTATATCCTATTTATAAGAATAAATAGTTTGAAAGTAAAATGATAGAAAAAATAGCATGCTAGCATTAATCAAAAGAAGAGTGGCTAAACTAATATCACTTAAAGTAGGCTTCAATCAGGTACAGTGGCTCACTTCTGTAATCCCAACACTTTGGGAGGTCAAGATGGGAGGATTACTTGATTTTAGGAGTTGAAGACCAGCTTGAGCAACACAATGAGATCCTGTCTCTACAAAAAATAAAAAATGAGCCAGGAGCAGTGGTGCCAATCCGTAGACCCAGCTACTCAGTAGGCTGAGGTGAGGGGATTGCTCCAGCCAGGAGGCCGAACAGCAGTGACCTGCGATTGTGTCACTGCACTCCAGCCTGGGTGACAGAGTGAGACCATGTCTCAAAAAAATAATAATAATCTGGGCAAAGTGGCTCATGCCTGTAAACTCCCAGCACTGCAGGAGGCAGGCAGATTTCATGAGTCCAGGAGTTCAAGATGTGCCTATGCACATGGCAAAACTCTGTCTCTACCAAAAAAAAAAAAAAAATAGCTAAGCATGTAGTCCTAGCTACACAGGAGGCTGAGGTGGGAGGATCACCTGAACCCCAGAGGCAGAGGTTGCAGTCAACCAAGATTGCACCACTGTACTCCATTCTGGGTGACAAAGCGAGACCCTGTATAAAGAGTAAAAAATAAAATAAAAATAAATTATGTAATAATAAAAAAGTAATCCACCAAGAAGAAATAATCCCAAATGTGCATATATCAAACAACAAAGTGGCAAAATACTTGAAGAAAAAAACTGATAGAACTGACCAGGCATGATGGCTCACGCCTATAATCCCAACACTTTGGGGGGCCGAGTCAGGCAGATCATTTGATGTTAGGAGTTCGAGACCATCCTGGCCAACGTGGTGAAACCCCATCTCTACTAAAAATACAAAAAAATTAGCCGGGCATGGTGGCGCATGCCTGTAATCCCAGCTACTTAGGAAGCCGAGGCAGGAGAATCACTTGAACCTGGGAGGCGGAGGTTGCAGTGAGCCAAGATCATGCCACTACACTGCAGCCTGGGCAACAGAGCAAAACTCTGTCTCAAAAGCAAAACGAAAGAAAGAAAGAAAAACTGAGTAAAATTCTAGCAATACTGACAAAGAAAATAAGAAAGAAGGCACATATTACCAATATCAGAAATAGGGGATATCACTACAGACATCAAAACTATAATAGGGAGCACTACAAACAACTGTATACATATAAATTTGAAATCTAGATAAAATGAATAAATTCCTCAAAAATAAAATAAAATAAATAAACTACCAAAACTCATCCAATATGAAAAGGATCACTTGAGTCTCCCTATAACCATTAAGGAAATTGAATTCATAATTTTAAGACTCTCATAAAAGAAATCTCCAGGCCTAGATATTTTCACTGGAGAATTCTACCAAATATTTCAAGAAGAATTTACACTGATTCTACACAATATCTTCCAGAAAATCAAAGAGTAAGGAACCCTTCCCAGTTTATTTTATAATGCTAGTATTGTCCTGAAACCAAAACCAGACACACACACACACACACACACACACACACATACAAAACAGTGAAATCTATAAACCAGTACTTGCAGAATACATATCCAAGAAAGGACTAATAACTAGAATATAAAAAGAGCTCTCAAAATTCACCAGTAAAAGCCAGGCACAGTGGCTCACACTTGTAATTCCAGAACTTTGGAATGAGGATTTCTTGAGGCCATGAGTTGAAGACCACCCTAGGCAATATAGTGAAACCCATCTCTACAAAAAGTTTAAAAATTAGTCAGGCATGGTGCTGCGTGCCTGTAGTCCTAGTTGTTTAGGAGGCTGAGGTGGGAGGATCTCTTGAGTGCAGGAGTTCAAGGCTGCAGTGAGCTGTGATGTGCCACTGCACTCCAGCCTGGGCAAAAGAGTTAGACCCTATCTCCATAAAAAAAGAAAAAGAAAAAAAATTCACCAGTAGAAAAATAAACAATTCAATTCCAGAATGGATAAAAGACATAAGACATTCTACTGATGGCTATAAGCACATGGAAAGATGTTCAACATGATTACCAATCAGGGAATTACGGATTAAAGCACAATGAGATATCACTACATACCTATCAGAATGGCTACAATGAAAAATGGTGACACTAAATGCCAGCAAGAATATGGAGAAACTGTATCACTCACAGAAGGCTATTGAGAATGTTAAATGGTAGTCTCTGCAGAAGCAGTTTGACAGTTTCTTAAAAAGCTAAACATGCAACTACTGTACAACCCAGCAACTGTATCCCTAGGCACTTATCCCAAAGACATAAAGACCAATGTTCATGCAAAAACCTGTACATGAATGCTTATAGCAGCTTTAATTCATTATAGCTAAAATCTGGAAACAATCCAGCTACCTTTCACTGGGTGAATGGATTAAACAAATTTTGGTAAGTTCATGCCATGGAATACTACTCTGAAATAAAAAAAAGACTGGACATTCATACATGCCACAACTTAAATGAATCTCCAGATAATACTACTTAGTGGGGAAAAAAGCTAATCCCAAAAGGTTACATACTGATTCCATTCATATAACATTCTTGAAATGAAAAAACTATAGAAATGGAGAATAAATCAGTTGTCGAAGTTAGGGAGCGGGGGAAGGGAGAAGGGAAGTAGGTATACATAAAAGGCAACACAAGAGATCCTGGTGGTGACAGAAATATACTGGATCTTGGTGGGTGGCTGATGGCTGTAAACCCAGCACTTTGGGAGGCTGGGGCAGGAGGATTGCTTCAGTCCAAAAATTCAAGACAAGCCTGGGCAACATAGTGAGACCCCACCTGTATAAAAATAAAAACAATAAAAAGAAATATACTGTATCTTGACTATATTAATTCCAATATCTCAGTTGTATTATATAAATAGTTATATTATATATGTGTATATACTCAGTTATATTATAGTTTTGCAAGGCACTACCATTGGAGGAAACTCGGTAAAGGGTACACAAGATCTGTCTCTGTATTATTCCTTACAACTGCAGGTAAATCTAAAATTACTCAATATTAAAAATGGAATTTAAAAACTTTTTTTTTAATGCAAGGGAAAGGACCACAATTCTCAGAAACTTGACATGATAAGAAAATACTTGAAAAGGTGGCAGTGCCTTCAGGTCATTGACTGTGATAGCACACATTTTTCCAAATTATGAAGAGTGGTGGTTGTTTCACACTGTATTTCATAAAAGATATTAACTTCCTAGCATCCAAGTTTTATGATCCTTAGAGATTTGCTTTTCCCTTTGGAATTCTGCAATTCTAATATAAATTAAATTTAAGCTGATCCAACTGGGAGTTGCTAAACTCCATAAACGCAATTATAGTCTAAAGAGATGCTATAAAATTGATATTAGAACTATGCAACCCTCAACTACTTCCCGCCCTCTACCAACTTCATATACACACACAAACGAAGTGTTTGCCATTTTTCCTTGTGCCTGAGTGTAACCCAGGTAACTGTAGGCTGCATAAAGTTATTTAGATTTATTTATTTATTTATTTATTTATTTTTGAGACAGAGTCTCGCTCTGTTGCCCAGGCTAGAGTGCAATGGCACAATCCCAGCTCACTGCAACCTCCACCTCCCAGGTTCAAGTAATTCTCATGTCTCAGCCTCCTGAGTAACTGGGACTACAGGTGTGGTGCCAATATGCCTGGCTAATTTTTGTATTTCAGTAGAGACAGGATTTTGCCATGTTGGCCAGGCTGGTCTTGAACTCTTAGCCTCAAGTAATCAACCTGCCTTGGCCTCCTAAAGCACTGGGATTACAGGTGTGAGCCACCACACTTGGCCCAGGTATTGGTTTTAAATTTTCCTTTATTAAGTGTATGTCAAGAACAAACTATTTTCTTGACATTCTGAATGACTGTGGCATAAAACAGCTCATAAAATCAATGTGTCCTGTCTTTTCATCCTTGATATCTTGGACACAACTAATGTCCTTTTATATTCATATGGCAATTCAGGACAATCAAATAAATAATTAACTAATGACTGACACCCGGAAATTTACAGACCTTTCCCTTTTTTTTTTTTTTTCTCCTGAGACAGAGTTTCTGTTCTTGTTACCCAGGAGTACAATGGCGCAATCTCGGCTCACTGCAACCACCACCTCCCAGGTTCAGCAATTCTCCTGCCTCAGCCTCCCAAGTAGCTGGGAGTACAGCCATGTGCCACCACACCTGGCTAATTTTGTATTTTTAGTAGAGATGGGGTTACACCATGTTGGCCAGGCTGGTCTTGAACTCTTGACCTCAGGTGATCCACCCACATCGTCCTCCCAAAGTGCTGGGATTACAGGCATAAGCCCCCATGCCCGGCCTCCCTCTTTTTCATAGTTACTTTTTCCACCCGAGATAATAAACATCATGGTCATTGCTATACCTCAAACTCGTATTTTTCCTTACTCAGGTGCTGGAAAACTAAAAATATAAGCCGAGGCAGATTATAGGAGAAAAAATAGGCTATTCCTGATCTGCCCTCACAATATAAAGTGTCTCAGTACAGATTCTCAATTTTTTAATGTGCTAATTTGAAATGTTTGGAAAACAAATACACAGCATAAAAATAGTTCACAGTAGTTTGCCAGTCAAATCAGTTCTCTTCAGTTTATACTCTCTAAGCCTTTTCCCAGCAATTCAGAGGTTTTATGGTGACTAAATTATTATAAATCTGTTTTCTCCTTGTGGGTAGTTTAGTTAAAATAAGATTATGAACAGGGACGCTGTCTTCTTGTGACCAGAGAACTATTATCATAATCAAATTACCAAAATGTTAAATATACTCTGGCTCCCTCAAAACTCTGCTCACATCTAAGAATCAATCTAAGATAATCAGTTTACATAAAATTGTAGCCAACACTAGAAACCCATTTTCTTCAAGTTATTGATTTAAAAAAAAATCTATTAATAGGCACCTAATTATCTATATATCCCAGTATTCAAAAAAATAACACAATAAATCTAGCATAATTATTTTAATTCAATATATAATTAAATTACGCTGTTTTTATCACAAAAGTAAATTGTCATTAAAAATAAAACAGCTATATTTGTGATTTTCCTCATGCTGAGAGCAACATTCCAGTTGCTGTAGGTGTTTATTTTCTTCTAACCAAACACTACTATTAATAACACCTCATAAAAATAAAACGTTTGCACAATAAAGCAGGTTCCCCAACCTACCTTCTTCCCTACTAAAATGCTGCTTGTGTTCCAGTTTGCATCCTCCTCCTTATTTAAGTAAAGCTACTTTTAGTTTTGTGGCTGGAATATAAGGTATTTATTTTCAGAACTGGACAAATGAATGAATACAGGCATAATTATTTATTATTTATTTATTTATTTTTGAGATGGGGTCTCACTCTGTCACCCAGGCTGGAGTGCCATGGCGCGATCTTGGCTCACAGCAACCTCCGCCTCCTAGGTTCAAGCAACTCTCCTGCCTCAGCCTCCCGAGTAGCTGGGACTACAGACGTGCACCACCATGCCCAGCTAATTTTGTATTTTTAGTAGAGACGGGGTTTCACCATGTTGACCAGGCTGGTCTCGAACTCCTGACCTCAAGTGATCCACCCGCCTTGGCCTCCCAACATGTTGGGATAACAGGCATGAGCCACCGCACCCGACCAGGCATAATTCTTTTAAATGAGCAGGACATTCCAGCACAGCCTTCACAACAACTTCTAGATAGACAATCTTGTGACCCAGAACTAGCTTGCAAATTAGGTGCTCCCATTTCTTCATTCACATCCAAAGAAATGTCCTCAAAGATTCATGGCTCATAGAGAAGTCAGGATCCCTGATGTTTCAGCTCTCATAAGATGAAATTTTCTCTAAGAAACTATGATGGAGAAAATTGTTCATTAAGAAAATTATAGCAGCTGGGCATGGTGGTGCACACCTATAGTCCCAGCTACTCAGGAGGCTGAGGTATTCCTGAGCTACCCAGGAGTTTGAGGCCAGCCTGGGCAGCATAGCAAGACCCCATCTCTTAAAAAGAAAAAATTACAGCAAATTCTTGACCTCAAAACCAAGTCTTTGCTAGACATTACATGAGGCTTCAGCAGTTAAGCAGTCAGAGAAAAGCATGGTCCCATTAGCACAAAGTCTGCAGTCTAACTGAAGACAATTAACAAGCAGGTATTACAAGTGGGAAAAGTGTGACAAAATTAGTAACAATAAGGTATTTGGATGTAAGTCTCACTTTTTTAAATATTGGGACTATATGAACCCAGATGCCATATTTTTACTTCCTTCATTGATAAAATCCTTTCCTCTCACTATTTTGGCTATTTTTTAATAAGAGATTTTATTGTATCTCCTCAGAACAAATATAAACAAAATCTATGAAAGAACTATGCTATATTATATATGAATTGGACCAGCCGAAAGTATACAGACTCAAACATTTCTTAAAAATCAAGAAATCTGGGCCAGGTGTGGTGGCTCACGCCTGTAATCCCAGCACTTTGGGAGGCTGAGGCAGGCAAATCACTTGAGGTCAGGAGTTCGAGACGAGCCTGGCCAGCACGGTGAAACCCCATCTCTACTAAAATCACAAAAATTAGCCGAGTGTGGTCGCGGGCGCCTGTAATTCCAGCTACTCAGGCAGCTGAGGCAGGAGAATCGCTTGAACCCAGTAGGTAGAGTTAGTGGTTGCAGTGAGCTGAGATTGTGCCACTGAACTCCATGGACAGAGCAAGACTCCATCTCAAAAAAAAAAAAAAAAAGTCTGAAGACAGGGATTACAGGAGCTGACTCAACTGCTCAACAAGGCCACTAGAGACCCAAGCTCCTCCTATCATTCTGCTCCAACACACTTGGCATGTTGTCCTTTGCCTTCATGCCTATTGCCTCATGATTGCAATATAGTTGCTGTTCAGGTCATCACATCCTCATTCATGGACGGAAGGAAAGGAGGAATAAAGGGAACTGTTCATCCATACCTGACAGCTTTCAACAGGAAAGCCAAAATTTCCCGGAAATGCCTATAACAGACTTCTCCCTACATCTTATTGATCAGAATGATGTCAGATGGTGAGCTTCTTTGCCTTATGGCTTCTGGTCAGGTCAAACAAGAGATGTGAAAAAAGATTGGAGGGTGTGTGTTGAGTGAAATCAGGGAATTTCTTCCTTGTTCCTTCCCATTGTCCCATTTCAGCAGAATTCTGGGACTGGTTATGTCCTCCATCACTACAGCTTCTTCTAGACACCCTTCTCCAAAGCTCCAGCCTCTCTGGGCTCTGGTAACATTCCATCTCTTGCTTTGTCAGGCCTTGGGGTGAGAACAGCTGGTCTCTGGGTGCTTCATTGATATCTTTAACCCTGCCACATCTCCATAAGTGGATTCATCATTAAAATCTTTTATTTTATTTTATTTATTTTAGACAGAGTCTTGCTCTGTCTCTCAAGCTGAAGTGAAGTGGTACAATCTTGGCTCACTGCAACCTCCGTCTCGTAGGTTCAAGCAATTCTTCTGCCTCAGACTCCTGAGTGGCTGGGATTACAGGCATGCACCACCACACCTGGTCAATTGTTGTATTTTTAGTAGAGATGGGATTTCACCATGTGGCTAGGCTGGTCTCAAACTCCTGGCCTCAAGTGATTCGCTTGCCACGGCCTCTGAAAGTGTTGGGATTACAGGCATGAACCACTGCATCCAGCCTAAAATCGTTTAAATTTATCATCGGAGTGAAATCGTGTTCCCTGCCAAGAGTCCAACAAATACATATAGAATTTTAAATGCAAAGGAGTTAGAAAATCAGACAACAGGGGAGCCATGTCAATGTGAACAAACTATGATCCACTGCCCGAGGTCAGACACATTGCCATCCTGAACAAATGTATGATTAAGTTAAAGATATGGGTATTTGGTGGGTGCCTTGTCTACCACATATGATTTATAATTAAGAGCTGTTTAAAAAGCAACCTGAATGATCATGTATTATTCATTTTGTTATTGCCTTCAACTAACTCAGTGCCTGGCAAAATATGTCTACTAGTGAGTAAATAATACCTTACTCTTCTAAAACTTTGTAGTCTACAAAGTGCTTTGATATACATTATCCCATTTGATCTTCACAAATAACCCTGTGAGCCCTATGAGTAAGGCAACACCAGCATTTTCATCCCCATTTTACAGATTCATAATCAGAAGTTGAGAGACAATAACTACCTTGCCTTGAGTCACCAAATTATTAAGTAGTAGAACTAGAAAGTAAAGCCAGGTTTTCTGACTCCACATTCAGGCCGTTCAAAGCCAAGCCTTGGCCAATGTACCTGACTGGGTTCAGTACACAAAGCCAAAACCTGAGTGTTGGTTGGGGCCAGGCAGAAGAGAAAGAGCATTGTATTTCACAGTACCTCTGATCCCCAGATGTTGACATCTATCAGCAGAGAGAATGGAGGACTTCTACGTGTTTCCCATTGAAGAAACAAATTCTGCTTCCAACTGCAGCAGTTAAGAGCATGAGTTTTGAAGTCATATAAATATGAAGTGGAATTCTAGCCTTACCACTTACTAGTTGTATGACCTTGGCAAATTACTTAATCCCCATGAGCTTTATTTTTCCATTCTGTAAAATATAGATATTAAGTATCTTTCTTATGAAATTGCCAAAATTTTTAAATTAGATCATTTATGTTAAGTGATTAGTTTTAACTAAATGTAACATCTTACATTCCTGATTATTATGACTGTAAATTATCTTGGATTCTGCAACAAACTTTCAGAAGTTTTGAATTTCATTAAGAAACAGCATTGGCCGGGTGCAGTGGCTCATGCCTGTAATCCCAACACTTTGGGAGGCTGAGGCAGGCGAATCACTTGAGGTCAGGATTTCAAGACCAGCCAGCCCAACATGTTATAAACCCGACTCTACTGAAAAAAAAAAAAATGCAAAAATTAGTTGGGCGTGGTGGTGGGCACCTATGGTCCCAGCTACTCGGGAGGCTGAGGCAGGAGAATCACTTGAACCCAGGAGGGGGAGGTTGCAGTGAGCAAAGATCATGCCACTGCACTCAGCCTGGGTGACAGAGTAAGACTCCATCTCGAAAGAAAAAGAAGGAAAGAAAGAAAGAAAGAAAGAAAGAAAGAAAGAAAGAAAGAAAGAAAGAAAGAAAGAAAGAAAGAAAGAAAGAAAGAAAGAAAAGGAAAGAAAGAAAAGAAAAGAAAAGAAAAGAAAAGAAAAGAAAAGAAAAGAAACAGCATTAATGTAGCACACAGAATGCCAGTAAGTTTATCAAACAACTCCCAGATAGAAATAAACCTCAAAAGTTACCTGCAATTTCCAATTTCCATGCCTTCTGTTCATTCACAAGATCCTGGTAACTGACATTTATATAGATAGGGCTGCTATGTGTCAGGTGTCAGAAATAAATTTTTCTAGGCTGAGCGTGGTGGCTCATGCCTGTAATCCCAGCACTTCGGGAGGCAGAGGCAGGTGGATCACCAGATCAGGAGATCGAGACCATCCTGGCTAACATAGTGAAACCCCGACTCTACTAAAAATACAAAAAAATTAGCCAGGCGTGGTGGTGGGCGCCTGTAGTCCCAGCTACTCGGGAGGCTGAGGCAGGAGAATGGCATGAACCCGGGAGGCAGAGCTTGCAGTGAGCCGAGATCGCACCACTGCACTGGAGCCTGGGCAACAGAGCAAAACTCTGTCTCGAAAAAAAAAAAAGAAAAAGAAATAAATTTTTCTCCACAGAGTTTTCTAGAAAAATTTTACTGGGACTTAGGTTAAAGAACAGCCTTAAACCCAAAAGATTACTGAATAGATAGTAAAAGATTTACCTCCCCAGAGGTACATGTTTACACTTCTAGGAAAAGATGAGACCCAAAGCCATAATGACATTCCAGGAGTTGTAAACCTAAAGACATTTGTCTTATCTTCCCTTGGAGACAGGTACTTACATTTGAAAAGATAAAAATCTATGCTCTTTACCCTTCTATTCCAAAGAGAACTTCTTTATTGTAAGGAGCAAAAGTATCTCTCCCTTTCTCAAATAATGAAGGGACATCTCTTTCCTTTATAAGCTCCAAGATTCGTACTTCTAGGGCTTCTCTCCTATGGTAAAATCCAAACACCCCCATGTATAAGCCTGTCCATCTGGCTCTTTTATCATCGCAGAAGGGGGAAAGTTGGGGGGGTGGTAAATAACAAATAAAATTATTGCTCTAAATAATAATAATCAGCCTCTGTCCCAGAAACTTCCTGTCTACTTTCAGGATAATACAAATAGAGTAATCAAATACTTAGCAACAGACAATATCTTAAGGGCTTTAGATGAATTAACTCATTTATTTCTTATAGCTATACTATGTTAATTACTTCTATTTTTCTTCTTTTAAGACAGGGACACTGAAGCACAGAGATACCAAGTTGCCTAAAGTCTCCCAACTAATAAATAGCAGAGGCAGGATTTGAACCCAGGAAGTCTCACTCCAAAATCTGTGCTCTAAATATGATTGCATGCTGCCTGTAACCAGTAATCTTTCTCATTGAATATCTGTGATTCACAGTGAACTAGTATTCAATGTGTCTCATAACTAGAAGTATCTTATTCAATCACATCCAACTACTACTTTTGCCAATTGAAATAATTTTATAAGGAACTTCTGCCTGGTTGTAGATATACACACAGACATTTAAGGCTTAATATAAAACACTCTCTCTTCAAAGTAATTCTACCAGTTCTGCTTAGAATAAGTGCATATAGGCCATGAGTATTCATGTGTTGATGGCCATAGACGAACGGATAGACTAATTTGAGAATCCCCTTTTCTGCTACTTTAAGACAAAATTGTCTCTAATATTTAAACAGTTTTAAGTATTTTGAGTAAAAAAGTTGTATACTTTCCCATCCAGCTCTCCCTGTGGAGGAACCTCTGTGTATCCAGTCATGGGACTAGCAGGTACCAAATGGAACAACTGAGCAGAGTTCAATAAAACATTTTTTTACAAAGGAGTAGGCAGTGTTAAGAGAAACAAAGGCTGGTGCATCTCCCTGGGACCAAGAACAACTAGGAACCATTACCACACTTTAGTCTGAAAGGTCAGAGAGAGTTACTAGAATCCACCAAGAAAAGCTGTAGTTGTCACAGAGGGCTGCCCCCTCAGAAGTTGTGACCTGGCTGGGCGCAGTGGCTCACGTCTGTAATCCCAGCATTTTGGGAGGCTGATGTGGGCAGATGACCTGAGGTCAGGAGTCCGAGCCCAGCCTGGCCAACATGGTGAAACTCCGTCCCTACTAAAAATACAAAAAATTAGCCAGACATGGTGGTGGGCGCCTGTGATCCCAGCTACTCTGGAGGCTGAGGCAGGAGACTTACTTGAACCCAGGAGGTGGAGGTTGCAGTGAGCCGAGATCGCACCACTGCACTCTAGCCTAAGCAACAGAGCAAGACTCCATCTCAAAAAAAAAAAAAAAAAAGAAGAAGTTGTGACCTTTGGGCCAGGTGCCGTGGCTCACGTCTGTAATCCCAGCACTTTGTGAGGCCAAAGCTGTCATATCACCTGAGGTCAGGAGTTCGAGAACAGCCTGGCCAACATGGTGAAACCCTGTCTCTACTAAAAATTCAAAAAAAAAAAAAAAAAAAAGAAAGAAAGAAAGAAGTTATGACCTTTAGCAGAGAGACAAAACTAATGAGTGGCAACCCAACAAAAAGGAAGCTGGAGCAGTAAATACCCAAAACCCATTCCCCTCTCATGATCAGATCTCCACAGGTGCCTCCCATTGGCCAAGCCCAACCTGAAACCAGAGGGGAAGACAGCCTTTGGGAAAGTTTATAGAAGTCAGCCTCTCAGGAAAACAGCGCACAGTGAAGAAAGAGGAAAGGTACATCATGAGAAACAGAAAATATCAAGCACCCTCTGGGTTAAAAGAGTTCCATAGGAGCTTTTCCCTGTTCTCTCTTCTTTGCCAAAGAAACTTTTCTCCTTAAAAAAGCAGTTTTCACATTCATTAGCTACATGTATTCAGGAGCAATATGTACGCAATTAAGGGTTTCTCTGCTATCAGCAGCAATAACAAAATTATCATGTGCCTCGAGCCATTTTATCAAGGACAGAAAGCCCTGACCCACCACGGAGATGCCATCTGAGTCAGAGGACATTGGCTGTGCAGGTGCAGATACAAGAAGATAAGTGTGGCATCAAAGGAACACAGCCTGAGGCCAGCCAAGATTAGACAACAAAATGAGATTTATAGAGAAACTTAACTCTTTTCAGATCAACCTTGTTCAGCCAAAGAGAAGATTCCATTAAGGCTTAAGGACAGAGAAAATTGAAGTTTACTGAGCACCAATTCTGTCAAGTTTTGCATGTGTTAATCCATTTTAATACAAACTATAAAACTTCTATATAAAAGCTAGTTGTTATTTTTGTATCCTTAGCACATGTGATAAAAGATGTTTGATGAATACTAATGGTGCTAAGTAAAGTTATAGAAAGAACTGAATGGTCGCATCTCTCAGCTTCCACCTTTGCCCCTCACCCACCCACCCACAAGGTCTGCTATCCATAAAACAGATGAAATAATTCTTTTAAAATATGTCAGATCGTGTGACTTCTCTGCTTAAAAATATCTAATAATTCCTTATTTTATTTTCAATAAAATCCAAATCCTACCAGGTCAACAAAGCCTTATCAGAATTTTCCAAACCATGAATCATGGCTCATTTATGGGTCATGAAATTAATTTAGTGGGTCGCACTCAGTATCTTCTTAAAAATAAAATCGAATTGAATATTTAATATTGAATTGAATAAAAAATATTAGAATGCATAGCAAATAAAAATGGTAAATGTTTCACGAAAGTTTTCTTTCAGTTTTAAGAATATGTATGTGATTATAGTATAAAGTATTTGAGTCATCATCCAAATTAAAAAAAAAAAAAAAAAAAGAAAAACCACTATTCCCACTTCCTAACTTCATCACTAATCTCTGTCCTCTGGCTCACTCTGCTCCAGCCATACTGCTCTTTTTTGTGTTTTTTTAAATCCTTGACTGGAACATTTTCCTCCAAAACCCACAAAGTTCACACCTTACTTTCTTTAAGTTCAAATGTCATATTCCCTGGAAGAACATTGCTGACCACCTCATGTAAAGTAGCCCTACCACCATCTTCATTCTCTTTTTTCCTTATATCACTTTATTTTTCTTCAGAACTTTTATTAGCAAATGAAATACTATGTACTTCTGTCTCTCTACTAAACTGTAAACTTTATGAGAGCAGCCCGGCTAATTTTTGTATTTTTATAGAGACGGGTTTTCACCATGTTGGCCAGCCTGGTTTCAATCTCCTGACCTCAGGTGATCCACCCACCTCACCTCTTAAAGTGCTGGGATTATAGGCATGAGCCACTGCGCCTGGCCAAAATGTTTCTTTTCTAAAACAATCATATAGCATTGGTTATTAACAAGACATTACCTCAAAATCAACTGTTTTCAAAATAAATGAATGGGTTCACTTCATTTGCAAGTACTGTGGCTGTGGTGACCAGGAACCCTCCACCCCCAGCTTTGCTACATGTTTACCCTCCTACATTGCCTTCATAGAACCCTGCCTGTCCTTGAAAACGAGAAGGCAATTGCCACCATTCCCCAGACAGCAAGGCTCAGAATTAACACAAAGGCAGAGAGTGAATTGTCCCAGATTAAGAACACACTCATTGGGTTTGGACACCCAAGAATTCCACAGTTTTGAAGAAAAGAAAGATATTCTTAGAGGCTGGGCAGAGTGGCTCATGCCTGTAATCCCAACACTTTGGGAGGCTGAGGCAGGTGGATTGCTTTAGCTCAGAAGTTTGAGACCAGCCTGAGCGAAATGGTGAAACCCCATCTCTACCAAAAATACAAAAAAATAGCTGGGCATGGTGGTATGCACCTGTAATCCCAGCTACTCGGGAGGCTGAGGCAGGAGAATCACTTGAACCCAGGAGGTGTAGGTTGCAGTGAGCCAAGATCACACCACTGCACTCCAGCCTGGGCAACAGAGCAAGGCTCTGTCAAAAAAGAAAGAAAAGGGAAGGGAGGGGAAGGGAAGGGGAGGGGAGGGGAAGGGAAGGGAGGGAAGGGAGAAGGAAAAGAAAGGGAGAAGGAAAAGAAAGAAAGGAGAAAGAAAGAGAGAGAAGGGAGGGAGGGAGGGAAGGAGGGAAGGAGGGAGGGAGGGAGACAGAAAGAGAGGAAAGGGAAAGGGAAAGGGAATGAAAGGAAAGGAACTGCACCAAAATACCATTTTTTTTTTCGCCAAATTGTCGGAGATCTAAACATTTGCTACCTCATTATTCATGACTGAACCTGATACCTGTCTCCCTGCAGACTGGCGCTTCTTGCTCTCTATTGCTTTGCACTCCCCACAGTACTATTTCTTTCTTTCTGGTTTTATTGTTTTTTGTTTTGTTTTTGTTTTTTTGAGACAGAGTCTCACTCTCTCGCCCAGGATGGGCCACTGTGCCGGCCTTAATAAATGTTTCTTGAATTGACTCTAGTGAAGAAAAGGAACTCAAAGCCCTGTTAATTGTAGAAGCCATAGCAGGATTCTATAATGATTGCTGGAGTCAAAATGTATTTGCTGAAATTCCAGAAATCCTAAAAGCATTTTTCCTCTCATAAGAATTAGTACAGGCTGGGCACAGTGGTTCACGCCTGTAATCCCAGCACTTTGGGAGGCTGAGGCGGGCGGATTTGAGGTCAGGAGTTCGAGACCAGCCTAGCCAACATAGTGAAACCCTGTCTCTACTGAAAATACAAAAATGAGCCAGGTGTGGTGGTGGGCACCTGTAATCCCAGCTACTTGGGAGGCTGAGGCAGGAGAATCCCTTGAGCTCCGGAGGCGGAGGTTGCAGTGAGTCGAGATCACGCCACTGCATTCCAGCCTTGGTGACAGAGTGAGACTATCTCAAAAAATATATATATATAGTACAATAACCTACTTATCTCTCCCAAATTTAGTCTCTCTCCGTACTCTAATCTCTGTCCACACTGCCATGAAAATTACTTTTTGAAATCTCACAGTTCATTAGGTCTACATTGTACTAAAGACTATTTGGCATTTCTTACACGGTATGAGTATATATGTATATAATTCAAAAGAAACTATTTTTGGCCAGGTGCGGTGGCTCATGCCTGTAATCCCCACACTTTGGGAGGCCAAGGTGGGTGGATCACTTGAGGTCAAGAGTTTGAGACCAGCCTGACCTACACGGTGAAACTGTCTCTACAAAAAACACAAAAATCTAGGCATTACCATTCAGGACATAGGCATGGGTAAGGACTTCATGTCTAAAACACCAAAAGCAATGGCAACAAAAGCCAAAATTGACAAATGGGATCTAATTAAACTAAAGAGCTTCTGCACAGTAAAAGAAACTACCATCAGAGTGAACAGGCAACCTACAGAATGGGAGAAAATTTTTGCAACCTACTCATCTGACTAAGGGCTAATATCCAGAATCTACAATGAACTCAAACAAATTTACAAGAAAAAAACAAACAACCCCATCAAAAAGTGGGCGAAGGACATGAACAGACACTTCTCAAAAGAAGACATTTATGCAGCCAAAAAACACATGAAAAAATGCTCATCATCACTGGCCATCAGAGAAATGCAAATCAAAACCACAATGAGATACCATCTCACACCAGTTAGAATGCCAATCATTAAAAAGTCAGGAAACAACAGGTGCTGGAGAGGATGTGGAGAAATAGGAACACTTTACACTGTTGGTGGGACTGTAAACTAGTTCAACCCTTGTGGAATTCAGTGTAGCAATTCCTCAGGGATCTAGAACTAGAAATACCATTTGACCTAGCCATCCCATTACTGGGTATATACCCAAAGGACTATAAATCATGCTGCTATAAAGACACATGCACACGTATGTTTATTGTGGCATTATTCACAATAGCAAAGACTTGGGACCAACACAAATGTCCAACAATGATAGACTGGATTAAGAAAATGTGGCACATATACACCATGGAATACTATGCAGCCATCAAAAATGATGAGTTCATATCCTTTGTAGGGACATGGATGAAATTGGAAATCATCATTCTCAGTAAACTATCGCAAGAACAAAAAACCAAACACCGCATATTCTCACTCATAGGTGGGAATTGAACAATGAGAACACATGGACACAGGAAGGGGAACATCACACTCTGGGGACTGTTGTGGGGTGGGGGCAGTGGGGAGGGATAGCATTAGGAGATATACCTATAGCTAAATGACGAGTTAATGGGTGCAGCACACCAGCATGGCACGTGTATACATATGTTAACTAACCTGCATATTGTGCACATGTACCCTAAAACTTAAAGTATAATAATAATACAATTAAAAATAATAATAATTAAAAAAACACAAAAATTAGCCAGGCGTGGTGGCGTGAGCCCATAATCCCAGCTACCGGGAGGTGGAGGTTGCAGTGATCCCAGATCGTGCCACTGCACTCCGGCCTGGGCGACAGAGTGTGATTCTGTCTCATTAAAAAAAAAAAAATTTTTTTAAATTTCATGCCTGTAAAATAAAGTCTGAAGTATGGGACAGGAGGTCATTTTACATTCTTGTTCCAAACAGTCTTTCCAGGCACATCTCCTGCCACTGCCTTCCAACCACTCTTGTCCTCCACCTCTTCTCAATTCTAATTCCCCCCATCTATTTTCTTTCCCAGACTAAATATGCATGTTCACTTCTCTAGTTCTTTGGAATTCCCTCTGGTAGAAAAGCTCTCCCTTTAAGTCCCACCCCACTGCATCATTTGTCAAAGCTCTACTCTTCTTTAAGGTCCAATTCAGATATCGAACCTTCTCTCTATATACACATACTCCAATGTGGTCAGAATTTATTATCCATTCTTTTATGTTTCTATAGCCCTTCATTTATACATCTCTTCTAGCTTTGAAATCTCTGCCTTTTTGTTCATTGTGCTTATTTTTCATTTATTCAACATTCATTCAAAAAATATTTATTGTCTACTATATTCCAGGTGCTGGTATCTGTTTTAAAAAGACAAACATAGGTTCCTCCACCACTAAAACAGTCTTCTAAGTCCTCATGGAGTTCAGATTCTACTTGTAAGTTCTGAGTTTTTTGTATGTCAGTATTGATAGGGACAGCAGACAGCCAAGGGACCCTGGGGAAACCCTGGCTGCCTTCAAGCCTAAAACCAGACTGCTGGTCCCGGATGAAGGCTGCCCTTTCCTGACTGATTCTCCCTGCATAATGCCCACCTACGCCCTGGGAGGACGGGGTGGAGCCTCGCGAAGTTCAGGCCGTTTGTAGGTGGAGGAGCCTGGCCTCCTCAGTTCCTGTGTGGTGACTTGGCATTCAATCTGTGAGGCAGGAAACCTGCTATCAGGACTCTTTCTCACTTTGCTGAGAATTCCTCTTTCCTTTTTTTCTCTTCACCGAATAAACCCTATAATGTGTCTGTCTGCCTAAATTTTCCTGATCGTGTATTGAGAACCCGGTTTTTCTACAATAGTATCACCTTCCCCAGTACCAAACAATTTCCTTCCTGTATAGAGCAGGCACTCTACAGCTATGACTGCCTGTTTCTCCTTTCCCTAGATATCCATTTGTCTAAAATTAACAAGGTGTAGGCACCAGAGGCGACAGAGGGCTCAGGTGTGGTGGGTTGGGTGGGGGCCCGCTGAACTGACCAGCGGCATTTCAGCTCATTTACCCCCACCCATCAAAACCCTGGAGCCAGGTCCGTTCAGCCGACCGTCACCATGACCAACGCAGATAGCGAGGGCGGAAACCTCCGCCACCAGCTGGACAGCAACAAACAGGACCTGAGCCTCAGCAACCTGGATGAAGACCCGGTCAAGGAGCTGGCTGCCCTTCCAAAGACTACCACACTGGATCTGTCTTGTAATAAATGACTATTGTGCCGGGCACGGTGGCTCACGCCTGTAATCCCAACACTTTGAGAGGCCGAGGAGGACGGATCACCTGAGGTCAGAAGTTCAAGACCAGCCTGACCAACACGGAGAAACCCTGTCTCTACTAAAATACAAAAAAAATTTGCCAGGCGTGGTGGTGCATGCCTGTAATTCCAGCTACTCGGGAGGCTGAGGCAGGAGAATCGCTCTAACCTGGGAGGCCGAGGTTGCAGTGAGCCGAGATTGCGCATTGCACTCCAGCCTGGGCAACAAGAGTGAAACTCCATCTCAAAAAAATAAATAATGACTATTCTCCCGTCGGATTTCTGTGGCCTCACACACCTGGCGAAGCTAGACCTTAGAAAGAACAAGCCGCAGCACCCACCAGCAGACTTGGGCCGTTTGGTCAACCTCCAGCACCTGGCTCTCCTCAACAACAGGCTGGTCACCTTGTCGTCAGCTTTGCTCAGCTGAAGAACCTGAAGTGGCTGGACCTGAAGAATAACCTCTGGATCCCGGCCTGGCCAAGGTGGCAGGTGATTGCTTGGGTGAGAAGCCATGGAAACAGCATGCAAACAAGGCATCACAACACATGAAGGCTGTACAGACAGACCACAAGTGGGAGAGGCAGCAGGGTTGGAAGTAGAACGAGAGGCAGAGAAGTATGAGGCAAAGCAGCGAGCTAAGGAAGCTCAGGAGAGGAAATGCGGAAGCGGGAGAAGGCAGAGGAGAAAGAGTGCCAGAGAAAGGAGTATGATGCCCTCAAAGCAGCCAAGCGGGAGCAGATCATACCTACCAAGGAAACAAATTAGGCCCCCAAATCTAAGTCCGAATCCTGCCCCTGCAAGCCACTCCCCCGGAAGCACACTCGTTTCTGGGCTGTGCTGAAACTGCTGCTGCTGCTGCTTTGTGCAGCGGGGGCGCTGGTTGCTTGTCAGGTGACACAGCTACAGCAGCTGCCCCTTTGTGTCCGGAATAATGGGTTCTTGGTCTTGCTGACTTCCAGAATGAAGCTGCGGACCCTCGCGGTGAGTGTTACAGTTCTTAAAGATGGTGTGTCCAGAGTTTGTGCTTTCAGATGTTCAGATGCGTCCGGAGTTTCTTCCTTCTGGTGGGTTTGTGGTCTCACTGACTTAAGAAGTGAGGCGCAGACCTTTGCTGTGAGTGTTACAGCTCTTAAAGACAGCGCATCTGGAGTTGTTTGTTCCTCATGTCCGGAGTTGTTGGTCCCTCCCAATGCGTTTGTTCGTCCCTCCCAATGCGTTTGTTCGTAGTCTCACTGGCTTCAGGAGTGAAGATGCAGACCTTCACGGTGAGTGTTATAGCTCATAAAGGCGGCGTAGACCCAAAGAGTGAGCAGCAGTAAGATTTATTGCAAACAGAGAAAGAACAAAGCTTCCACAGCACAAAAGGGGACCTGACCGGGTTGCTGCTGCTAGCTCGGGCAGCCTGCTTTTATTCCCTTATCTGGCCCCACCCACATCCTGATGATTCGTCCATTTTACAGAGAGCTGATTGGTCCGTTTTGACAGGGTCCTGATTGGTGCATTTACAATCCCTGACCTAGACACAGAGTGCTGATTGGTATACTTACAATCCTCTAGCTAGACATAAAAGTTCTCCAAGTCCCCACTAGATTAGCTAGACACAGAGCACTGATTGGTGTGTTTACAAACCTTGAGCTAGACACAGAGTGCTGACTGGTACGTTTACAAACCTTGAGCTAGACACAGAGTGCTGATTGCTGCATTTACAAACCTTGAGCTAGACACAGAGTGCTGATTGCTGCATTTACAATCCTTTAGCTAGCCATAAAAGTTCTCCAAGTCCCCACCAGATTAGCTAGATACAGAGTGCTGATTGGTGCATCCACAAACCCCGAGCTAGACACAGAGTGCTGATTGGTGCATATACAATCCTCCAGCTAGACATAAAAGTTCTCCAAATCCCCACCCAACTCAGGAGCCCAGCTGGCTTCGCCTAGTGGATCCCACGCCAGGACCACGGGTGGAGCTGCCCACCAGTCACCCACCCACACTCCTCAACCCTTGGCGATGGGACCAGGCACTGTGGAGCAGGCGGCGGTGCCCGTCAGGGAGGCTCGGACCATGTGGGAGCCCACCGCGTGGGGGCTCAGGCATGGCAGGCTGCAGGTCCTGAGCCCTGCCCCATGGGGAGGTGGCTGAGGCCTGGTAAGAATTCAAGCCGGGTGCGGACAAGCCAGCAGTGCTGGGGGACCCGGTGCCCCCTCCACAGCTACTGGCCCGGATGCTAAGCCCCTCATTGCCCAGCGCCAGTGGCGCTGGCAGGCTGCTCTGAGTGCGGGGCCTGCCGAGCCCGCGCCCACCTGGAACTGGTGCTGGCCCGCGAGCACGCAGCCCTGGTTGCCACCCGCGCCTCTCCTTCCACACCTCCCTGCACGCAAAGGGAGCCAGCTCCAGCTTCTGCCAGCCCAGAGAGGGGTTCCCACAGTGCAGCGGTGGGCTGAAGGGCTCCTCAAGTGCGGCCAGAGCAGATGCCAAGGCCGAGGAGGCACCAAGAGCAAGTGAGGGCTGCTAGCACATTGTCACCTCTCACCTTTGCACCAGCGTGAACACCATCTGTGACAATGTGGTCCAGGGTCTGCACCACCATGAGATCCTCCAGACCGACTCTCAGCAGTGAGCTTGTCCCCAGCACCTGCTGCCTCCCAGCCTTGGAGCTTGGATTCCTATGGAATTGGGCTCTGCTGGACACAAACTCTTTTTAGCATCAGACCTACCTGCCATCATCAAATGGCTGCTGATTGGTACTTGAGACCTCCTCTTTGTAGGACTTCTTCATTCCTTAGTCAGGGTTTCCTGGTGGAATGAGGAGAAATGGGAGGTGGTGGGGGACAGTTACCTGCATGCCTAAAGGAATAGGCTTGGGGGTGGGGAGAAAGAAAACATAGCCATTTCTAGTTGTTACACAAAGCTGTGTAAAGGCTCATTTCTACTAAATGGTCAGCTGTCACCAAAAAAAAAAAAAAGTGTCATGAGACCTTTATGAAACATGCCAATAGGGTATGGGAATTATCTAACTATTTTGAAGGAATCTAAGTAATTAAACAAAAAATGCCACTGTCCTAACTAATAGCAGTTAACCAACTCATAATAGGAGTCACCCAGAGAATTTTTTATCATCTAGAAGTAATGGCTTGTTTCATTACTGGATGATGATGCCTCTCGAGTCTTTATTATGCACCAGGCACTGTCTGAGAGCTTTCAGTATTCACTCATTTAATCTTCTCAACAACTCTAAGTAGTATGTTATCTCTTTTTCAAAAAAAAAATAGATATGGAAACAGAAAGATGAGTTAAATTCTTTGCCCAAGATAACAAAACTGGCAAGGGATGGAGCTGGCATTTGAACTCAGGGAGGCTAGCTTCAAATTCTGTGTTCTCCACTACACATTAATGATGTAGACAGTGAAAATCTTTCCCAATGTGTGATAGACTAAAATCATTGATAGATGATTACTAATGCAAGAAGACTGTTACACAAGTGGTTGTAATTTCTGTTGGGCTCTTTATATGTAAGGAATAGAGATGTATTCTGTTTATTCAAAGTAGTGTAACATGAGGAAGGATAGCAATATAAGTTAACACATACACGGAACTCAGGGAAAGCAGGAATCACTTAGAATCTGCCTCATAGAGCCAGAAACTAGAAGGCCATTCAGATTTTTAAACTTCCCTAGGGACCTGAGAAGCAGGACTTTATGAATTTTTCTTACTCTAACATTCCACCGTTAACATATCTGCTCCTGTCTGACCCCTTCTTTTACTGTTATCAACTGGTTTTCTTTTCATTCTTCTCAGTTAAATCCCTGAGAAGAATCTGGTTGAATCAGCACAAAAATACTTAGATGGAGCCTTTTTTCCCAGGCCCACTCCTGAAGAACTAGCATGCCATGGCTGACTGTGCTTGAGTCCAATTCCCTCTGTAGCCAACCAACGAAAGGCTGGAAGGAGGGAAAGGACAAGGTCACTTTGTCCAAAACAGTTGAGCTGATGCAAGGTCTGGGCATGGGTAGCTTCCATGGAAAAGTGCCATTTGCAGGGCAGACACTCTTGTATAAGAATCTCATAGCCTGGCGCGGTGGCTTTTGCCTGAATCCCAGCACTTTGGAAGGCCGAGGTGGGCGGATCACCTGAGGTCAGGAGTTCGAGACCAGCCTGACCAACGTGGTGAAACTCCATCTCTACAAAAAATGCAAAAATTAGCTGGGTGTGGTGGCAGGTGCCTGTAATCCCAGCTACTCAGGAGGCTGAGGCAGGAGAATCACTTGAAGCTGGGAGGTAGAGGTTGCAATGAGCAGAGATCGCGTCATTGCACTCCATCCAGGGTGACAGAGGGAGACTCCGTCTCAAAAAAATAAAAATAATCTCATGCTGGTCAGGCACGGTGGCTCACGCCTGTAATCTCAGCACTTTGGGAGGCCAAGGCGGGCAGATCACTTGAGGTCAGGAGCTCGCGACCAGCCTGGCCAACATGGTGAAACCCCATCTCTAATGAAAATACAAAAAAATAGCCAGTGTGGTGGCAGGCGCTTGTAGTCCCAGCTACTTGGGAGGCTGAGGCACAAGAATCGCTTGAACCTGGAAGGTGGAGGTTGCAGTGAGCAGAGATCCTGCCACTGCACTCCAGCCTGGGTGACAGAACAAGACCCTGTCTCAAAAAAAATAATAAAAATAAAAAAGAAGAATCTCATGCCTTGTATAAGAATTAAGAATGTGTGGTCATTACCTTCAATATCAGCATAGATTTAGAGACTTTTGTTTATAATAAAATACTTAATATGTTTGGAAGCTTTATAAACTCTCATCTGAATTACTACAATTGCCTGCCAACTGTGTTCTTCTTTCCACCCTAGGTTCCTTATCATCTATTCTCCATTCATAACACAGCCATAGTGATCCTTCTGAAGTATCTCAGACATCTCAACCCCCACCGCCCCATGACCTCTCCATCATCACACTCCAAGTAAAAGCATCTTGACAATGGCCTACAAAGTGTACATGATCAGCCGGGTGTCGTGGCTCACGCCTGTAATCCCAGCACTTTGGAAGGCTGAGGCAGGCAGGTCACTCGAGGTCAGGAGTTCGAGACCAGCCCAGCCAATACGGTGAAACCCCATCTCTACTAAAAATACAAAAATTAGCCGGGCCATGGTGGCACATTCCTGTAGTCCCAACTACTCAGGAGGCTGAGGCAGGAGAATCATTTGAACCTGGGAGGCAGATTTTGCAATGAGCAGAGATCGGCCACTGCACTCCAGCCTGGGCGACGAGACTGTGTCTCAAAAAAAAAAAAAAAAAAAAACGAACAGTGTACATGATGGCATGCCCTCTCACCTCACTGACTGGATTGCCTCCCCATCACTCTGCCCAGGAAATGGGCCTTCTCACAGTTTCTCAAACATACCAAGCACATTCCCACCCCCAGAGCTTAATCTATCTCCCTCTACCCTGTCATAATATTTAAGAACTTCACACCCGATATCATTTATTAATTTATTATGCTTATTTTCTGCCTCCTTCTGCTAGAATATAAGTTTCACGAGGTCAAGGATTTTGTTTACTAAGGTAACCTCTTCAGTAGAACAGCAACGAGCACATAGTATGCACCCAATACAATGTTTGTTGAGTGAATAAATTTGCCATCAATTATGTAAGGCATTATCATTCTATTTCCTAACCTATGAGTTTTGAAAGATTTCTAACATGACCTTGAGCTTTTCAGTTCATGCTGGCTGTTAAGTTGATGTGAGTTGGTGGTCTTACTTGACCCAAGAAAAATACAGTATAGTTGAAAAAAGTAAGTACGGCCGGGAGCAGTGGCTCATGCCTGTAATCCCAGCACTTTGGGAGGCTGAGGCAGGTGGATCACCTGAGGTTGGGAGTTTGAGACCAGCCTGCCCAACTTGGAGAAATCCTGTCTCTACTAAAAATACAAAATTAGCCAGGTGTGGCAGCGGGAGCCTGTAATCCCAGCTACTCAGGAGGCTGAGGCGGGAGAATCACTTGAACCCAGGAGGCGGAGGTTGCAGTGAGCCGAGATCGTGCCGTTGCACTCCAGCCTGGGCAAAAGGAGTGAAACTCCGTCTCAAAAAAATTAAAAAAAAGTTAAGCTCAACAAGAATCACTTTAGCATTGGATAGCAGTTAACAGCAAAACAAGTTTGTTGGTTCGTTTTGGAAATCTTGCTAAACTAATGCAGACTCTGCTGTCGGTGTGCTTAATGATAGCAGCCTTTCTGTTTTTATAAACAGTTGTGGAATGGAATATCTGCTAAATGTGAGGGCTGGCATGTCTCTACCTCAATAAAGTTCTGGCTTTTTTGACATCTATTGTGACCACTCAGGGGCCTTTTTAATTTATGTTTGGAGTCACAGCTGCATGTTTAGGTTGGGTTGCCAGAAGTCTGACTGCCAAATAAGCAGTGTTGCTATATTTAGAAATGAAATAGTAGTCTACAAAATAGAATATCTGGTGTTGCTACCTTACTTGGCTCTATGTTACTGGGATTAACTTGGGATTTTTAAAAGTTAGTAATATGTATATGAAATAACTATTTTGAATATCTTAGTAAAGATGAAAAGTTATGTCTAGCAAGATTTACTGTCCAGGTAAATACAATCTTTATAGTGTTCTTAAATCTATTTCCCTGTTAATCTATCCTAATGACTATAAGGAGTCAAAATAACTGTTAGCATCCTATTCATTTTTCAGAATATTCTTGTCACAATCTTGGAATTTCTATTACTTTGGAAACTATAAATATAATAAATATTACAATAACTTTTATGTCAAAATCTTTCATTTATTTGTGCCTCTAACCTTTGGGCAGTCTTCATGAAACTCCCTATTTGAGTTAGTTTGTAGATGCTAATTTCAGGTATGGAATGCTATGAAACATGTTATTGATAATTAAATGATGGCACTTCTCCATAACTCAAAGTAGGAAATCCAATAAGTTGTCCAACAAAATTTAGATGCCATCCTACAAGAAACTCAAAGAGCCTAGTGAATTATATTTGTCAGCAATACTCATCTGATTCTCATAGTTCCATAAAAGAATGATTCTTTCATTAAAATATTATTTTGTATAGTTGTGCCTCATAAAATAATAATATTTCATCTCAGAATGAGGTGCTTTTAAATTAAGAACAAAACAATCTCTCCTTCAAGTTACAAAGTACTTGGCAAACCTTCTGGATAAAAGACACCATGCTAATATAGAACATTACTATCTCACTATGTTATTTTACAATGTCCTAAGTAAATTTTTGTGATACGAGGAAAATATAAAACAAAAAAGGCTCACCATGTACAAAAAGGACAACTGGACATCTTATACTTTTATATCAGAGAATCAGCTATTCAGATTGGTTTGAAAAGCTAAAATTTAGCTTATGCCTAAATCTCCCATGAGTTCATCCTTATTTACTAAACGTCATATGAAAGGTTAAGTATTTTAAGCATGAGTCATAGGGACAACTTTCTAGGGCATTTCAAACGAAATCTATGAAAAATTAACAAGCTATCACGGAGGGTGTCTCAGGGATCCTACTCTGCCCCTCCCTGTCTCTGGAAAGGGAGGTAGGGAGAGAAGACAGGCAGGCCCAACCCCTAAGTATTATACACCCTCGATCATTAAAAAAAAAAAGTTAACAAATTTGGTCCAGTTACATGGCATATTAAATCCACATTTTTTTATTTTTTGTTATTGTTGTTTTTGTAGTTTTCTTCTTATTCTTTTTGTTTCTTTTTTCTTCTTTTTTTTCATTTTTGTTAAAATTCACATTTTTATCTTGACTTCTACCCCAAATAGAGTCTGCCTTCTGTGTCATGGATTTCACATTTGCAGATTCAACCAATCATGGACCAAAAATACTCAGAAAAAAAATAAATAACTCAGAGGTTAAAAGTGTGTTTAACAAGATAAAATAGAAGAGAAAAAATAACAACATAACAACAAAAAATACAAATTTTTAAGTACAGTATAACAACTATTTGTATAGCATTTTACACTGTATTTGATATTATAAGTAATTTAGAGATGAGTTAAAGTATATTGGAAGGATGTAACTGGGTTACATGCAAATACTACGCCATTTTATATAAGGAACTTGAGTTCTGGGGATTTTGGTATCTGCCAGCGGCAGGATTGCGGATAGGTCCTGGAACCAATGCCCTGCAGACACAGAGAGACAACTGTACCTATAAAATGACAGTTATGAAATTTTAAATAAATAAACCCACCAGGACAGCAGAGAAAGAGAGAGCCAACATAAAAGCAAAGGAGGAAAAGCATAAAAGAAAAGAAAAAGACAGGCTGGGCGCGGTGGCTCCTGCACTTTGGGAGGCCGAGGCGGGCGGATCACAAGGTCAAGAGATCAAGACCATCAAGGCCAACGTGGTAAAACCCTGTCTCTACTAAAAATACAAAAACTAGCCGGGCGTGGTGGTGGGTGCCTGTAGTCCCAGCTACTCAGGAGGCTGAGGCAGGAGAATCACTTGAACCTAGGAGGCAGAGGTTGCAGTGAGCCGAGATCACACCACTGCCCTCCAGCCTGGCAACAGAGCGAGACTCCGTCAAAAAAAAAAAAAAGAAAAGAAAGAAATAATCTGGGATAATGGTGACTAGAAATTCAAAATGGCAATTGTTCAAAATTCCTAGAAAACAACCAGTCCAAACTGGATCAAGAAGATAAAAGAAAGGGTATCCCCCCAGAGAAAGAAAACAAAAATGAGTATCTGATGTTTGAGGCTATTCAGAAAAGATTTTTCAGTCGTAGGTAGTTTCAGGATAAAATAGTGGTTGGATCCTAAGAAACAACAGAAACAAAACACTAACACTGAACAATACTAAATAGAATATACAACTAGTTGAACAAGTAATGTAAGCCACTATGTGGCTTAGCTGAAAATAATGAGCTGTCACATAATAACATAAACACAATTATTTATCAAATGAAAACATACCCTTTTTAGGGAATGTGTGAGACATGGAGAAGCATGTATCTGAATGTGTGTGTGAGAGAGAGAGTCTGAGAAAAAGAACAAAGCCCTCATCTTCCTTAGTAGAAAACCAATTAATAATGTCTAAAATTGAAAAATGGCCAGGCATGGTGGCTCACGCCTGTAACCCCAGCACTTTGGGAGGCTGAGGCGGGTGGATCACATGAGGTCAGGAGTTCTAGACCAGCCTGGCCAACATGGTGAAACCCCATCTCTACTAAAAAATGCAAAAAAAAAAAAAAAAAAATTAGCCAGGCATGGTGGTGAGCACCTGTAATCCCAGCTACTCAGGAGGCTGAGGCAGGAGAATCGCTTGAACCTGGGAGGCAAAGGTTGCAGTGAGCAGAGATTGCACACTGCACTCCAGCCTGGGCGACAGAGTGAGACTCCATCTCAAAAATAAATAATAAATAAATAAATAAAATTTAAAAATAAGCAAGGTGTGGTGGCAGGCCCTGTAATCCCAGCTACTCAGGAGTCTGAGTCAGGAGAATCTCTTGAATCCGGAGGCAGAGGTTGCAGTGAGCCAAGACTGTGCCACTGAACTCAAGCCTGGGCAACAAGAGCAAAACTAAACTCCACCTCAAAAAAAAAAAGAAAAGAAAAATAATTTTTTAAAAAACGTTAGTAAACATGTTATCTATGAACATAAAGGTAAATAAAAAAGCAAAAAACAAGAACAAAACAGCTAAAAATTGAAAAAGATTATAATGGTTTTTTTTTTTTAGACTGAGTCTTGCTCTGTGGCCCAGACTGGAGTGTAGCAGGGCAGTCTTGACTCACTGCAACCTCCACCTCCTGGGTTCAAGTGATTCTCTTGTCTCAGCCACCTGAGTAGCTGGGACTGCAGGTGCACGCCATCACACCTGGCCAATTTTTTGTATTTTTGGTAGAGATAAGGTTTCGCCATGTTGCCCAGGCTGGTCTCGAATTCCTGAGCTCAGACAATCCCCCTGGCCTTGGCCTCCCAAAGTGCTAGGATTACAGGTGTGAGCCACCACACCCGGCTGTAATGGTTTTCAAGAAAGCAAAAATCAAAAGGGACAGGGCACTCCTTTTTTATGTCTAGTAATACTATTTTAAATGTTTTCATTGATTAAAATAAATTTAAGATTAAAAAACAGCTAAATGAAAAAAAGACAGCTAAATGAAAAAAATCATACACTGTTGGTGGGAGTGTAAATTAGTTCAACCATTGTGGAAGACAGTGTGATGATTCCTCAAAGATCTAAAAATAGAAATACCATTGGACCCAGCAATTCCATTACTGGATATACACTCAAAGGAATATAAATCATTCTATTATAAAGACACATACATGTGTATATTCATTGCAGCACTATTCACAATAGCAAAGAAGACATTAATTCAACATAAATGCCCATCAAAGATAGACTGGGTAGAGAAAATGTGGTACATATACAACATGGAACACTATGCAGCTGTATAAAAGAATGAGATCATGTCCTTTGCAGGGGCATGGGTGGAGCTAGAGGCCATTATCCTTAGCAAACTAATGCAGGAACAGAAAACCAAATACCACATAGTTGTAGCTCTCACTTGTAAGTGGGAGTTAAATGATGAGAACACATGGAAACACAGAGGGGAACAACACAAACTGGGGCCTATTAGAGGGTGGAGGGTAGGAGGAGGGAGAGGATCAGGAAAAATAACTAATGGGTACAAGGCTTAATAACTGGGTGATGAAATAATCTGTACAACAAACCCCCATGACACAAGTTTACCTATGTAACAAACCTGCATATGTACCTCTGAATGTAAAATAAAAATTAATTAAAAAAAAAGAAAAAAGTAACATAAAAAATGCATACATATATCTTATGCATCAATTGAGATGGTCACACAATTTTTCGTCTGTTGATGTGTATTATTTTGATGGATTTAAAATTTTTAAACTAAATTTAAATTCCTAGAATAAACTCACTTGGACATGATCTATTACTTTTTATATATCACTGAATTTAATTCTGTAATAGTTTGGATTCCATTGATTAGAAGGAAAAAAATACTCTGTTAAGAATTTTTGCATCTTTGTTTATGAGAAATATTAGAATTTTGTTTTCTTGTCTTTTTTTTTTTTTTTTAAGGTCTTCATTAGAGTAATGCTGGTCCCATAAAGTGAGTTGGGACATGATCTCTCCTTTTTTATTTTCCGGAAGAGTTTGTGGAGAATTAGTATTTTTTCTTTAAATCAAATGTTTGGTAGGTTTCACCAAACTGTCTGAGCCTGGAGTTTTCTTTGTTGGTTTTTCGTTTGTTTGTTTATTATTCTTTATTTTAGAGACAGGATTGTCCTCTGTCACCTAGACTGGAGTACAGTGGCGCAATCATAGCTCACTGCAACCTCAAGCTCGTGGGCTGAAGCAATACTCCTGCCTCAGCCTCTGGAGTTGCTGGGATTACAGGCATGAGCCACCACACCCAGCAACCTGGGGTTTCTTTGCAGAAAAATTTTTCACTGTGACTTTTATGGATTTTATTAGGCTATTCAGATTTTCTGTCTCTTCTTGAGTAAACTCTGGTAGTTTGTGACTTCAAAGGAATTTGCAAAGCTCATCTGTTTTCAAATATATTGAAAAAAATTCATAATATATTTATTTTTTTTAAGTATTTGTAGGAAATGTAATGATGTCCCCGATTTTATTCCTAATATTGGTATGTTATCTTTCTCTCTCTCTCTCTCTCTCTCTGTCTCTCTCTTTTCTGTCAGTCTGGCTACAAGTTTATCAGTTGTATTGATCTTTGCAAAGAAGTAGTGTTGCATTCCATTTTTTTTCTTCTTTTTTCTGCTTTCTATCTTATTGATTTCATCTCTTATTTTTATTACTTTCTTCTTTATGCCTACTTTAGCCTTAATTTGCCCCTTTTTTTCTAGTATGTTAAGATTGAAGCTTGGATCATTAATGTGAGAACTTTCTTCTTTTTGAATATATGCATTTAATGTTATAACTTTCCAACCAAGTGCTGTTTGGGTCACACTAACAAATCCTAATAGGTTTTGTTTTCATTTGGTTTCATTCAAAATATTTTATAATTTTAACTATGGTATCTTCTTTGACTCGTATTTTATTAAAAGCATAGTGTTTAGTTTTTTAATATTTGGAGATTTTTAATATATCTTTCTGTAATTAATTTCTATTTCTATTTTCTTTTGGCCAGAGAACATACATTGTATTATTTTATCTCAATTCAGTTAAGTTTAATGAGATTTGTATGGCCTGGAATATGGTCTATCTTGGTGAATGTTACATTTGCACTTGAAAAGAATATGTACTCTGCTGCTGTTACATGGAGTTTTCTATAAATAAACAGATCATGTTGGTTGTCTTCTATGTCCTTTCTAATTTTCTCTCTATGTGTTCTATTAGTTACTAAAAAAAAGAGTTGATATATACAACTACAATTGTAGATTTATATATTTCTCCTTTCAGTTCTCTAAGTGTTTTACTTCAGGTATTTAGGAGCTCTGTTTTTAGTGCATATACACTTAGGATTGCCAGGTCTTCTTCAACTGATCCCTTTATTGTAATGTAATGTTCTTCATTACCCCTGGTAATATTTTTTATCATAATGTCAACTCTGATTTTAATAGAACCACCCTGCTTTTTTTTTTGTTTGCATGGTATATTGTTTTCTGTTCTTTTACTTTGAACAAACATCTGTCATTATAATTTTTTCTTTTTTTGAGACAGAGTCTCGCTCTGTTGCCCAGGCTGGAGTGCAGTGGCGGGATCTCGGCTCACTGCAAGCTCCGCCTCCCGGGTTCACACCATTCTCCTGCCTCAGCCTCCCAAGTAGCTGGAACTACAGGCGCCCGCCACCACGCCCGGCTAATTTTTTGTATTTTGTTTAGTAGAGACAGGGTTTCACTGTGTCAGCCAAGATGGTCTCGGTCTCCTGACCTCGTGATCCACCTGCCTCGGCCTCCCAAAGTGCTAGGATTACAGGCGTGAGCCACCGCGCCCGGCCGTCATTATAATTAATCCTCAAAACAATTCAATAAACTAGGTACAGTTATTATCCCCAATTTACATGTAGGAAAACTGATACAGAGCATTCAATACTGCCCCTTGCTGCCTCTCCATTCAGCCTGTTTCCAGAGCTTTTAGTGTTCTCCTGATGCTACTTCTCAAATATGTTCAGATTTTAATATTTTTAGTGTCTTTTTTATTCATTTACCATCTAATGTAAATTAAATACTCAAAATAATGTGTGTTTTTTCCTGTCACCGTTATGGGACCACAGTAAGGCTATTAGCATTTTGCATGAGGGAAGTTTAAATACAGATTGAAACACTTTTAATTTCCTTGGATAGGTACTGGAGAAAAAATAAATTCTTACCACATTTCTATGGACATCAATATTAAACCCCAGTTCTTTTTTGATTCCCAGTTGACTAATTTCAGCTTAAGTAAACTAGTAATTTAGTCGTTAACAGATAAGAGGCTTGAGGCCAGCTCTATACTAGAAGTTTTTACATTTTCTTTTTTTTTTTTTTTTTTTTGAGACAGAGTCCTGTTCTGTCACAAGGGCTGGAGTGCAGTGGCGTGATCTCAGCTCACTGCAACCTCCGCCTCCCGGGTTCAAGCAGTTCTCTGCCTCAGCTTCCCAAGTAGCTGAGATTACAGGCGCCCGCCACCATCCCCGGCTAATTTTTGTATTTTCAGTAGAGATGGGGTTTCACCATTTTGGCCAAGCTGTTCTTGAACTCTTGACCTCGTGATCCATCTGCCTCAGCCTCCCGAAGTGCTGGGATTACAGGCGTGAGCCACCGCGCCTGGCCCTACGTTTTCTTTTTTTCTTTTTCTTTTTTTTTTTTTTTTTTTGAGACGGAGTCTTTGTCTGTCACCCAGGCTGGAGTGTAATGGCAATCTCTGCTCGCTGCAACCTCCACGTCCTGAGTTCAAGTGTTTCTCCTGCCTCAGCCTCCCAAGTAGCTGGGATTACAGGCACCTGCCACCACGCCCGGCTAATTTTTGTATTTTTGGTAGAGACAGGGTTTCACCACGTTGGCCAGGCTGGTCTTGAACTTGTGACCTCAGGTGATCCAGCCACCTTGGCCTCCCAAAGTGCTGGGATTACAGGCGTGAGCCACCACGCCTGGCCAAGTTTTTACATTTTCTATAAGGAAGTTAGCCACAACATCCCACCAATAGAACCAACTGGATCTCAGTTACAAGGAAAAAACAAATAGCTCAGCGCATTCTGAGCTATGTGAGACATGCAAACTTTATCCAGTTCAGAAAGACAGGAATATGGGACTTCACTCTCCCTATCCTCCCACACCAGCACCCATGCCCAAGGGCAATTTCTGAAAGGGATTTTGTTTCTGACCAAACTGCCTCACCCATTATCTTCAGGTACCTGGCATTTGTGATACAAAGAACAATGCATAGCCAATCAATAGCTTAAGCTATTTTAATATAAATTCTCGTAAAACAACTTAGAAATCCCCTCTTCTTTTTTCATTTAAAAACTCATTTGTGAGTGGGGCGAGGTGGCTCACTCCTGTAATCCTAGCACTTTGGGAGGCCGAGGCGGATGGATCACCTGGGGTCAGGAGTTCAAGACCAGCCTGACCAACATGATGAAACCCCGTCTCTACTATAAATACAAAATTAGGTGGGCACAGTGGCATGTGCCTGTAATCCCAGCTACTTGGGAGGCTGAGTCAGGAGAATCACTAGAACCCGGGAGGCAGAGGTTGTAGTGAGCTGAGATCGCATCATTGCACTCCAGCCTGGGCAACAAGAGTGAAACTCCGTCTCAAAATAAAAATAAAAATAAATAAAAACTCATCTGTGGCCCAGAGGCACAGTGGCTCAGGATTATCATCCCAGCACTTTGGGAGGCTGAGGCAGGAGGATCACTAGAGCCCAGGAGTTCAAGACCACACTGGGCAACACAGCGAGACCCTGTCTCAAAAAGAAAAAAAATTAACTTTTGATTATTAAAAACAAGAGCCAGGTGCAGTGGCTCACGCCTGTAATCCCAGCACTTTGGGAGGCTAAGGTGGGTGGATCACAAGATCAGGAGTTCGGGACCAGCCTGGCCAACATAGTGAAACCCCGTCTCTACTAAAAATACAAAAAAATTAGCCAGGTCTGATGGTGGGCACCTGTAATCCCAGCTACCTGGGAGGCTGAGGCAGGAGAATCCCTTGAATCCGGGAGGTAAAGGTTGCAGTGAGCCAAGATCACGCCACTGTACTCCAGCCCTGGGGACAGTGGGAGACTCCATCTAAAAAAAAAAGTAAAAGTTAAAAAATTAAAACTCACTTGTAACTTCTGCTAATTGGAGCATATCTTCAGGGCACCTTGAGTCTATACTCCCAGGTTGCAGACCTCAAACTTGGCAGAAATATACATATATATATATATATATATATATATATATATATATATATACTTTTTTTTTTTTTTTGGTAGAGACGAGGGTCTGCCTATGTTGCCCAGACTGGTCTCAAACTCCTAGACTCAAGCGCCCCTCAGCCTCCCAAAGTACTGGGATTACAGCCATGAGCCACCACACAAACGATCTTCTTGTTTGCCTCAGTTTTTTTGTTCAGGTTGACAGTTATTAGTTCATGTCACAGAAGAGAGTAAACCTGTAAGTTGTGCTCCCTGGAATATACCACACTGCCCCTCATACTCAATAGAGCCTCCTCATTCTGCAGCAGCTCCTTAGAGCTTGGGCTATGGGTCTGTCACCAGACGTAGCCTCTGTTCCTAACAGACTGAAAATTCTGGCACTGGCCAAAGAACAAGAGGCTTAGGAGCCATTTTATAGCACCCCCTTCATCAAAGCAGAGAAGGGAAGAAAGCAGAGAAGGGAAGAAATTCTTTGCCACTAGATCAGGCTCCAAGCACATTGTTGCAGGCTTCTCTGAATGAGTTACTCAAGGAATTCTGTAGGCTTTACCCTGAGCAAAAGTTTCCAACAAAACAGTTCAGAGTTCCTGAACCTCTACCCATTTCATTGTACTGCTTCTCCACCTTAATATGGAGAAAACAACCTTATTCAAAAGTCAAAATGCTTGACCTCATTAAGGAATGCTGCTCACCTGGAGCATTCCCCTCATTCTCACCCTCATCATTTAGAGACCATTGATATTTTAAATGCCTAACAAGTGGTTGCTTAGTCCACACTACACCAAATATTGGTTTGACTGATTTTCTTTCATACTGTTATTTTGTCATCTTGTAGATATATTTCTACTTTCTAAAAATATAGTTTGGACCGGGCGTGGTGGCTCACACCCGTAATCCACCACTTTGGGAGTCCGAGGCGGGTGGATCACTTGAGGTCAGGAGTTCGAGACCAGCCTGGCCAACATGGTGAAACCCCATCTCTAATAAAAATACAAAATTTAGCCAGTCGTGGTGGCACATGCCTGTAGTCCCAGCTACTCGGGAGGCTGAGGCACAAGAATCACTTTAACCCAGGAGGTGGAGGCTGCAGTGAGCCAAGATTGCACCACTGCACTCCAGCCTGGGCAACAAAACCAGACCCTGTCTCAAAAAATAATAAATTAAATTAAAATATAGTCTGGCAATCCAATAATCCAGGTATTTTTCTATCTGGAATTTAGGTTTTTAAATTCAAATCAGGCCGGGCATGGTGGCTTACGCCTGTAATTCCAGAACTTTGGGAGGCCGAGGCAGGCAGATTACTTGAAGTCAGGAGTCCAAGACCAGCGTGGCCAATGTGGTGAAAGCCCGTCTCTCCTAAAAATACAAAAAATTAGCCAGACATGGTAGTGGGTGCCTGTAATCCCAGTTACTCAGGAGGCTGAGGCAGGAGAATCACTTGAAGCCAAGAGGCACAGGTTGCAGTGAGCTGAGATTGCACCACTGCACTCGAGCCTGGGCTACAAAGTGAGACTCCATTTCAAATAAATAAATTAATTAATTAATTAAAATAAATTCAAATCAGATTTAACTAATACTTTCACATATTTACCATCTACAAGGCACTAGGTTGGAAACCTTTATTTAATGTCATAGTAGCACAAGGTCAAGCTATTATTTTCACAATTCTTTCTCCAGTGATTATAATTTCATTTATTTTTATTTTTATTTATTTATTTATTTATTTTTAGACAGAGTTTCCCTCTTGTTACCCAGGCTGGAGTGCAATGGCACTATCTCAGCTCACTGCAGCCTCCACCTCTGGGGTTCAAGCGATTCTCCTGCCTCAGCCTCCCGAGTAGCTGGGATTACAGGCATGTGCCCCCACGCCCGGCTAATTTTGTATTTTTAGTATAGACGGGGTCTCTCCATGTTAGTCAGGCTGGTCTCGAATTCCCGACCTCAGGTGATCCACCCACCTCGGCCTCCCAAAGTGCTGGAATTGCAGGCATAAGCCATCGGGCCCGGCTAGCCTTTCATTTTATAAAGTGACCATATATATTAGCGTTGGAAACAAATGCTGTGCCTATAATTTTCTAGATTTTTTTCACTTCAGTTTCTACAACTATGACATTGTTACCGTGTTTATATATACCTTCCTTCAGAACAAAGGGTAAACAGTAATTCTGCACTTATGTTAAAAAAAGAACTGAGTTGAAAGCCTGAAGATCTCGGTCCTAGGACCCAGCTAAGGTTGGAGGACTGTGTGAAAGTTACCCAAACATTCTCGGTCTTGGTTTCATTGCCTATGACATTAAAAGATTAGACTGGGTTCTCGCTAGGGACCTCTCTAATTCTAGGAGTCTGAAAAGCCTTCAGAGAGAGAATGTACTTTGGAAACAACTAACCAGGTGTATGTTTTTCGAAGTGTTAATGATTGCTAGGTTGTGACACTGAAATCAGTAAAACACGAATCAAATATTTACACATACCTTCCATGCAGTGTATTTTCCATCATGGGAAGGTATTGGGCAATGGAAAATTTCTCAAATACTTTTACTGGAAGAGACAAATTAGGCTCAGTTTTTTGTTACCATTATGTAAAGTTTGTAATAATGCTATGTGAAACCCTTTGTTTATTCATAGATGAAAATACCATGTCGAGAATTATTCAGCAAGTTGCTCTCAGACTAAGATGCTTATGACTTGCTTTAGAGTGTTTTCCTTTACATAAGATTTTACCTGAAAGACCAAGTCTATTGTTGTATTATTAACAATTATAATTCAAAATGTCAACAATGTTTCCATTAATTATAGGCATTGTTCCTTAAAGCTGGCCTAAAATGGAAGTCAGAAATCAGGGTTTGAAGGTAAAATGTCAAACCATTTTGGTTCTCTCAAAAGATTTTTTTTATGCCGTTTAACTGAATACTCCAATTCTGTCTATGAACTAGGAGAGACCATATTAATGGTTTTCCATGCATTAATACAAAAAGCTTTGGAAAATACGCCACAAGCTTACATGTCTACTGAAGTATATTATAAATTAATTATTGTACTTTTTTGAATTTTAAATTTTCTGTTTAAATTTTCAATCTATTCATTATAGGATCTCACTATGTTGACTAAGTTGGTCTTGAACTCCTGCCCTCAAGCAATCCTCCAACCTCCGCCTCCCAAAATGCTAGAATTAAAGGTGTGAGCCACCATACCCACCCCCGCCGCCCCCAACAAATCTATTCATTCTTTCAGGATGAAGTCTATATGTATATTGCCCATGTTTTGAAGTAGAACTTCCTTTCACTTATTCAGTAGTAATCTTTTTTAAGCTTTACTGGAGGCCTAGGCAGGCAGATCACTGGAGGTCAGGAGTTCGAGAACAGCCTGACCAACATGATGAAACCCTGTCTCTACTAAAAATACAAAAATTAGCCAGGCGTGGTTGTGGGTTCCTGTAATTCCAGCTACTCAGGAGGCTGAGGAAGGAGAATCGCTTGAACCCAGGAGGTGCATCATGCCATTACACTCCAGCCTGGGTGACAAGAGCAAAACTCCATCTCAAAAAATAAAAATAAATTTTAAAAAGAACCTTTTCTGATCACCTAATAATGCTAAAGTTTCCTAGGAATTTGATGACCAACTTCACGTGCTCCATGTCCACACCCTTCATTGTGCAACAAACTTTGCTCATATCTCCTTCTGGGCCTTTTCCACATCAAAATCCTAGTCTTTCAAATCTGCCTTAAATGGAAGATTTCATTCCCTTTTTTTTTTTTTTTTTTTTTTTTTTTTTTTGTATTTTTAGTAGAGACGGAGTTTCAACATGCTGGCCAGCCTGGTCTCGAACTCCTGACCTCGTGATTCACCTGCCTCAGCCTCCCAAAGTCCTGGGATTACAGGCATGAGCCACCACACCCGGCCCCATTCCCTAGCTTTTATTACCCTTCTACTTCTGACCTTCATTCACTTATTTTTAGCTTTATTGTCTTCCTTGAGTGTGATGCCCAAAAACACACCACAGTTTTCTGAGTGAAAGATAACTGTGCTTTCTTTCATGAGTCTAATAACTTTCCTAACAGTAGCCAATATTTCACTTGTCTTGTACTAAATTAATACATTGAAAAACTAAAAGAAAATTTCTATCTTTGAATTTAAATTGACGTCCTTTACTCTTTTACCTTGAAATCATACTTTCTATCATTCATAACTGGATGCTGACCACTGCATTTGCCCATGCTGAATATTATTTGCCACTTCCTTGTTCATTTCTATTATTAGGAGGAATTTTCTTAGTTCCTTCCCTCCTACTATTACTTAAGTGAAAACTATGTTTCCCAGAACAAACCAGCCCAGGGGAAAAAATAATAATCACAATGACAATCAGGCTTGCGGATTTTTCCTTTTCTGTCCCAGCATGCCCGGTGGAAAACTGAACCTCCCAAAAATTAGGAGTGTGTTCTTCTGAATATACTTTTGGCTGTTCTCTTCTGTTCTAGTTCACTAAGGTGATGACTCCTGTTGCCCTTGACACCCAAAACAGTAGCCAATAGACAACATCTACTGAGGAAGTCTCCCACATATCAAAATGTGTATAGTACCACAGGCATCAAAGTCTACACTGAATGTCTGGCATGAGGGGGCCAAGCGTCCCTCAGGAGGGCTTCTATCTTCTGTAGCTACTGGGGCCACTGCCATGCCATCTTGTATCGTAAATGTCTCTGCTGCTGGGTTTTTTGGGTTTTTTCCCCCAAGACGGAGTCTTACTCTGTCGCCCGGGCTGGAGTACAGTGGTGCAATCTCAGCTCACTGCAACCTCTGCCTCCCGGGCTCAAGCCTCCCGAGTAGCTGCGATTACAAGCATGCACCACCATACTGGGCTAATTTTTGTATTACTAGTAGAGATGGGGGTTTCACCGTGTTGGCCATGCTGGTCTCAAAATCCTGATCTCAAGTGATCCACCCACCTCAGCCTTCCACGGTGCTGGGATTACAGGCATAAGCCATCATGCCCAGCCTTGTCTGTGCTCTTTTGGTTTTCTCTTGTTCTCCATTTGTACTCCCTCATCCTGAGATTTAGTCCTGAATCCAAGGAGCCTGAGCTAAAGGATAATTTCTCCCTCAAATACTGGCTGACTGTCTTCAAACCAAGCCCTTGCACATCAACATTGTGAACTTTTTCTTCCCACATGACAAGTTATTTCCTGTGAACTTTCTTGTTTCCAGAATGTGTTCTACATTTACATGATCTAGTTTAATTCTGATGACCACCTCCAGAAGAGATATGCTGCAGTTTTACAGATGGAAAAACAAAGGCATCAAGAAATTACATTAACTACTCTACATTGGACAGTTGGCAAAGGACAGATCCCAAATCAATCTGGTCTTCATACCCCACGGCCCTGAATTATAGCTTCTCTACTTTCTATTAATTTGTATTCCAAATGTGTTGCTTCCTAAACATCATATTATACTGCATCAATGTCAGGAAACCAGAAGCTTGCTCTAAAAGACATGCCCAGACCTTTTTGAATTCTAGTATAAACACAGTTCTGGCTCCAACTCTAATTCTTATCATCTAAGTATGAACATAGATTCTGCATATACTAGTATAGTCCCCTGAGCTTCATTTTTTTTCTCCTGTATGCAATTGGCTAATAATTATTTTCTAGGGTGGGAAAGAATCTGGTACTACTAGGACTTTTCCTTCGTTTCTTCTGCAAGCTTCAGAATTCTTTCTCTTCCAGGTCTTTTCCAAAAGTCATAAATAAGTGTTCTCTGATTCTCCGAGGCAAAGCCTGAACTCTCTTACTCTATAAACTTATCATCTTATAAAAACTTCTCTCAACCCACATATCACACTGCTTTAGAATATTACAGGCCTGTCTTTCCCAGTGGACTGTGAAATACTTGAGAACAAGGATTGTATCTGATTCGGGTATCTGATACCTAGTGTCAGGAAATAATAAGAACTACTAGGAAAACCCATGACTAGTACTCACTGTTTACAAACATATGGCTGGATGTGGTGGCTCACACCTGTAATCCCAGCACTTTGGGAGGCCAAGGCAGGTGGATCACCTGAAGTCAGGAGTTCGAGACCAGCCTGGGCAACATGATGAAACCCTATCTCTACTAAAAATACAAAAAAAAATCAGTTGGACATGGTGATGCATGCCTGTAGTCCCAGCTACTTGGGAGGCTGAGGCAGGAGAATCACTTGAAACTGAGACAGAGGTTGCAGTGAGCTGAGATCGCACCACTGCACAAAACAAATATATTCCTAGATTTTGGTTTTTGTTCTCTAAGCCTTATTACCTAAGAAGTTTACTTCAAACTTTTCACTCACATGCCTCTAACAACCAAGGAGTGTTTCCAGAGTGTCACAAGGCCTACCTCTACAGCGTACTTGCCATAAGTTCAAATTTGATACCTTAATTATTTATCTCAATCTTGCTTCGTCTACATAATCCAATGTGTCCAAGATCATGGTAGATAGGATAAACCGGAACAGAATGCAGATAAATACATTTCTTGTTTTAATAAATATGGATTTATGTTCAGGTGTGTCTTAGGAGAAAATATGACCAGTTGACCAAACTATTGATTTCATGGATATTTTTTCACAAATAAGAATTATAAAGGGAAAACTTGAATAGCTAGATATTTGGAAAACATTACTGTAATGATTTCTTTCTCTTCTGATAGGAGAGACAGCATGAGTGGTAGAAACACAGACTGAAGCTAGACACTTGAGTTTAAATTATGGATCCTCCACTGCTAGTTGTGTAACGTTGGCAAATATCTTAACCTCTCTGTATCTCTGTTTTCCCATCTTTCAGAGGGACATAAAAATTGTGCCTACCTCATAGAGTTGTTGTGAGGATTAAATGAGTGAATATATGTTAAGCATCTAGGATAGTACCTGACATGTATAAAGAACTATCTAAGTATATGCTGATATTATTATCTTTATTCATTATTATTATTTAAAAGAATGTTTTATATTTATGGCAGAATACAACTGAGGCTCCAGTAAGGTGTGCCACAGAAATCTTGTCACCTCATTTTGTCTCATCTGCCACTCTTGTACATTGCTACATATATCTAGGAATGCTAAAATATTCGTATTTGAGAAGCAAATTCCTATAGATTGTTATAAATACATATGATGTTCAAGTTCCTCTTTACTACAATATAAAAGTAATACTTTATTTATTTGCTTTTAATACTTTATGGTCTTGCAAGGCCTTGTACGTTATGTGTGACTGCTGATTCTCTGTAAGAACTCTGGCATATTTATGAGGCATGATATTATTTGGGAAACCATGTTGCTGGGAAAAAACAGGTCATGCTTGTAGGTACTCAACCAAACTAGGCTTTGATGTAGAGTCTTTAATTGTGTAAATAGCACAATTTAGTTAATGACATATGTGTTGAAAACCTGAAATTTAATAGTGCTTTGTAGTATAACAAAGTGTTTTGAATATATCATCTAATTTAATACTTGAACAAACCTGATGTATCAATTTTGCAGACGAGAAAACTTTGTCTCAGAACTATTAGTAAGGGACCAACAAACACTAAGCCAAAAATGGACAGTACCGAATTTCCAATAAGAGTGTGCCCTTATCTTATCTTTTACAGATAAATGGTAATTTGAATTTCCTTCAAAATAATCTAGTTAGGGAAGGGAGCATAAATGAAAAAAAATTGACAATGAACCGATCATTACTGAAGCTGGATTATGGATATTTGTGTTCCATTTTTCTATTCTTTCTACTTTAGTCCATTTTTGAAACTTTCCCTAATTAAAAAAAAAAATAAGTTTAAAGAAAAAATGTGAGACTATGAATCTTGGCTGTGTTCTTTATCATCTGTCATTGGGCAGGACTGTGCCCAGTTTCCTCATCTATAAAATGGTAATAACAATCCCTCCCTCTTAGGGAAGTTGTGAGAATTAGATGACCTATTGCATGTAACTGTTGCATGCAGCAATTGCATGGAGTATTTTTCTGATTCTCAGTTGTTTGCTTTCTCTATTACAGGCTAATATCTATTTTGAATATAATATTAATCAACTCATTCATTCCTTCAATAAATAATGTGCAAGTCATGTTCTAAGCATTGACAGTACAGAGACAAACCAAATAAATAAAGTACCTAGCCTCACTTAGCTTAAAATCTAGTATGGAAAAAATATATATATATATATGTATATAATGTATTAAATATTAATGGAGAAAAATATGTCAGGTTAGAAGTAATGAAGAGAAATTAAAAGAGGACATTTAATTTATATAGGATGATCAGAGAAGTGTCCAATGGTATGCACACGATCATCACTAAAATTTAAATTACATAAACTTTAAATTTTATTAAAAGAAACATACAAATATTTAAAACTCCCTGGCCAAACGCGGTGGCTCATGCCTGTAATCCCAGCACTTTGGGAGGCCGAGGCAGGTGGATCACATGAGGTCAGGAGTTTGAGACCAGCCTGGCCAAAACAGTGAAACCCTATCTATTGAAACAACAAAAAAGTAGCTAGGCATGGTGGTGGGTGCCTCTAATCCCAGCTACTCGAGAAACTGAGGCAGGAGAATCGCTTGAACCTGGGATGCGGAGGTTGCAGTGAGCTGAGATCACACCATTGCACTATAGCCTGGGTGACAAGAGCGAGATTCTGTCTCAAAAAAAAAAAAAAAAACTTCCTAATTATTTTACTACCTTTTACTATTACCCACCCCATGCTCTTGTGGTTATTCAAGTCCTATCTATCTGTATGGTGGAAATACTATATAATGGTGTGCTACTACTGCGCGTCTATTTCCTTTTCGTTGTTGTTGCTCTTTGTTTGTTTTGAGATGGAGTTTCGCTCTTGTTGCCCAAGCCAGAGTGCAATGGCTCCATCTCGGCTCGCTGCAACCTCCACCTCCCGGGTTCAAGTGATTCTCCTGTCTCAGCCTCCTCGGTAGCTGGGATTACAGGCACCCACCACCACACCCAGCTAAATCTTTGTATTTTTAGTAGAGATGGAGTTTCGCCATGTTGACCAGGCTGGTCTCGAACTCCTGACCTCAAGTGATACGCCCACCCTGGCCTCCCAAAATGCTGGGATTACAGGCATGAGCCACCATGCTCAGCCTGCACATCTATTTCCAACTCCACCTTCAGTGACATCATTTTAGTAGCTTGAAGGTGGCCATGGTGAGAGTATTTTCTACTAGGAAATTCAGTGAATACAAAAATCCGGCCTTAGTTTATTGTTTACTGATGGTCAATTTGAACTTAAGGAACTGATGAATAAAATGCCAACAATGGAGATTAAATTTAAGTTTGTGTTACAATGTATATACTAGCATATTTTTTTTCAGAGAACCCATTATTAAACTTTCACCAGCACACCACAGGATAAACCTCTTTCATAAAGTTATATTGATTAGTAAACTGAAAAAGAGACTCAAAGGAGAGAGTGAATTTGTGGATATTCTGGAGAAGAAGAGATTCTGTTCCACCCAGAAGAAACAGCAAGCAGCAAGCACTCTGGCCAGTGTGGCTGGAAACAAGTGAAAAATGAGAAATGATTTGGGTCACAAGCTAGATCATATTGTGCCTATGAATCATTATCGGGATTGCCTTGTTTGTTTGTCTGTGACAATGTCTCACTTTGTTGCCCAGGCTGGAGTGCCGTAGCACCATCATAGTTTACTGCCAACTCAAATTCCTGGGCTTAAGCAATTCTCCCACCTCTGCCTCCCTTGCTAGATTGCCCAGGCTAGTCTTGAACTCCTGGCCTCAAGAGATCCTTCTGCCTTGGCCTCCCAAAGCACTGGAATTACAGGCATTAGCCACCATGCCCAGCCAAGACTGCCTCTTAATCATCTGAGAGAGATGGGGAAACCCCTAGAGAGTTTTTATTTTTATTTTTACTTTTATTTGTAGAGACAGGGTCTCACTTTGTCACTCAAGCTGGAATGCAGTGGTGCAATCGTAACTCACTGTAACTTCCAACACCTGGGCTCAAGTCATCCTCCTGCCTCAGCCTCCCAAGTAGCTAGGACTACAGGTGTATGCCACCATGCCTGGGGATTTTGAACAGAAAAGTGATCTGAATGACTTACATTTTAATGGATGCTCTGGCTACTGTGGAGAATAGGCTGCAGGGGAGAAACACAGCACCAGAAAAACCATTTAGTCAGCAATAATCCAAGAGTTGTGATGATAGTGGCTTCCACCTTTGTGGTAAGGAAAATGTTAAAAATTGTCAATTTTTAAGTATATTTTGTTGGAAGAGCCAGCAGGGCCTGTTGACAGAGTGGAAATTGGAGATAAGAGAAAGTAAAGTCAAGTATGACTCCAAAGTTTTGGACCCAAGCAACTGGAAGGATAGAGTTAGTATCTACCAAGCTGGAAAAGACCAAGATGGCATTTACCAAGACTATGGGAAGAGTAGAATAGGAGAGAAGAATTTGGAGTTCAGACATGTAAAGTATGAGATGTCTATTAGACATCCAATGAGGATATTGAATTGACAGTTGGATATTGGTATGAGGAGTTCAGGGGAAAGGTTTGGGTTTCATATATACATACAAAACTTAAGAACTTAAGAAAATGATGAATAAAATAATATATAAATCAGCATATATAAAACCAGTGTTTAAAGCCATGAGACTGGCTGAGTCTCACTGAGGAGTAAGTTGACATAGAAAAAAATTCAGGTCGGAGGACTGAGCCCTGCAGCACTCCACCATTAAAGGGTCCAGGAAATGAAAGAGATCAGCAAAAAGGAGACTGAGAAGATGTGCCTATAAAAGATAAGAATTTGTACGTATCAGGAATTCATTTGAATTGTTCTTTATTTCTTTGTAATCTGTTTCTTCCCTACAAAGACTTTGAGGCAGTAAACAATAAAAAAGAAAGTAAGTTAATAAAAGTGAAATACAAAAAAAAAATCTGAGTCACAGAAGACTAAAAATATGGTAACTATAAGATCAACATGGTTACTATAAACTTCACGTTTGCCTCTGAGTTTCCTAGAACTCAGAGCAAAAATAAAACACAATCAGTGTATTTGCTAGTGCTGCAATAACAAAATACCACAGTCTGGGTGGCTTAAAAAAACAGATGTATTTTCTCACAGTTCTAGGGGCCAGAATTTCAAGATCAAGGTGTCACCAGGTTTGGTTTCTCCTAAGGCCTGTCTCCTTGGCTTACCAATGGGGCACCTTCTCCCTGTGACTGCACATGGACGTTTCTCTGTGTGAACAAGCCTGGTGTCTCTTCCTCTTCTTATAAGGACAGCAGGATACCAGTCCTATTGGATTAGGACTCTAACCCTGTGGTCTCATTTAATCTTTTTGTTTGTTTGTTTTTGAGACGGAGTCTCACTCTGTTGCCCAGGCTGCAGTGCGGTGGCGTGATCTCGGCTCACTGCAACCTCAGCCTCCCGGGTTCAAGTGATCCTCCTGCCTCAGACCCCTGAGTAGCTGGGATTACAGGAACGCATCACCATGCCCAGCTAATTTTTGTATTTTTAGTAGAAATGGCGTCTCACCATGTTGGCCAACCTGGTTTCAAACTCCTGACCTCAAATGATCCACCCGCCTCAGCCTCACTAAGTGCTGAAATTACAGACGTGAGGCACCGGGCCCGGTCTTAATTATCTCTTTAATTATCTCTTAATTATCTCCAAATATATTCACATTGGAAGTTAAGAATTCAATACATGACTTTTTTGAGAAGACAAAATTCAGTCTGTAACAATCAGTGATACTGTTATTTACTTATTTTTTAATTTTTGTTTATTTATTTGAGACAGAGTTTCACTCTTGTCACCCAGGCTGGAGTGGAATGGTGCAATCTTGGCTTACTGCAACCTCCCTCCTTGGTTCAAATGATTCTCCTGCCTCAGCCTCCTGAGTAGCTGGATTACAGGCCCCCACCACCACACCCAGCTAATTTTTGTATTTTTAGTAGAGACAGGGTTTCACCATGTTGGCCAGGCTGGTCTCGAACTCCTGACCTCAAGTGATACACCCGCCTTGGCTTCTCATAGTGCTGGGATTACAGGCATGAGCCACTGCGCCCAGCCTATTTATGTATTTATTTTGAGACAGAATCTTGCTCTGTTGCCCAGGCTGGAATGCAGTGGCGAGCTCTCAGTTCACTGCAGCCTCTGCCTCCTGGGTACAAGCGATTCTGTTGCCTCAGCCTCCCAAGTAGCTGGGATTACAGGTGCGTGCCACCACACCTGCCTAATTTTTGTATTTTTAGTAGAGACAGGGTTTCATTACGTTGGTCAGGCTGGTCTCGAACTTCTGACCTCAGGTGATCTGCCCGCCTCAGCCTCCCAAAGTGCTAGGATTACAGGCATGAGTCACTGCACCCGGCCATGTTTTTAGTTAGTTAGTTAGTTTTTGGGGGTTTTTTTGAGATGGAGTCTCGCTCTATTGTCCAGGCTAGGGTGCAATGGCACGGTCTCGGCTCACAGCAACCTCTGTCTCCTGGGTTCAAGCAATTCTCCTGCCTCAGCCTCCCAAGTAGCTGGGATTACAGGCTTGCTTCACAATGCCTGGCTAATTTTTGTATTTTTAGTAGAGATGGGGTTTCACCATGTTGGACAGGCTAGTCTCGAATCCTGACCTCAAGTGATCCACCCACCTCAGCCTTCCAAAGTGCTGGGATTACTAGGGTGAGCCACTGCACCCTTCCTTTATTTTTTAATTCTAAAAAATATCCTGAAGTAGGACCATATTTTATACATGTTATATTTACCCTCGTTAAGTCACTGCTATTATAGGATGTTTGCTTTGCCCCAATAGTACTTTTAATGAATTTATTACATGTACATATGGGTCCAGAAGGAATGTTCCTGAGCTGAGCCCAGGAGCCAGAAACTTGGTATGCTTCAATCTACTATCTTCAGAAGTGCAAATGTTCTCTGTAAGAAATAAAGGCTGCTGTTTTTCTATTTTGATTGCTTCTTTATGCTTTGATGCTGAGGAGTAATCAGGCAGGAAATGTTCTGCATAATCCTTTCTAAAAGCCAAGTCAGATATTGGAAGGCAATGCTGTAAGCATCACCATTAAAAATTAAAGTAAAGATCAAAGGCCTAGAAAAATGTCAGTGGACCAGGACCACCAATATTCAAGACATGGTGGGGTGGGGAGTTAAAAGATATTTTAAGAAGATTGCCTATTGAAAATATGACTTAATTATAGTGATAAAAATTTTTGTAAGATCAAACAGAATTATTGCTTTTGTTGGAATTTATCATACTGGAAAATGTAAAAGTTAACTTAGGGCTCTGATTACACAGTATTTCCTTATATTTGATTTCCAAGCATAAAACAATACTGAAAAAAAAATTTAAGTTGCATTTATTGTTTTGTTTTGTTTTTGTTTTTGAAACGGAGTTTCAATCTTATTGCCCAGGCTGGAGTACAATGGCACAATTTTGACCTCCACTTCCCAGGTACAAGCGATTCTCCTGCCTCAGCCTCCTGAGGAGCTGAGATTACAGGCATGCGCCACCACACCCGGCTAATTTTGTATTTTTAGTAGAGACGGGGTTTCTCCATGTTGGTCAGGCTGGTCTTGAACTCCCAACCTCAGGTGATCCACCTACCTTCGCCTCCCAAAGTGCTGGGATTACAGGCGTGAGCCACTGCGCCTGGCCACATTTATTGTTTTAATTTATAATTAGTATTTGTAATTTCATCTAATAAAGCATTTGTGGTGAAAGAAAGGAAAGAGAGACAGAGGGAGGGAGAGAGGGAGGAGACAGAGAAAAAGAGAGAAAGGAAGGAAGGAAGGAAGGCAGGCAGGCAGGCACGCACTCAGACTTATGGTCGGGTACAGTAGCTCACACCTGTAATCCCAGCATTTTGGAAGGCCAAGGTGGGCAGATCACCTGAGGTCAGGAGTTCAAGACCAACCTGACTAACGTGGCAAAACCCCGTCTCTACTAAAAAAAAATATACAAAAATTAGCTTGGCATGGTTATGTGCACCTGTAGTCTCAGCTACTCAGGAGGCTGAAGCAGGAGAATAGCTTGAACCCAGGCGGCGGAGGTTGCAGTGAGCAGAGATCGCACCACTGCACTCCAGCCTGGTTGACAGAGCAAGACTGTCTCAATTCAAAAAAAAAAAAGAAAGAAAAGAAAATATGACTTATTTATATGCTCTGGGAGATACATAAATATATATATTTTTTATTTTAACCTGAAAAAATTAATGTGTAATGATTCTAGAGGCATGTGACTCTTCATGGTTTACTAGGGCATTTTTATCCGCACCCATTTCCTTGCTCTGATAAGGAATACACCTTAAAAATTGAAATGGGGCTTGTTTGTTCTTGGTTGGGGAGCCGCCAGAGATGGACATATAATAAAGTCTATGTCTTCTTTGAGGTCATCCTTAGTAGGGGCACAAGAAGAACACCAAAGAACATTCCTAAGGGATCTTGTAACTGGTAGCACTTCAAGACAGAAATAAGTGTAAGTACAGTGAAGAGAAAATTCTCTGAGAAGGGTACTCATCTGAAGTTATTGACTCTGAATACCAAAATCTTAAATGCAGCTCAGATTCAGTCTTTCTTTTTTTTTTTTTTTTTTTTTTTTGAGACAGAGTTTTGCTCTTGTTGCCCAGGCTGCAGTGCAATGGCACAATCTCAGCTCACTGCAACTTCCGCCTCCCAGGTTCAAGTGATTCTCCTACCTCAGCCTCCCAAGTAGCTGGGATTACATGGGATTACAGGCATGCGCCACCATACTCGGCTAATTTTTTTTTTTTGGTTGTTTTTTTTTGTTTGTTTGTTTTTAGTAGAGACAGGGTTTTGCCATGTTAGTCAAGCTGGTCTCAAATTCCTGACCTCAGGTGATCCACATGCCTCAGCCTCCCAAAGTGCTGAGATTACAGGCATGAGCCACCATGCCTGGCCCAGATTCAGCCTTTTCAATCAGGTGGCAATGTATAATATTGGGAAGAGATCTCTACTTAGGAACTGTTGAAGATTACACAATAGTTGGCTAAATATCAGTAAACCAGGCCAGGAGCAGTGGCTCATGCCTGTAATCCCAGCATTTTGGGAGGCCGAGATGGGTGGATCACTTGAGGTCAGCAGTTCGAGAGCAGCCTGGCCAACATGGTGAAACCCTGTGTCTACTAAAAATACAAAAATTAGCCAGGTATGGTGGCAGGTGCCTGTAATCCCAGCTACTTGGGACGCTAGGCAGGAGAATCGATTGAACTGGGGAGGTGGAGGTTGCAGTGAGCTGAGATCACCGCCACTGCACTCCAGCCTGGGTGACAAGAATAAGACTCTGTCAAAAAAAAAAAAAAATCAGTAGACCAATATAATGGAATGAAGATTTACATTCATTTTACTACCTGCTATAGATTGAATTATGGCCTCCCAAAATTCATATGTTGAAGCCCTAACCCCCAGTGCAATGGTATTTGGAGTTGGGCATCTGGGGGGTAATTAAGGTGAGATGAGGTCATGAGGGTGGGGACCCTCAGGATGGGATTAGTGCCGTTACAATAAGACAAAAAGAGATCGAAATCACATTCTCTCTCTACCATGTGAGGATCCAGCAAGAAGGTGGCTGTCTACAAGCAGGAAGAGAGCCCTCACCAGAAATCTCACTTCTGTTTTATCCAGGATTATTTTCTTTTTTTCTCTCTAATCCTCACCCTAACTTTATTTCTTGCCTCTGCAGCTACAGATTTAGCAATCTTTCTGATTTGCCTCCTTGTAATTTGTATCTTTAAATTCCTTTGTGCTTTTTGATAGTGCACACACTTGCTGATTCTTGTGTCTAATGAGAAGGCGTATTTTATTTCCCTGCCCAAAGCATCCCCATCCCAAACTCTGGCCCTTCAGCCTACATTTGGTTGAATCGGGACTGGTCCTGTCTTGGTTGAAAGTTTATTCAAAATTAGAAATGGGGGTAGAAGTGGGTAAAGAAATGTTATCAAGATTCCGAAATTCCTTTAAAGGTGGAGAAATAGCAAGATAAATAAATAAATGAAGATTCTGAGGTTCTTCAAGACAAAGTGGACTGGATTTTAGTGATTCTTGAAGTGCTTCAACATTGAGTGCCTAGGAAAAGCACTCAAAAGCCACTCTCATGTATGAACGGAATCTACTATCTCTATGAGCTCCCCAGAGAGAGTCAATCTCTGGAATAGCTGGGCTTTCTGATGCTAGTGCAATACTACATAGATATCTACAACCACTGTTTTGGGACAATCCTCTTATTCCACCAAACACTGAAGGCAGAAAGACAGCCCCCTCCTTAAAAATTATGCCCAATTCGGGCCGGGCGCGGTGGCTCAAGCCTGTAATCCCAGCACTTTGGGAGGCTGAGATGGGCAGATCATGAGGACAGGAGATCGAAACCATCCTGGCTAACGCAGTGAAACCCTGTCTCTACTAAAAATACAAAAAAATTAGCCGGGCGTGGTGGCAGACACCTGTAGTCCCAGCTACTTGGGAGGCTGAGGCAGGAGAATGGCATGAACCCAGGAGGCGGAGCTTGCAGTGAGCCGAGATCATGCCACTGCACTCCAGCCTGGGCAACAGAGCGAGACTCTGTCTCAAAAAAATAAAATAAAAATAAAAATAAATAAAATAAATAAATTTTTTTTTGCCCAATTCAAGGCCACATTTTAAAAGTTTTGGCAATTTCTGCAAATTAGGATGGGGTGAAAAATAAGATCTCCCAGTTCAGCCTGGGCAGAAGTCCACCAATTAACTGAGCTCAAGGAAAAGAAGTGGTTTGACATACTGTCCTGGACTCAATTCAGGGCAGATCCCAGGAGATAGCTTCATTAAAAAATCTTTTAGTAGGCCAGGCGCAGTGGCTCACACCTGTAATCCCAGCACTTTGGGAGACTGAGGTGGGCTGATTGCCTGAGCTCAGGGGTTCCAGAGCAGCCTGGGCAACATGGCAAAACCCTGTCTCTACTAAAAACACAAAAAATTAGCCGGGCATGGTGGTGCATGCCTATAATCCCAGCTACTAGGGATGCTGAGGCACTAGAATAGCCTGAACCCAGGAGGCAGAGGTTGCAGTGAGCCGAGATCATGCCACTGCACTCCAGCCTGGGTAACAGAGCGACACTCTGTCTAAAAAAAAAAAAAAAAAAAAAAAAAAAAATCTAGCTCATGTTTAAATTCAGTTTTTAACCAATGTCTCAGCCACACCAGTCCTGCTCTCCCACCCCTAGTCCACAACCTACACATAAATAATTGTCTGGAGGAAGTGTATTTTAATAGATTCTATATCAATTTTTATTCCTTCATTGTTACGAAACAGATGAATAATCCTTGGCAGATATACTTGAGAGAAGACTCTTCTCTCTTCCTGACTGGGGTCCAAGTAGTCCTAATCCCATTTATCCGCATCTGTATATTCCACATTGGATTTGTCTCACACATGTCCTTCTTGAGATGTTACTTCTGTGTTTGAGCCAGATTCTCTGTCTAGAAAATTGTCCTTGGTTATACCTGCTCAATGTTTGCTATTAATAATGATATACATCATAATCATTTAAAAAGCCCAAAACTATAACAACCCTTTAGATTAAAGATACATGCTCCATTGGCAGCCCTCAAGCCATTTATTTTCACAATGTGCTGAGTTTAACTCACTCATTCATTTATAAATTGACTTGGTTGCCAATATTTGGAATCAGAAGATGTTTATCCCAAATCCAGCTTTCCATGGGAAATCAGGTAACATGGGAGAACTTGGCCCATATTATGACATTCACACATGACACATAGGTAGAACTGGGTGACAATGTCCTTTTTAGAAGCTGCCTGTACTCTTCAGTTCAACCCAGTAACTACCACTTTCTGTTTTTCTCTAACATGCAAACCAAGTATGGATTGCCATTTATCACTATATGTGGACAGCTGACTTTCTTAGAACACAGAAATATTTCTTTGCATTCATGTTTGTGTAGAAAGTGGGAAAACGGGACGGGCGCAGTGGTTCATGCCTGTAATCCCAGCACATTGGGAGGCCAAGGTGGGCGGATCACGAGGTCAGGAGATCGAGACCATCCTGGCTAACATGGTGAAACCCCGTCTCTACTAAAAATACAAAAAAATTAGCTGGGCATGGTGGCAGGTGCCTGTAGTCCCAGCTACTCAGGAGGTTGAGGCAGGAGAATGGCATGAACCTGGGAGGTGGAGCTTGCAGTGAGACAAGATCACACCACTGCACTCCAGCCTGGGCCACAGAGCAAGACTCCATCTCAAAAAAAAAAAAAAAAGAAAGTGGGAAGTTAGGCTGGGCGCTGTGGCTCACGCCTGTAATCCCAGCACTTTGGGAGGCTGAGGCAGGAGGATCACCTGAGGTCAGGAGATTGAAATCAACCTGGCCTACATGGTGAAACCCTGTCTCTACTAAAGATAAAAAAAATTAGCTGGGCGTGGTGGCAGATGCCTGTAATCCCAGCTACTTGAGAGGTGGAGGCAGGAGAATTGCTTGAACCTGGGAGGTGGAGGTTGCGATGATTTGAGAAGACTCCGTCTCAAAAAAAAAAAAAAAAGGAAAGAAAATGAGAAAATGAAAGGTTGACTTCCCCACAGATTTTGTGCAAAATGAGACAATGAATATTTCTTTGTGGAAATAATAATTATTCCTACAAGTTTAATATGCAAACGAAATGTGTCTCCATTGTAGACGTTCAACTAAAAACATTGTTATAAAACAAACCACTGTAAGAACAATGACCTCTATAAGGACAAAACAAGTGTAAGAACTGAGGTATCAAAAAGGATTTGTTTTAGGATGCAGAAATGCTGCTATAAAATGCATTTACAAACTTACTGTCTTCATTCATATACCTCATCATATACTTCATAGTCCCCATACCCTAACACCCCATGCCAACCCCATTGGCATGCTGTTGCAGTGACTTTTGGGTTTGCAACTTCTGCTTTAAATGAATAGATCTGCCAAAAAAAAAAAAAAAAAAAAGACACCCAATTGCCCTCTATTACCACCCATAGAGACCCAACATACTTGACATCCAAAGATATCATACCAACCCAACATGGTATGTTTCTGGTTAATAGTTATTACAAATCCTGGGGAAGTGATATGTGTGTACTTTGAGATGATTAATAAAATTCAGTGACCTAATGGTGAAACAAAGAATGAGGCATTTATACAATTGAATATTTCAAACAGGTTGGTATAAATTTTGTCTCTTATCCTAGGCCATTAAAGAGGTATTCGAAATAAGGCTTGAAATATGCTTCAAACTTCATATAGAGTATGCCAGATAGTGGGCAGGGACTGACTGATATACCAAAAACACGTTTCTAATATCTGGGCTAATAGTAGTTAACAACCCCAAGCACTAAGTTTAAAAAAGAAGAAGCAGCACATCAACAACAACTGTTGTTGCTAAAGTAAGAAAATGTTTTGGGCAGATCAGAATTTAGTCACACACCAGTTTTGATGCCAGCAGGTCATGCTCAGAACAGTCTGCCCTGGAACCTACTGGGACTGCTGAAATTCTGGCAGGCCCAAGGAGTGCTAAAATCAAAGGCAGCCCTTCAGAGGAAGAGGGAAAAGGCAGGGTGTCTAGTAGCAAAGTTCAAGCAGGCAGAGTACTGACCCCTTCTGTCTAATGTCATTCAGATCAAGAGCCGAGTGGAGATAAAGGACATTATTATGTAGATTTTTTGTTTTATTTTGGTTTGGTTTTTTTGTTTGTTTGTTTTGTTTTGTTTTTTGGTTTTTTTTACTGATAGATGTAATGAAGCCATAAGAGAGAGGCTTAAGGAGATTCTTCACTAAGCAACAAAATCATTAAAAGTTCACCTTGGTGAGATAGTGCTACCTCATAATTACATGACTTGTTTATTGCAAGTTTTCAGATTGTGTTCTCCTATCCTTGCAAATCTAACAACCTCAGCATACAAAGCTTGATGTGACAGAAGTTAGAGCAGTTGAAAAAACCAGGACTGTTCGATTAACTCTTGTGGCATAACAAATTACCCCAAAATTTAATAGCTTAAAACAACCATTTCATTTTGCTTACAATGTGAGGTGTTAGTAGTTCAGGAAGAGCTCAATTGAGCAATTCTCTTTAGAGTTCCCCCTACAGTTGCAGTTAGATATTGGCTGGAACTGCGATCATTTGAAGGCTCAGCTGGACTGGATGTCAAAGATACAAGGCAGTCGGTGCTGGCTTTCAGCTGGGAGCTCAACTGGAGCTATTAACTCAAGCACCTACATGCTGTTTCTCCATGTGGCTGGGTCTTCTCACTCAGCAGCTGCTAGACTCCAAAACATAGTATCTCAAGAGGGGAGAGTCTAAAGAGCACAGGAAGCAAACATTCTAAGAGACCAAGAATAAGCTGCAAGGAGACCCAGCCTTGGAAGTCACTCAGTGATATTGGCACTGAACTTTATTCATCAAGGAAATCGCTATGACTAGCCTAGATTCAATGAAGAGAAATTAGATCCAATCGTCTAGGAAAGAAGTCTTATAAAATTTGCCATTGTTTTTAATTCATCATAAACACTTTTTCATCATTCTGCTGCTTCTACCTTTCTTATGTTACTCTTCCCATCTAAATTTGGAAATAAGCATCCTTTACTCTGAAGCTATGGCTTTTAATTGAAACCCTTCCTAGTAGTCAAGCCTAGACAGATGGAAAATAAGTTCTCTTTTTAAATTTGTTTCTAACATTTGCTCTACTGTTTTTCTGATACCAAAACTGTTGGAAGCAGCATTTCTCATCACAGTTTGTGATAGGAATGCCATTTTAGAGTTAAAATTTAATATACAGAATTTCAGTTAATCTTCCTTGAAGAAATAATACAAAACAAACTTTCATAAGCTTAAAAGTCAGAAAAGACAGACAATAGATTTTGCTTTGTTACATGCTGTTCTAGAACAGTTAGTTTTATGTCATCCATTCTTAGTTAATTATAAATTACCTTTATAAAATAAAACTCATAATATCACATTTAATCATTCTTCTTTTGTTCTATGTAAAAACATGTATCTGATCTCTTAAACTTTACAAAGTAAAAGGATGTTCTTATATTTCCCAAAATGATGAAATTGCTGTATCTTCTTTTCTCGTGGCTAATAAAGCATTTAAAGTTCACATATCCAAATCAGATCGTTTATTGAAAGGAAATAGGGTTTAACATAGAAATGGAGAGTTTCTTTGAAATATGCCATGGGGGTCTCGTCCTAGTCTACGAAGCTTCAAAAATGTTTTTCGTCACATAAATCACGTAAGATCCAGTTTTGGTTTTCATCCTTTTTTTTTTTCTTTTTCTTTTTCTTCTTCTTCTTCTTTTTTTCTTTTTTTTTTTTTTTTTTTTTTTTTTTGTAGAGATGGGGTCTCACTCTGTTGGCCAGACTAGTCTCAAACTCCTGGCCTCAAGAAATCCTCCTTCCTTGGCCTTTCAAAGTGCTGGGATTACAGATTACAGGTATGAGTCATCACACCCAGCCTTCATCCCTTTTTGTTTGCAGAGGAGGAGGGTAATGTTTTCTAGAATCCAACAGTGGCTGTTTCTTTGGTTTCATCAATAAAATTTTCCTTTCTCTGTGATACTGTCATATTCCTCCTCCTCCCCCTACTCATCTTCTTCTTTTTCTCCTCATCCTCCTCCTACTTCTCATATTCTTTTTCCTTCTTTAGTATTCTGTATTCTTGAACTGAACTTATATCAAGGGAAAAAACAAAATAAAAGAAGAATAACTGAACATAAAGTTTTATATATCTTATACTGTAAAGATTTATGGAGTCAAATACATAGCTATTCACTGAACCTACCTAAATTTGAAGAGTTCCAGTTTAGTTGACTGTCTAATTTAAGTTAAACCAAAAAGGCTATTAGAGCAAAGAGGGAGGATTTTAAGAGGTTAGTAAATTATTAAGCCAAAAAATGTTTAAAATGTATAAATGGGTAATAGACAAATCCACAGTGACAGAAAGTACGTTAGTGGTTGCCAAGGACTGGGGGAAGCACAGTGCGGAGTGACTGCTAATGGATACATGGTTTCTTTTTGGGGGTGATGAAAATGTTCTGGTAACTAAGTACAACTCTTCATGTATTGCTTTCCCTAATACTCCTGTGGGCCCTAGGACGTTCTGAAAAAAAAAAATCTAAATTTCCATCATCCACCCTAAATAAGTTGAGTTACATCACCCAGGTGGGGTTGTGAGAGGTAAGCTGAAAAGAAGTATTCTGAGGAACAAAGAGCCAAAAATAATCCCTAGCTGAAAATGCTGCCTCACCACCCCCATGTACGGCTCATTCTAATCATATAGACGATCATCAGTTCATCCTACTCTAAAGATTCAAGAATTTAAACTTATTTCCTCAAAGAAAACTGCAAATATCAAAGACAAGCTTGAGTAAATAATTAAGGTGTTTATTGGTTTATGAACTAGAAATTCAAAAGGTAGGGTGTGCTTTAAGGTTGGTTTGATGCAAGAGTTCAGTGATTTTATCAAAGACTTAATTTTTCCTCTCTCAGCTTTTCCTTCTACAGTGTCAGCTTATTCCAAGGTTTACAACCTTCATGATACCACAGTGGTTACAATGGTTCCAAGCTTACAGAGACGTATAAAAGGATACAGACAAGAGAGAACATGTCTTTCAGTTGTACTCTCAGAAGAGCCAAGAAACACTTTTCCCAAAAATCCCTTTATCCATAACTCACTGGTCTGTCTGGAGACAGGAGTCCATTTCTGACAGAGAAATGCTAACTTAACTGGTTAGATTAGACAACCCAGGCCTCAACCAATCACTGCATCAAGGGAGATGGGCTTACTGAGATTGGCTTTGGTCAATCACAGTCCATTTCTGGTGATCAACTGCTTTCAAAGCGTATCAGCAAGGGAGACCCAGATGAAAATTTAAGTACTCTTAGGCAGGGGAAAGGAAGTAATAGATGCTGGAAAGACAAACAACATTCACTATAATTTTTCTGGCCTATCGATGAAAATATATCTAGTAAAGTAGACAAAGTGAAGTAGGAGGTACAGTAACAACTTCTTTTTTTTTTTTTCTTTTCAGCAATGGAATGTTAGAGCTAAATGAAATCCTAAAATGTACCCAAGGCTGGGCTCAGTGGGTCACGCCTATAATCCCAGCATTTTCAGAGGCCGAGGCTGGCGGATCTCGAGGTCAGGAGATCGAGACCATCCTGGCCAATATGGTGAAACCCCGTCTCTACTAAAAACACAAAAAAATTAGCTGAGCATGGTGGTGGGCACCTGTAGTCCCAACTACTCAGGAGGCTGAGGCAGGAGAATGGCATGAACCCGGGAGATGGAGATTGCAGTGAGTCGAGATCATGCCACTGCACTCCAGCTTGGGCGACAGAGTGAGACTCCGTCTCAAACAAACAAACAAACAAACAAAAAGTGCTCAATTTGAACTCCTCATTTTATAGATGAAGAATCTGAGACTCTGTTTAATTGATTTGGCCATACTTACAAAGTCTAAATCACCTATTTCCTAATCATTCAGTCATTTATCAGCAATTGTTTATCAAGCACTTACTATTTGCCAGGTACCTCTCTAGTCACTGGAGATACAGGAGGGAATAAAACAAAGCAAAACTGTGCCTTCATGAAGTCCACATTTTAGTGGGGGCCTTTTCTCTAAGGTCATTACTCCCACTCACTCTTTACAACAACCCCAGGCACCCTGTTTCCTCTCTTAGTGCTAGGCATTCACAACCTGTGTTCCTTCCTTTTGCTGCTACCCAGCTCTCAGATGCAGCTGATGCCATGGGTTTCAGAGACCTGAAAAGCCCCACTGGCCTCCAGGTGCACAATGGTTACCTGGCTGACCAGAGCTGCAACAAGGGGTATGTGCCATCACAAGCAGACGTGGCAGTAATTGAAGCAGTCTCCAGTCCATTGTCCGGTAATTTGTGTCATGCTCTACATTGGTATAATTACATCAAGTCTTACGAAAAGGAAAAAGCCAGCCTAGCAGGAATGAAGAAAGCTTTGGGCAAGTATGGACCTGCTAATGTGGAAGATAGTAGAGGAAGTGGAGCTACAGATAGTGAAGATGACAATGACATTTATCTATTTGGATTTGATAAGGGGGAGGAAAGCAAAGAATCAAAAAGGCAAAGGGAAGAATACCCTGCATAGTATGAATCAAAGAAAGCCAAAAAAAAAACCTGCCCCTGTTGCCATCTTTCATCTCACTAGATGTGAAACCTTGTGATAATGAGACAGATATGACAAAATTAGAAGAGTGTCATTAAAAAGTCAAAAAGCAATAGATTTTGGCATGGATGTGGTGAAAAGGAAACACTTAACACATTGCTGGTGGGAATGCAAATAAGTACAACCTCTATGGAAAACAGTATAGAGATTCTTTAAAGAACTGAAAGTAAATTTACCATTTGGTCCAGCAATTCCACCTCTTGGTATCTACCCAAAGGAAAAGAAGTCATTATATGAAAAAAAAAAAAAAAAACTTGCACACATATTTTTATAGCAACATAATTACAATTCACAGCTGCAAAGATGTGGAACCAACCTAAGTGCCCACTGACTAATGAGTGGATAAAGAAAATGATATATATATATATATATATATATATATATATATATATATATATATACACACACACATACATACATACATACATACATACCATGGAATACTACTCAACCATGAAAGGGAATGAATGTCTTTTGCAGCAACTTAGATGAAGCTGGTGGCCATTATTCTAAGTGAAGTAACTCAGGAGTGAAAAACCAAAAAACCGTGTGTTCTCACTTATAAGTGGAAGCTAAGCTATGAGTATGCAAAGGCATACAAAGTGATATAATGTGACCTTGAGACTCAGAAGGGGCGGTGCTAGGAATAAAACTACATATTAAGTACAATATATGCTACTTGAGTGATGGGTACACTAAATCTCAGAATTCACAACTATCTAATTCATGCATGCAACAAAAACCACTTGTACCCCAAAAGCTATTTTTTTTTTTGAGACGGGGTCTGGCTCTGTCGCCCAGGCTGGAGGGCAGTGGTGCAATCTCGGCTCACTGCAACCTCTACCTCCCAGGTTCAAGCGATTCTCCCGCCTCAGCCTCCCGAGTAGCTGGGGCTACAGGCGCATGCCACCATGCCCGGCTAATTTTTTGTATTTTTTTTTAGTAGAGACGGGGTTTCACTGTGTTAGCCAGGATGGTGTCAATCTCCTGACCTCGTGATCCGCCCGCCTCAGCCTCCCAAAGTGCTGGGATTACAGACGTGAGCCACTGCACCCAGCCCCAAAAGCTATTAAAATAAAATTTTTTAAAAAAAATTAGAGAAATGAGTCAGAAGAATTCAAGCAGTCCGCTTAGTCTGGGGCTCCTCTCAACTAGTTACAGTGGGATACGGAATTTTAAAACTTCAAAGATCATGTTGAAGATGATAAAGTTGGAACAGATATGCGGGAGGAGCAGATCACTGCTTTGAGAACTATATGCAATCCATGGATGTGGCTGCGTTCAACAAGATCTTAAATCCATCCTGGATCACTGCACTTAAATAAAAGCTTGAAAGATTAATTAGTTAATTTAGTAAAAAAACAACCTCAGGCAAAGGAAGTGAAAGTTTTCGTTATCTTCTATTTCTGATTATCTACGAAATCTTTGTCTTCTGGCATGTTTATTCTGAATAATGGCCATTTATTTCCTATAAGATATAGTAATTCAACAGAACTCCATCCTTTAAATTCTCAGCCTTCTTTTCCTCTCACTTTGCCTATTTACACTTGACATATTATTTCTTTTTTTTTATTTAAATGTATATTTTCTCTCCCTCTCCCACACATACATATACACATGTTGGATGTAAGCTTCATGAGAACCTGAACTTTTAGTTCAAATTTCTATCTTCCCAACACCTAGATCATAGAGCAATTCCTGGCACATGGTAGGCAGCCAAAAAATATTTATTGAATAAGTAAATCAAGTCTTCTTTCCACTTGGATCCCTTCATTAGAGTAAAATACTCACTGAGTTTAAATCTAATAATCTTGTTGCCTAAGGCTGAGGAACTTTAGGTACTATCCAAAAAGGTTTATGGGCCAGGCACAGTAGCTCACGCCTATAATCCCAACATTTTGGGAGGCCAAGGCGGGTGGATTGCTTCAGACCAAGAGTTTGAGATCAGCCTGGGCAGCATAGCAAGACTCCATCTCTACTAAAAATACAAAAATCAGCCAGGCATGGTGGTGCACGCCTGTGGTCCCAGCTTCTCAGGAGAAGGCACGAGAATTGCTTGAACCCAGGAGGCAGAGGTTGCAATGAGCCGAAATCACACCAAAATCCATTCACTCTATTCTTTCTTTTTTTTGGAGACAGGATCTCACTATGTCACCCAGGCTGCAGTGCAGTGGCATTATCTTGGCTCGCTGCAACCTCCACCTTCCAGATTCAAGCGACTCTCCTGCCTTAGCCTTCCGAATAGCTGGGACTATAGGCGCGCACCACCATGCCCTGCTAACTTTTGTATTTTTAGTAGAGACGGGGTTTCGCCATGTTGGCCAGGCTGGTCTCGAACTCCTGGCCTCAAGTGATCTGCCCACGTTGGCCTCCCAAAGTGCCGGGATTACAGGCGTGAGCCACCATGCCTGACTTATTCTTTCAACAAATAATCTTTGACCACTTACTGCATGTCAGGCACTGTTCTCATTACTAAGACTAGAGAGTTAAACAAGCCAGATATGCATCTCTATTGGGAATGCTTTCAGCAGCCACTAACAGAATAGGCAATTAAAAGTAGCTAAACCATAGGGACATTCAGTGTTTACCTAGCAGAAATTTAGAGAAAGGCAACCCTTAGTTCAGCTTCTCTAAAATGTAACCAAAGGTCCAGATTCTGTCTTCTCTGTGTCCTTAGCATGCTGGCTTGTGTCTTTATTCTTTTCATCTCATTGTTCCATGGCTGTCATAGCTCTAAATACTTCATGGATTTCAAACTAGGGAGAAGTGGAAAAGGAAGCTCTTTTTTTTTTTTTTTGAGACAGAGTTTCACTTTGCCACCCAGGCTGGAGTGCAGTGGCCTGATCTGGGCTCACTGCAACCTCTGCTGCCCGGGTTCAAGCAATTCTCCTGCCTCAGCCTCCCGAGTAGCTGGGATTACAGGCATGCACCACCACGCCCGGCTAATTTTTTTGTGTGTTTTTAGTAGAGATGGGGTTTCACCATGTGCTGGGATTACAGGCATGAGCAACTGTGCCTGGCCAGAAGCTCTTTTCTTATTGTTTTCTGCATTAATCTTCTAGAGCTGCCATGACAAAATGTCACAGATGGGTGGCATGTCAGCAGGGTTGGTTTATTCTAATGGCTTTCCCATGGCTTATAGATGGCCATCTTCTCCCTATGTCTTTACATGGTCTTCCTTCTGTATCTCTCTCCAAATTTTCTCTTCTTTTTTCCTTTTTTTCTTTTCTTTTTCTTTTCTTTTTTTTTTAAGACAGGGTCTCACTCTGTCATCTACTCTGAGAATCTTTAAAGAAGTATCTCCAGTAGTCACATTCTGAGGTACTAGGGGTTAGCACTAATGAATTTGAGGGAGTACAGTTCAGCCCATAACATGCAATCAACTAGGTTTCCAAGTTAAAAAATGAAACATAAAAAATTACCCAGGCATGTGGGCAAGCACCTGTAGTCCTAGCTACTCAGGAGGCTGAGGTGGGAGGATTGCTTGAGCCCAGGAGTTCGAGGTTACAGTGAGCTATGATGGCACCACTGCACTCCAGCCTAGGCAACAGAGCAAGACTTTGTCTCAAAACAAAACAGAAAACTAATTCATGCACCACCAATCCATCCTAAAATAAATAGGCATCAAAAATCTGGGCAAGCACAATGGCTCACGCCTGTAATCCCAGCACTTTAGGAGGCCAAGAAGGGCAGATCACCTGAGGTCAGGAGTTGAAGACCAGCCTGAACAACATGGCAAAACCTGTCAAAACCCTGTCTCTACTAAAAATCAAAAATAATTTAAAAATAACCGAGTGTGGTGCCACACACATCTATAGTCCCAGCTACTCAGGAGACTGAGACAGGAGAATCACTTGAACCCAGGAGGTGGAGGTTGCAGTGAGCCAAGATAGCGCCACTACACTCCAGCCTAAGCAACAGAGCCAGACTCCGTCTCAAAAAAAAAGAAAAAAAATCCCAGAAGACTACCCAGATGTAAAGACCAATTGACAGCATTTAAGTAAAGATGTAGCAGACAAAAACACTAGAGAGCTTTACAAGAGTGCTTTGTCTTTTGCCAGTGGACAGGTTCAATCTAGTTTCAGATTGGCACTGCAGTTCTGCATTCTAGACCAAGGTACATATTAAAAGATGATTTACCACGCAAGAGAATATACCCAAAGCATTATACTGGCTCTGAGGTAAATAACTTCTGGACCAGTTGTGTCAGTAATACCTACTGTTATTGTGAGAATCAAAGTAGCAAGGTCCTTAGTAAGGAAGCCCTAAATTTGTTTCAGTATGTTAGAACCAAAGTGCTAAGTTAATGTGTCAGAATGTGGACACCCTGTATCTCCCCATCTTTCTCCCCAGTGAAACCTGCAAGTTTTAAAAGAAAGATTTAGATTTATTCTATGCATTTTATCCACTTTGTCTTGTTACTTAAAGACACTATTTGTTTTTTTTAGTTGTTTTTTTTTTTACCTTTTAAGTTCAGGGTTACATGCAGGTTTGTTACATAGGTAAACTTGTATCATGGGGGGTTGTACAGATTATTTCATCACCCAGGTATTAAGCCTAGTATCCATTAGTTATTTTTCCTGATCCTCTCCCTCCTCCCACCCTCTACCCTCCAATAGGCCCCAGTGTGTGTTGTTCCCCTCTATGTGTTCATGTCTTCCCATCATTTAGCTCCCACTTACAAGTGAGAACATGTGGCATTTGGTTTTCTGTTCCTGCATTAGTTTGCTAAGGATAATGGCCTCTAGCTCCATCCATGTCCCTGCAAAGGACATGATCTCATTCTTTTATATGGTTGCATAGTGTTCCATGGTGATATGTCCCACATTTTCTTTATCCAGTCTATCTTCGATGGGCATTTAGATTGATTTCATGTCTTTGCTATTGTGAATAGTGTTGCAATGAATATATGCGTACATGTGTCTTTATAATAAGCAATTTATATTCCTTTGAGCATATAGTCAGTAATGGTATTGCTGCGCCAAATTATATTTCTGGTTCTAGATTCTTGATGAATAGCCTCACTGCCTTCCACAATAGTTGAACTAATTTAGACTCCCACCAACAGTATATAAGAATTCATTTTTCTCCATGACCTCTCCAGCATCTGTTATTTTCAGAATGTGGACAGATTAAAATTGTGTTTCTTTTTCTTTTTTTGAGACAGAGTCTCACTCTGTCGCCTAGGCTGGAGTGCAGTGGCATGATCTCGGCTCACTGCAACCTCTGCCTCCCGGGTTCAAGTGAGTCTCCTGCCTCAGCCTCCTGAGTAGCTGGGACTATGGACACGCACCACCATGCCCAGCTAATTTTTTGTATTTTTAGTAGAGATGGGATTTCACCATGTTGGCCCGGCTGCTCTGAAACTCCTGACCTCAGGTGATCCACCTGTTTCAGCCTCCCAAAGTGCTGGGATTACAGGTGTGAGCCACCACACCCGGCTGAACATTGTTTGTAGAAGTTGATCAGGATCTCCTAATCAAAATAGTAACTTTGGTGATGGATGGATGAGAGGGAAATGCTCCTTAAGATAGCAGGAAGGCAATTATTGACAAAACTAATAAATTTGTACTTAAGACATTTATGAGTTTTAAAGTACTCATATACACATTAACCTAAATATCATTAATACTTTTACTAATATCTCTCACATGACTATGGACTCTCCTACAAAGTTGAAAGCATAGATAAGAATGGGAATTTGCCTTTCAGGTAAGGAACTCGTGATCAACATGTTTTTGGAGGTGAACATCCTACCTGTCAAGCAGCCAAAGAGATCCTGAACAGCAGTCACACGACAGCTGCTAGGTCAGTTTGCCAAACTTCCACAGATTCAGTCAGTAGGGAGACAATGAGCCCAAATGGATTTGTTCAGTTTATTCACATATTACACATGGCACAGCCAACAGCATGATCTTCATGTGCACATTGATTCCCTCTTGCCCCCAGGTCCCAGGGCAAAGATGCAGAGGTAGGCCCAGGCAGATGCTGCACACACAGTGGGTTTGTGTAACAGCTAACCCGATCTTTCAAAGGAGCTGCAGTAATATCCACTCATCCACCTCTATAGCTAAAGACATTGCCTTTATTTTCTTCTTTTTTTTTTTTTTTTTTTTGAGACGGAGTCTCACTCCATTGCCACAGCTGCAGTGCAGTGGTGTGATTATGGCTCACTGCAGCCTCAACCTCCCCAGGCTCCGGTGATCCCCCCACCTCAGTTTTTGTATGTTTATTTTATTATTATTATTATTATTATTATTATTATTTGAGAAAGAATCTTGCTGTGTTACCCAGGCTGGAGTGCAGTGGTGCAATCTTAGCTCACTGTAACCTCCACCTCCCGGGTTCCAGTGATTCTCCTACCTCAGCCTCCTGAGTAGCTGGGACTACAGGCATGAGCCACCACACCTGGCTAATTTTTGTATTTTTAGTAGAGATGGGGTTTCACCATGTTGGCCAGCTGGTCTCAAACTCCTGACTTCAAGTGATCCACCTGTTTCGGCCTCCCAAAGTGCTGGGATTACAGGTGTGAGCCACCGTGCCTGGCCTGTTTTTGTATTTTTAATAGAGATGGGGTTTCACCATATTGCCCAGATTGGTCTCGAACTCCTGGGCTCAAGCAATCCATTCTCCTTGGCCTCCCAAAGTGCTGGGATTACAGGCATGAGCTACCACACCCGGCCTGTCTTTATTATCTTGATCAGGAAACAAATCTGCCTTCTGACACAGAAAGAGATATTATCTTTATCACCTGGACTGTCTCCAAGGAGGGAGGGAAACTAGATTTATTAACCTGGAGTGTAAGTCAATCGGCTCCCTGCCCTACAGCAAACTTTGCAAATATTCTGTAACAAAGTTGTCAAGGCTTTTTGCTTGGAAGACATCCAAAAATGCCAAAATTATCTTTCAACACTACTCTTTAATATTTTTTGCTTTGATAACTCAAAAGCTAACCTGAATGTTAAGAGAACTCAAACTTGTCTTCTTGCATGGGCTTCAGGAGACAGATCCTTCTATCCAATCCTATGTATAATAATGAACACAGACGTCAGAGTTTTTCAGTGGTATAAATCCTCAAAATCCTGCATGGAGCCTTACAATAAATAAAACAGGGCTGAGCGTGGTTGCTCACGCCTGTAATCCCAACACTTTGGGAGGCCGAGGTGGGCGGATCACCTAAGGCCAGGATTTTGAGACCAGCCTGGCCAATGTGGTGAAACCCCATCTCTATTAAAAATGCAAATATTAGCCCAGCGTGGTAGTGGGCACCTGTAATTCCAGCTACTTGGGAGGCTGAGCAGGAGAATTGCTTGAACCGAAGAGATGGAGGTTGCAGTGAGCCGAGATCACGCCACTGCATTCCAGCCCGGGCAACAGAGCAAGACCCCATCTCAAAAAAATAAAAAATCTACTAGCTTTGAAGGCATTTAATTTTATAAACTCTTAACACTTCATAATCCTAAAATTGTGTGATCAGCTAACCAATACTGCACATCAGGGAAGTTTTTCCATATTAATAATATCCAGCTGCTTTTCTGACAAGATAAACTCACAATCATAAATATCCCAAGCAGAGACTAATTTCTCCTTAGGGAAGGGTCTGGGAGCTTGATATTGAGAATATACACCTTTTATCACAAATGATAATACCTACTACTGTGTTAAGTGCTCTAGATATATTATGTCATTTAGCTTAATTCTCATAACTGCTTTATTAGTTAAGCACTATTCTCCCTTTGCAAGTGAGAAAAGAGAAGGTCAGGCTGCTAGGTAATTTGCCCAGCATCCCACAGGTAGTAAGAGGCAGAGCTCAGGTTGATCGATCCCCTTTCCTGGACTCCTCAAAACTCTGCTCCATACCTTGATGAGCAGGAAGCCATTGTCATCACTTTTCCTGCCTTCCTTTCAGCCTTTTTCATGAAGGGAAATTCATCTCTTCATTTTCTTTGACCAATAAGCCCCCTACAGCTTTCTTTTCCCAATAATTGTCTGGAAGAATATGAGAATATATGGAATTAGAGGTGTGAATTTTCATTGTTATTACTCAAAAACAGTGTCTTCTGCAATTAAAAAAAGCAACTGATAGCTGGGCATGGTGGCAGGTGCCTGTAATCCCAGCTACTTGGGAGGCTGAGGCACATGAATCACTTAAACTGAGGAGGTAGAGGTTGCAGTGAGCCGAGATCACGCCACTGCACTCCAGCCTGGGCAACAAAGCAAGACTCCATCTCAGAGAAGAATAAAATAAAGTTTACCAAAAAAAAAAAAGCAAGTGAATTGGTAGAAGAAATTCCAAGAGTATTAAATCTTAACAAAATTTTGAACATACCAAATAATGTTTATCTTAAATTGATCACAGAATCTTTCTGGAAAGTCACTTGAAAATGAATTCTGTCCTCCAATTTTAAACTGGCAATCCATAACAAATAAATATAGCAGATATCAAAGCAGGTAAAATAATATTGAATTTTTGCTAAGGATCATGATAAAAAATTGATATACTACTAAGCAAAAATGCTTAATTTGTATTCTTTTTAAAATATAACCATTTTAGATGTGGGAAATGGGCCGTAAAAATCATAGAACACTTTAACTAAGCTAAATGAGTATTTTTGCTGTACGAAATTAGCTTTTCATGTAATTTATCCAATAAATACACAATGCTAAAGAGATAAGAGTAGCATTTATTATACAATTTAAATTTCTGCTGGAAGTATATCTAAATAGCCTGGAATAAGATTTCCTTTTAATTCAAAAGCTACTTGTCTGTATTTTATTGTATTTATTTATTTATTCTTTGGAGACAGGGTCTCACTCTGTTACTCAGGCTGGAGTGCAGTGGCACAATCTCAGCTCACCACAACCTTCACTTCCCAGGCTCAAGCAATTCTCATGCCTCAGCCTCTCAAGTAGCTGAGATTACAGGTGTGCACCACCACTACCTGGCTAATTTTTGTATTTTTAGAAGAGATGGGTTTTTACCTTGTTGGCCAGTCTGGTCTCAAACTCCTGACCTCAAATGATCCACACACCTTGGCCTCCCAAAGTGCTGGGATGGCTGGCGTAAGCCGCCACACCCGACCTGGATTTTATTTATTCATTTATTTATTTACTTATTTATTTATTTCTTTATTATTTTGAGATGGAGTCTCACTCTGCACCCAGGCTGGAGTGCAATGGCACAATCTTGGCTCACTGCAACCTCCGTCTCCTGGGTTCAAGTGATTCTCCTGGCTCTGCCTCCTGAGGAGTAACTGAGATTACAGACGCATGCCACCACAACCAGCTAATTTATGTGTTTTTAGTAGACACAGGGTTTTACCATGTTGGCCAGGCTGGTCTCGAACTCCTGACATCAGGTGATTCACTTGCCTCAGCCTCCCAAAGTGCTGATTACAGATGTGAGCTACTGCACCTGGCGCCTGTATTTTATTTTTAAAATATAGAAATAATTGAGAAAATGCTATCTATTTTAAATAAAATAACATTTCATTGAATTTACTCTATTACATAGGAAAAGAAAATACTCAAACACATGTGCAAAAGATTCAGTTAAAAGTAAACTATTTGGTTTGAAGTCTTTACACTGCTGCCAGAAGAGTACACTGCCTCTGTCCTTCTTCGAGTTAGATGACAATTGTATCTCTTCCTGCCTGTTTTCAGGTCATCCGTGTAAGGTTGAGAATAGATGGGTAACAGCAGAAACATTAAGAGGATTAGTTTCTAAATAAGAATGTATGATACCTACCTCCGTAAGTGAGTGGATCCTCTCTTGGAGAGATTGCCAACAGATGATGCCAACCTTATGATGACCAATCAAGCAAAAAACACAAGGAAATAAATTTCTTCCTCCAGATATTGAGCCTAAACTTAACCTTACCCTAACCAGAATTAGGAATTTTGCCACATGACATGGAGTGCATTAGCCAGAGTTCTCCAAAGAAACAGATCCAAAAGGTATCTATTTTATTTTATTTTTATTTTTTATTTATTATTATTATTATTTTTGAGACAGAGTCTCATTCTGTTTCCCAGGCTGGAGTGTAGTGGTGCAACTTCAGCTCACTGCAACCTCTGTCTCCCAGGCTGTAGCGATTCTCCTGCAGTCTCCCAAGTAGCTGGGATTACAGGCATGTGCCACCACGCCCGGCTACCAAAAGGGTATCATGCCTATGGAGGCTGAGAAGTCTCATGATCTGTCTGCAAGCTGGATGCACAGGAAAGCTGGTGCTTAAGTCCCATTCCAAGCCCAAAGGCCTGGGACCAACGGGAGCCAATGGTATAAGTCCCAGTTCAAGTATGAAAAAGTGCAGATATCCAAGGGCAGGAAAAGACAGACACCCCACTCAAGAAGAGACAGTGAATTCATCCTTCCTCAACCTTTTTTTTTTTGATTAGGGCCCTCAACGGGTTGAATGATGCCTGCCCACAGTGGTGAAGGTGGATCTTCTTTACTCAGTCTACTGATTCCAATGCTAAGCTCTTCTGAAACTACCCTCATACACACATTCAGAAATAATGTTTTACCAACTATCTGGCCCTTTCCCAGGGTAGGGTTAACCAGCACCTTTCTCTTCTCTATGGTGACCATGCTGATGAGGTGCCCCTGACTGAAAGCTGAGAGGTCACCAAGACCCCAGATCTTCCAGCACTTTAACCTGGAGTGTAAGTCAGTGTGCTCCCTGCCCTACAGCAATGCTTTTTGCTTGGAAGACATCCAAAAATGCCAAAATTGGCATTAATCACCACTTCAGGGCTGGGCACTTATGAGGTCAGCCATCCACTTCTAGCAATTCCTGCGTAAGCTGGAAGACCCTAGGTCTTTTCCTCAAAACACACCAAAGCCAAATTCTAAAGGAGATCCAAAGGTGATCGGTAAAATCCTTGAGAATCCTCCCAAAGCCTCCATGGAAAAATAAACTGGAGAACTGTTTCTCTTTTTCAATCAAATTTAGGCCAGTTATAATGAAATATGAATGGGCAGAAGACACAAAAGAAGATTAAAGAGTCTTTTAACATATAATAAATAATCAATAACTTCCTGGGTATGGTACAGGGATGTCTTTCTAATTGCAATAGATGAGTTTCTGATAAATTGCCTATAAACTGAATTTCTGCAAGTGCCATGTGCTAGTGTGGTTTCACTATAAATTCACATATGTGGCCGGGCGCGGTGGCTCACGCCTGTAATCCCAGCACTCTGGGAGGCCGAGGCGGGCGGATCTCCTGAGGTCAGAAGTTCAAGACCAGCCTGGCCATGGTGAAACCCCGTCTCTACTAAAAATACAAAAAATTAGCCGGGCGTAGTGGTGTGTGCCTGTAATCCCATCTACTCGGGAGGCTGAGGCAGGAGAATCGCTTGAACCCGGGAGGCGGAAGTTGCAGTGAGCCAAGATGACGCCATTGCACTCCAGCCTGGGCAACAAGAGTGAAACTCCATCTCAAAAAAAAAAAAAAAAAATTAACGTATGTTTTACTGTCATTCTGGTTCTACTTCAAATTATACGAGCATCATTTTCACAACTTTTTCCTTCTTCTTCATTCTACTTTATGTTCTTTCTCCTAACCAAATATGTTCAAACTTCCTAAAACATCTATTTTGTAAATGCAGGCATGTGCATAACTTCCTTAAATCAGGACACACCTATCTATGCACTGAGTAGAAAGGCTAATAAGTTCAAAGTGGTCTCAATAAATGTGTTGCCAGCCATCCTGTCCTTTCTGCAGCTGTTATATAAGCTTATACTACCTTTAATTTATTAGTCTAGGACAAATTAATTGCATGGTTTCCACAAAATAGGACATGTTGTTCATAGTAACTATATGCTAATTCCTTTGAAAACATCCGTAATTATACAGTGACTTCACAACACTTGTGCACCTAACTGTTGTTACATGTTTAAAGCTATGAGTGAATTAAACATCAAGGCAGAGTTCTGACTGGGTTCATGCATAAAAGGACACTTTTCTATCTTAACTCTGTTTCCTAAGACCTTACATCTTTATTAAGGCTAGTGGGTGTGCACACGGCCCTGCTGAGGTAGGAGGGATTGCAGCAGCAGCCTTGACATTTAAGGCAACCACACAAAGACAGCAAAGCTTTTCCAGGCACAGAACAGCATGTACTCGAGGAAGACAATATCAATGGTTGCCCAGTAAATACACATCTATATAAAGTTCAGTAAACACACAGGTGTAGGTGTAATGGCTTAAATTTTACATCTAAATCCAACTTTAAAATCACACTTCAGGCTGAGTACTTTTGAGAAATGATTGCACTTTTAAAGATATTCGAAGTTATATGGCTTACAGGATTCTGTCTCATAAAGCTGAGAAAGAAATGTCATTTTTGCCTGAAGTGCTGATTTGGCTTTGAACTTCACATTTTACAGACTATTCTGCTTTGGGTTATGTTTGTAGATGTGAACACCATTGGTACTCTTTATTAACATTTCTCCAATGTCTTATTGCCCCCTCTTTCCTCTCCCCAAATCTCTTCCTCAACCCTTCCAGGTCTGATAAGACAAAATATATTTTGTCACCCCATTATTTTTTCCTGAATGTCTGCTTTGGTTAGCTGCTTCAACATGAAGGACTCTATCTGTTAGGAGAATTAGGTCACAAAGACCCCGGGTTGGTTTAAAACAAAATGAAAAGTGCTTTCATTGTAAAACTACAAGGAAGTAAAGGAAATGCAAATGTGTTAAAAGCAATGAATTTGCAGAGCACAGATTTCTTAACAAAATTTAATGAAATGTAATCAGCCATCTGACTCAGCTTATAGGTGACAAAAGTCCATTTTCTTTCCCTTTTCCCAAACTCTTCAGGTCAGATGGAAGAAATGTTCCTTAGATTTCAACTCCAACAGTTTGAGGTTGGCATCTCAGCAGGACTGTCCAGATGTTCAGTTTAAAGAATTTAATTTTCTAGAATTTAATTCAGGTTTGGAAACTTTTAGGCTATCCTAGGAAACACTGAGTTATTGTGTCCATCAGATCTTGGGTCTCTGTTGTTGACAAAAGGCAAAACCTGCATGGAGAGGAGATATTCCTCCCTTGACCTTCCCAGTACCATGACTATAGATTCCTCAACCATCTCTTCCTGGCCCGTTTATGTAAAGCCAAATCATGAGCCTATTTGTCTGACACTTCTAAGCCCCATGAATGATCACTCTCTGATTCAGGTATCAGTTCTTTGATGATTCATCCTCAAGCATCCCCTGGGAATGACTTCTGAAGCTTTATAAACTATGACTTTATAAAACCAAAATTGCTTTTCAAAAGTTGATTCAATTTTCAAAAATCAAGGAGGTGAATCATTGTATCTCAGGTGCCCTTGGAACAGAAAGAAAGAAGAAATCATTTCTTTTTTTTTTTTTTTTGAGACGGAGTCTTGCTCTGTCGCCCAGGCTGGAGTGCAGTGGCTCAATCTTGGCTCACTGCAACCTCTGCCTCCCGGGTTCAAGTGATTCTCCTGCCTCAGCCTCCCAAGTAGCTGGGATTACAGGCATGTGCCACCGTGTCCGGCTAATTTTTGTATTTTTAGTAGAGATGAGGTTTCACCATGTTGGCCAAGCTGGTCTCGAATTTCTGACCTCAGGTGATCCGCCCGCCTCAGCCTCCTAAAGTGCTGAGATTACAGGCATGAACCACCACGCCCAGCCAGAAGAAATTATTTCTATGGCTCCTTGGATCCCCATATTTACTCCAAAGCAGCAGCCTATAGCAGCTTATCATTATAAGTCTTATGTGTTCACTCTTAATATAAAATATATAAGCAGAATAGACATATTATATGTAACATGTAATATGTATATATACACATATGCAATAGAGGAGTAAGAGTGCCAAGAAATAAAGATAAATAATGAAACATGAGAAGAATATGTGTCTCTATAATTTTGTGGCTCAAATTTCTGATTTTAATTACAGATTCATATTTGAAGGTCTTTGAGAATTGGCATTTTACCAATTACTGAAAGGCACATTATCTAATTTCTAAAGAAGAATAGCATCTGAAAATTTTAAAGCACTCTATTCTACTTCTTTTTATTCTTTTAGACACAGGGACTTACTCTGTTGCCCAGGCTGGATTCAAACTCTTGAGCTCACACAATCCTCCCCCATGAACCCAGCTGTTCTGTTTCTAAAGAAATGGTGTGCCATAGGCAAAACTTTTACCTTGCTATATCTCTGTTGTATTTTCACAGTCCGTAGATTCTAAGTTTTATTATTTCATTTAGAGTGTGATGACAAATACTTGACGTTCCACTAAATTAGATAATATCAGTAGAACAATGTTCCGAAACAAGATACTTACTGGAAAGACATTGGCTAATATTTTCAGTGTTAATTCCTATATTTATAAGTTTAAATCTCTTACTTTAGTAAATATTAAAATACCATGCATTTTATGCCTTTGAGGGTGAGGGTAGAAAGTTTTCATTGTCTATTAACCTATATAATAACACATTTAATTCACTGTCCACTATTGACACAGCACTGTACTAGATACTCTATAAATTATAGATTTTATAGATTATTATAGATTTTTCACATACCAGAAGTTCTATAAAACACAGTTATTTTTATAATTTATGTTTATTGAGCACTTACAAATGCCAGATTTTGCATAAGGGTTCACATGAATTATATCATTCAATCCCACATTAACCCAAAAAAGTATTATTTTTTCCTCATTTTCTAGATGAGGAAATGAGGCTGAGAGAAGCTGAGCAACTTTTCCTCTCACAGTTAGCAAGTAGCAGAGAAGAGATCCTTCTGCCCCCGGAGCCTATGCACTAATACTCTGCTGTAGATCCAGTCCCTCTTCTCAAAGATACTTAAATCTTCTTTCTTTTTTTCTTTTTCTTTTTTTTTTTTTTTTTTTTGAGATGGAGTCTCAGTCTGTAGCACAGGCTGGAGTGCAGTGGTGAGATCTCAGCGCTCTGCCTCCCTGGTTCAAGCAATTCTCCTGCCTCAGCCTCCCTAGTACCTGAGATTACAGGCATGCACCACCATGCCTTGCTAATTTTTGTATTTTTAGTGGAGACAGGATTTTACCATGTTGACCAGGCTGGTCTTGAACTCCTGGCCTCAAGAGATCTGCCCGTCTTAGCCTACCAAAGTGCCGGGATTATAGGCGTGAGCCACCATGCCTGGTCTCAAAGATACTTAAATCTAATGAGGGGATTAGTATAAGGATCAAGAGAAAATTTAATAAATACTGCATAAGCCTGGAAAAAATGCATACTAATTCTTATAGCAATAAAGGATGACATGAATGTTTGTAAATGGAACACTCACATGTAATGTCTTAGACTCCTCTTGTATTAATTAATTAATTTTTTTAAAAAAAAAAGACAGAGTCTCACTCTATCACTCAGGCTGGAGTGCAGTGGTGTGATCTTGGCTTACCGCAACCTCTGCCTCCCGGGTTCAAGCAATTCTCCTGCCTCAGCCTCCCTAGTAGCTGAGATGACAGGTGACTGCCACCACACCTGGCTAATTTTGTATTTTTAGTAAAGATGGGATTTCACATGTTGGCCAGGCTGGTCTCGAACTCCTTACCTCAGGTGATCTGCCCGCCTTGGCCTCGCAAAGTGCTGGGATTACAGGCGTGAGCCACAGTGTCCAGCCCTCTTGTGTTAATTTATAAGGCTATTTAACTCATATTGTTCTGTAGCATTTTCCATGTATATTAGTCCCTTCCTCAGCTAGATTTTGACCTTACTGATGGCAGACTATATTTTCTATTTTAAGAGTTTGCCATAGCCACTAGGACAATGACACACACATAATAAGTGCTTTATAAATATTTGTGGAGTGCATGAATGACGGAATTATAGGCAATTAAGACAAGGTTGCATATAGCTGTGTGGCATCGCTATACACAAGGGAGTGGCAATAACTTAAGTGAGATAGCAAAGGCCTGGATAAGATAAAAAAGAAATAGATTCAGGAAGTGGGTTATAAAATAGGCAACAGTTATAAAGTGTTTATTATTTGAAGTAACTTTAGAGGTATTTGCTCCTTTTTTTTTTTTTTTGAGACAGTGCAGTGGTGCAATTATAGATTACTATAACCTTGAACTTCTGAGCTCAGCCATCCTCCCATCTCAGCCTCCCAAAGTGCTGAGATTACAAGCATGAGTCACCATGCCCAGCCTACTCTTTACAACAACAATCCTATGAGGTAGGTACTACTATCATCCCTACTTTATAGATGAAATGCAAATAGATAAATAATTTAACATCACCCAGCCAGGAAGTGGTTGTGTCAAAAGCTCATGCAGTTTTGTTCTGCCCTTGCCTGTATAGGATCCAAAGATAGTCTGAGCAACCACATGGATGTTAAGAGTACAAGACAACAAAGATTTGAAGGTTACAACAAAAATCCTTGATTGAAATATGTTTTTATTTTTATTTTTTAGTGATAGGGTCTCACTCCATTGTCCTCACTATTTAATCTCAAACTCCTGGGCTCAAGCAATCCTCCTGCCTCAGCCTCCCAAGTAGCTAGGACTACAGGCACACATCTCCACACCTGGCTAATTTTTTTAAAACATTTTTTGTCGAGATGGGGTATTGTTATGTTGCACAGAATGGTCTCAAACTCCTGGCCTCAAGCGAGGCCTCAGCCTCCCAAAGTGGTGGGATTACAGGCATGATTAAAATATTAGGGCTGAGTGCAGTAGCTCACTCCTGTAATCCCTGCACTTTGGGAGGCCAAGGCGGGCGGATCACCTGAGGCCAGGAGTTCGAGACCAGCCTGACCAACATGGTGAAAGCCCGTCTCTACTAACAATACAAAAATTAGCCAGGCTGGGTGGCAGGCACCTGTAATCCCCGCTATTCAGGAGGCTGAGTGAGGCAGGAGAATCACTTGAACCCGCGAGGTGGAGGTTGCAGTGAGCCGAGATCATGCCACTGCACTCCAGCCTGGGTGGCAGAGCGAGACTCCGTCTCACATAAAATAAAAGAAAATAATATTAGAAAGTTATAACATTGCCCAACACTAAGAGAAAGTTGGCATAGGAAAGGCATAGAGGGAAAATAAGCAGTTGCGCTATTTTTTCCACATTCAGCTTGAGTGGCCACAGGAGTCATTTTAGGAAAGGAGGACTACAGAAAACTGACCTGGGGAGAGTTGAATGACAACAACAAATCATTTTATAGCCCTTTATATTTTATGGGAATTATGATTAGTGAGATAGTTGACATAAATTCTATGTTCAATGGCTGACCTAGCATAGTTAATTCTCTTCCCACATATGAAGTTATCTGAGAAATTATTTCCTTGTTCTTCACAGTTCTATAGATTTGTCATGTTTCTTTTTTTTTTTTTTCTTGAGACAGAGTTTTGCTCTTGCTGCCAAGGCTGGAGTGCAATGACACAACCTCAGCTCACTGCAATCTCTGCCTCCCGGGTTCAAGCGATTCTCTTGCCTCAGCCTCCCGAGTAGCTGGGATTACAGGCATGCACCACTACACCCGGCTAATTTTGTATTTTTAGTAGAGACAGGGTTTCTCTATGCTGGCCAGGCTGGTCTCGAACTCCTGACCTCAGGTGATCCACCCGTCTTGGCCTCCCAAATTGCTGGGATTACAGACGTGAGCCACCGCATCCCACCTTGTCATGTTTCTTATTTGAAGAGGAAAACACAGACTGAAAGTTTTAATGATTTGCCAAAAGTATCTCACCTGATCAGATGTTCAAACAGGTCGAAGCCTGATTTTCTGGCTCCTTCTTGTGAGGCAGATTTCAGTTTTAAAAAAACCTGGTCAGAGCAACCTTGCCTGCCCCAACCCATTATTCCCTATCTCATCTCTATTGTCATTTGTAACAGAGCACTCATGCCAGGAGCTTATCTCTACCTTCCATTTTCTATTGGCTCCCATTGGAACATAAGCTTTATGAAAGCAGAATCTGGGATCAGTCTTGTTCTCCGATCTTCACCTACACAATGTCTGGCAAGTAGTAGGCAGTCAAGGTTTGCTGTAGTCATGACAGAAACCCAAAACCCAAAACTTGTCATGTTATCAAAGGTAGTGGACACAATGCTTGAACAAGGACAGGACAGTGAAGCAATGTTTTCATGTGGTTTCTCCCTGTTACATTGTTCTGTCGGTGAGACAAGTGCTCATTTACAGGAGTTCATGTGGGTAGGGAATGAAAGAGAACAGGAATTAATTGAGGAACTTTATGGGAAACTCTTCCCAACAATGAAAAGTGGTATTGGGTTGATTAACGCAGGGAAGACTATAGGGTAACCAAAGAGATGTAGAAAGCAAACCCGATGGTGGAAGTATACCAAAAGGCCATTTGGTACTTACCTGAGCTTACATGGAATTTATTAATGTATTATTAGCACCCACCTAAAGCACGTACTTTTTAAAACTCTACATTAAATTATCATATTGATGGTTTCCCAAATCCTACATTCTTTAGGAATTTAGAAAAATGTATAAAAGTCAAGTGAATCTGCTTTGTGTATACATTGTTTATGTGATGATTTTTACCAATTCCAAAGTAAATCAGTTCTGGTTTGCTTGCTTGGTTAGTGACCTGTTTAAGCCTTGTATAACATCTATAATATACAGAATTTTTCATTAAACACTCAAACCTAATCATTTTTACATTAATGTGTGGACATACATGGCCTCCCATTGGAAGAGAACCTTGGAAATTTTGATAAAAGCTGAACAGAGTGCAAGAAAAAGTATAGTACAGTCACTGGTTTCTGTGCCAGCTCTGCTAGTTCTACTAGTGAGCAGCTGTGTTACCTCAAATAAGCAACACTGTGCTCAACTCTGTAAAATGGGAAGAGTAATCCCTAATTCATAGATTGTTATATATTAGATTCCTGAAAAGTTGTCCGGTTGCTATGGGTGGGGCTTTAAGAGTTTTTCAATCCCTTTTATTTCCTCATAGTAGGTTCTTTGGATAATAGAGAAGAAAATCTCGCTTTTTGTAGCATTTGAATAAGAGATAGTTCTTTCCTGCTTCAGGTGCATAAAAATCTTCATAACTGCAGCAGCAATTTCCAGTTCAGCGCAATCTCCAAATATGGGTTTTTCTCTGTACATCACCTATGGAACACCTGATAATGTGTTTTATGTCGTTAAAAGCCTTCTGCTGTAGGATACCTTTAGGCTCTATGCAGCCTGAACAATCCAACCCCTCTTGAGCTCAAGAGGTGAACAGAGTAGAGTGCAAGGTTGTATTTGGAATTAGCAGCAAGGTGGGATTTGGTTAGGTCTATATGTCCAATTTACATTAAGTCTAGGAGTAGAAACCAAATATCAGAGACTCATGCAACCATATGTCAAATTCCCCAGCTTTCTGAGCTCCTTATTTAACAATCCAGGTAATGACAACTCAAGTTTCCATAATTCCATACATTTCTGAGGGTGCTTCAAGTTCTTAGACATCTCTCTGTCTGAAAGAGGCATATTCCTCAAGCTCACACTGCTGTTATCATCCCCTCAGGTAGCCATCCTGCTCCAATCCCCTCAGCTCACTTTAATAAGCTTCTCCTGGCCAGTATTGTCTGCCCAAATTTTTCTCATAAGTGTTAACAGAGGCCCCTCCCTTAACTCACAAAGCAGAGCTAAAGCCAAGCTACAGCATTTAACAGAACTTACTGAAAACTTGAGGTTATGAAGGAGAAGTATAATGGAAAAAAAAAAGATTATAATCTCATAGAGTAGCCATCACTGCTCCAAAGAAGGCAATGGTCAAGAGCACTGGCTTAAGAAGTGGACAGCTGGGGTGAGAATCCTTGCTTCTCTGCTTCATGTCTGAGTGACCTCTGACAGGTTTATTTTTATTTTTAATTAATTTTTTTTTTTGAGACGGAGTTTCACTCTTGTTGCCCAGGCTGGAGTGCAATGGTGTGATCTCAGCTCACTGCAACCTCTGCTTCCTGGGTTCAAGTGATTCTCCTGCCTCAGCCTCCCAGGTAGCTGGGATTGCAGGCATGCACCACCACGCCTGGCTAATTTTGTATTTTTAGTAGGGATAGGGTTGCTCCATGTTGGTCAGGCTGGTTTCAAACTCCCGACCTCAGGTGATCCACCCGCCTCGGCCTCCCAAAATGCTGGGATTACAGGCGTGAGCCATCACACCTGGCAATTAGTTATTTTTTTTTTCTTTTTTGAGACAGAGTCTCACTCTGTCACCCAGGCTGGAGTGCAGTGATGCAATCTCCACTCACTGCAACCTCTGCTTCCTGGGCTCAAGTGATTCTCCTGCCTTAGCCTATTGAGTAACTGGGATTAGAGGCACGTGCCACCAGGCCTGGCTAATTTTTATATTTTTAGTAGAGAAGGGATTTTGCCATGTTGGCCAGGCTGGTCTCAAACTCCTGACCCCAAGTGATCTGGCCCGGCTCAGCCTCCCAAAGTGTTGGGATTACAGGCGTGAGCCACTGTGCCTGACTGACAGGTTATTTCAAATCTGTGAGGGCTTTGCTTTTTTAAAAAAGGAAAAAATGAGAGGAAGACTGGGCCTGGTGGCTCATGCCTATAGTCCCAGCACTTTGGGAGGCTGAGGCGGGTGGATCACCTGAGATCAGGAGTTCGAGACTACCCTGGCCAAAATGGTGAAACCCCGTCTCTATTAAAAATACAAAAAATTAGCCAGGCGTAGTGTAGTCCCAGCTACTGGGGATGTTGAGGCAGGGGAATTGCTTGAACCCAGGAGGCGGAGGTTGCAGTGAGCCGAGATTGTACCATTGCACTCTAGCCTGGGCGACAAGAACAAAACTTCGTCTCAAAAAAAAAAAAAAAATTAGAGGAGAAGCCATTGTCACTACCCCTTGCCTTTTCTTGTCTTCATTATAGAAGTGATGCATAGAGCTATGGCATCTATTTTGAGACTATAAAGCAACAAATAAATATGCTATGTATGGCTGAATATAAAAATAAAAACAAACTGCATCCTTGATGAACTTACGGAGTCATTAGACAACAGCCCTGAAACCAGCTGCTGTCTAATGTGAAAAAAAAAAAGCGCTTGTTGTTTAAGTAATTGTTGGATTTTTTCCATTATTTGCAGCTAAAAGCACTCCTAACAAATATAACAAAGTAGTGACATGACCATATTTTTCAAGAAAATGCTTCTTAAGGGAGATCCTGCTGTTCTTGGATCTTTTAAGAAGATCCTAGGGCTATATGTAGAATTAGATCACTAACAGAACATTACTGTAAATGTTCTTTCTTTTATAGAGATGGGGTCTCATTCTGTTGCCCAGGCTAGAGTGCAGTGGCACGATCACAGGTAACTGCATCCTCAAACTCCCAGTTTAAGCAATCCTCCCACCTCAGCCTCCCAAGTCACTGGGACTATAGGCACACACCACCACATCCAGCTATTTTCTTTTCAGTTTTGTATAGAAGACAGGGTCTTGCTGTGTTGCCCAGGCTGGTCTTGAACTCCTGGGCTCAAGTGATTTTCCCACTTTGGCCTCCCAAAATGTTGGGATTACAGGCATGAGTCCCTGTGCCTGGCCCAGTGTAAGTTTTCTATGATGAGTACAGTTTGGGTTGCAAATTCATAATCACACAGACATCAGATTCAGAGGGAGCCTTAACCACCTCAAGATAAGAGGAAATACTTTGGAAATACTTCAGAACCTTTTCTCCTTAGATTGAGTTAACTATCTATTAGAGAAGTGTTGTCTCTTCTGAGAAAAAGCAGAGGGTGAAGTCTAGGATAATCACCACATCATAATCCATTCAGTCTTTTCCTTATGCCAACTGCTTACCTGCTAGGGCAATAATTCTCAAAGTGCTTCTGTAATAAAGGTTAAGATACCTGATATACTATGACTCATTCTATTTTACATAATTTCTGTGAGAATGAACAGGGAAAAAATGGTAGGGAAAAAAATGAGCCTTCATTTTCACCACCAAAAAAGTGCATTAAAAAGAAAGTTAATATAATATATTAAGTCTGTTGATAGAGGGTTATACCTGATGATCGTTCAGGATAATGATACAGATGGAATGTGACAAGCAATTAGGTCTTCACTTTTTCTTTAATATGATTTATCAAGATACTCTTCCCACATAAAAGTCATCAATGTTGCTGAACCTTCTAAAAGAGAAAAACGAGTAAATCCTGAAATTTGGATCCTATTAAATCTCATCTGACTAAGCTCTCTGTACAATTCTCACTTCTGGGAGGATTCAAGTCAAATCAAGTTTCGTAGCTTTGAAATTTCATCCCTCTGCATGCAATACTACAGACTTAGCCAGAAAAGTTGTGAGATCTGAATAATAAGGAGCAAGTAGTAATTAGAAAATAATTCCAGCTAGAAGACGATCTATGCTCTATGCTCATCAGTAAGAATCTATGAATTAATTAATCAATCGATGTCAGATATTTTTTTAAATACCTATCACCTAATTTATATTTTTTGCCATAAGAAAATTCTCAAAAATATATTTTCTAATTTTTTTGTTCAATGTTATCTTCTTTTTTCCAGTTTCCACTTTTCTTCTCTATAAAATTATTGTATTCATCATGAGTAAATTTTTTTCTGCAGGCTTTAAAAAAATGTTTAAATAATCAACTATGACATTACTTCTAGCTATGGTCTCATACTGTTTACCTTGTAGCTATAAAGTCCATTTTTCTTTAAACTGCCTAATTTGTAAGATATAACTTATGAATGAGTCAGAGTTCTATAGATACAGACAACAGAAAGAGGCTCTAGTTCATTTATGGAAAGGAAACTTACTGAAATATATCAGACTTCATCGCCTGGAAGTAAGGCTAGAGAACCAGACTTTGAAATGTGCTGATCCAAGGTATTCGCAGTGGTCCAGGATCTGGAGATCACAAGAATGGCTTCACGTTGACAAAATCCAGGACTCGCCCCGGAATAGATTAATCCTCTCTTTAATCCTCTACCCAAGATTTAAATTCCAGAGAGTAGGTGTCTGATTGGCCTGGTTTCAACCATATATTCAGACTTGGGCTAAGAAAGTATAGGTCTGCTGAGTAAAAGTCCACCAGGCTGAATCCAAAATGGTAACAAGGCCAGGCACAGCGGCTCATGCCTGTAATCCCAGCACTCTGGGAGGGCGAGGCTGGTGGATTGCTTGAGCCCAGGAGTTTGAGACCAGCCTGGGCAACATGGTGAAACCCCGCCTCTACTAAAAATACAAAAAATTAGCCGGGGACAGTGGCACCTGCCTCTAGTCTCAGCTACTCAGGAGGCTGAGGTGGGAGAATCACCAGAGCCTGAGGGGTCAAGGCTGCAGTGAGCCAAGATCACCCCACTGCACTCCAGCCTGGACAACCAGAGTGAGACCCTGTCTCAAAAAAACCAAAACAACAACAACAATGACAAATATATAAAAATTTATATGCAAATAGTAACAACAATAATAATAAAATTATAATTCCCTCTAAAAGAAATGTGATGTTATTAGGAAAGAGAAATGAATGCTGAACAGTCACACATTAAAGATGCTCAATACACCATCCTTAACCATTTTTTTTATAAATACCTCACCTATTTTCAACCCATATTTAATAAAATAAAAATCTTTTTTTTTGAAACAGAGTTTTGTTCTTGTCACTCAGGCTGGAGTGCAGTGGCGATCTCGGCTCACTGAAGCCTCTTCCTCCCTGGTTCAAGCGATTCTTTTTTTTTTTTTTTGAGACAGAGTCTCGCTCTGTTGCCCAGGCTGGAGTGCAGTGGTGCAATCTCGGCTCACTGCAAGCTCCGCCTCCCACGTTCACACCATTCTCCTGCCTCAGCCTCCCGAGTAACTGAGACTACAGGTGCCCACCACCACGCCCAGCTAATTTTTTGTATTTTAGTAGAGACAGGATTTCACAGTGTTAGCCAGGCTGGTCTCGAACTCCTGACCTAGTGATCCACCAGCCTTGGCCTCCCAAAGTGCTGGGATTACAGGCGTGAGCCACTGCACCCAGCCTCAAGTGATTCTTGTGCCTCAGCCTCCCGAGTAGCTGGGATTACAGGCGTGCACCACCATGCCCGTCTAATTTTTTGAATTTTTAATAGAGACAGGGTTTTGCCACGTTGCTGAGGCTGATCTCAAATTCCTGTCCTCATGTGATCCACCCACCTCGGTGTCCCAAAGTGCTGGGATTACAGGTGTGAGCCACCACACTCAGCTGAAAATCATTTTTTATGACCATTCTGAAAACCCAAGAAGCTCCTTATCAATGCTTGATAATTGCAGTCACTGAAATACAGAAAGGACTAAGTGGATTTTATTCAAGCTGAGAGTTCAGAGTAGTGAAAAGCTCTTAGTGGTTCTTTAAGAATTTTCTCCCCATTTCTGAGTGGCAATACCATCAGCTGGCCTGATGAGAAAGTGGTTTGTCACACATTCTTTTGAGTCATAGTGAAAGGCATGATGGTGTCACCTAAAATTAGTAGATTAGCTATGCTTCATTTCTCATCTACACCAGGAACTGGTAAGGTTATCACCATGACCATGGCATTCCTTTTCTTCTTTATTGTCCTATATTGGCTAGAAAGCCCACCTCATCCTACATTTTGACCTTCCCTCTGCTTCCTCATTCCTGTTAGTAACTTGCTTTTTTTTTTTTTAACGTTATTGATATCTCCTCATCCACCCCCATTTTCTATCAAGCATTATAAAGTGAAGCCAAGGAATTATATGCTTTTCCTCATCTCTTTAGTTAAGAAATTCTAAAGTAAAGCCGGGCGTAGTGTCTCACATCTGTAATCCCAGCACTTTGGGAGGCTGAGGTGGGTGGATCACCTTGAGGTCAGGAGTTCAAGGCCAGCCTGGTCAACATAGTGAAACCCCGTCTCTACTAAAAATACAAAAATTAGCCAGGTGTGGCGGCACATACCTGTAGTCCCAGCTACTCGGGAGGATGAGGCAGGAAAATTTCTTGAACCCAGGAGGTGGAGGTTGCAGTGAGCCAAGAGCAGGACAGAGCAAGAATCTGTCAAAAAAAAAAAAAAAGAAAGAAAGAAAGAAAGAAAGAAAGAAAGAAAGAAAGAAAGAAAGAAAGAAAGAAAGAAAGAAAGAAATTCTGGCATTCTTTTTTGTTTTGTTTTGTTTTGTTTTGTTTTGTTTTTTGTTTCGCTCTGTCGCCCAGGCCAAAGTGCAATGGCACAGTCTCGGCTCACTGCAACCTCTTCCTTCCGAGTTCAAGCAATTCTTCTGCCTCAACCTCCCAAGTAGCTGGGACTATAGGTGTGCACCACCACGCCCGGCTAATTTTTGTATTTTTAGTCAAGACAGGGTTTCACCATAGTGGCCAGTCTGGTCTCAAACTCCTGACCGTCCACCTCATCCTCCCAAAGTGCTGGGATTACAGGCATGAGCCACTGCGCCCAGCCGTCATATTTTATTTGTAATGGGACACAGGGTATCTTCGAAGTCCTTAAAAAGAGATGTGCCAAATGTTAAACTGAGGGAGGCAGTTTTCAGTTGTTTAACTTTAGACTCATCAGGAGTAGAGTGGAAGAAATACTTTGAAAGTTATTTACATTCTTTGCTTAGGTTTTTGACATAGTGAATGGTATCTAGAAAAAGTCAAATTCAATCTTTTGGGTAGTTTTAAATAAAATAAAAATTTTGATTACATATTGATTTTTCTCATGGAAAGGAGATAAGTTCTTCTTGTTGTTGTTGGTGGTGGTGGTGTTGTTGTTGTTGTTGTTGTTGTTGTTTGAGACAAGTCTCGCACTGTCACCCAGGCTGGAGTGCAATGGTGGGATCTCGGATCTCTGCAACCTCCACCTCCCAGGTTCAAGTGATTCTCCTGCCTCAGCCTCCCAAGTAGCTGGGATTACAGGTGCCCACCACCACGCCCGGCTAATTTTTTGTGTTTTTAGCAGAGACGAGGTTTCACTGTGTTGGCCAGGCTGGTCTCGAACTCCTGACCTCGTGATCCACCCTCCTTGGCCTCCCAAAGTGCTGGGATTACAGGCATGAGCCACTGTGCCCAGCTCTTCTTGTTTTGTTGATGACACAATTTCCTTATTCATTCTGTTCACAAACAGGTTTCTATCTCTGATTGCTAACCCAGTTATTTTATAAATGGTTAACCTAGTAGAAGGATTTTAAGAGAACGGGCATACATGAAAGTTATCAAAAATAATTTGAACAAGCTTCTCTTCATTTTCTTCCCAAAATAAGAAAAATGGTCATAAAAACAGCTTGAGCTACCACTGAACATATATTGTTGCTCTGGTAAAGCATGTGTAATTTGGTTAGGGAGTCTGGTTTGCCCACAAATATCTCACTGAACATCTCAGAGAAGTTGATTTCCCTCAAAACAGAGCCTGAGACAAAAGTTCACGTGACACTATCTTACTAGTATCCCTGCAATCCCAGGGAAGCAGGAGTGAGGGAGTAGAAGAATGAGGAAGGGAAGATGGGAGAGCCAATATGAGGATGCCTTACCCCGACAAACCAGCCAAGACATTCCCACCTTCCCCAGGGTCCCCATGTATCTATACAAAGTACATTTCTCTCTCCATACCAAGTGAATGACCATTCGCACTACTCATAACATTGCCTGCCTGGAGAGAGGATTTCTTTTCACAACTGTCCCTCCGTCCTTGAGTGGAACTATAATGTGGTGGCAATTTACTTTCCACTATCGCTAATGTACTGTGAGAATTCATGTGTAAACTGGGCCAAGTTATTTCTTATTCCATCACTTAGTCAGAAGGGGGCACTTACTCCCCTCCCTTCATGAGGCCCAAGTGTGAGTTAAGGGAGGGTTATTGGTGCTACAGAGACAGATGACCTGAAAGTTTGAGATACATGTGCATATAATTCATTCATACCTTTTGAATATGGTCAAGCTGGATGCATATGTTTCATTTATATCATAAGTCTAATGATACACCCATCCAAACTTATCACTTACTGTATCTGATAACATCCTGATGAGTAGATCTAGTTGCATAGTCACCTGGTGTTCCACAATCAGGAACAGTTTCTATTAGAATCCAGTAAAATATCCAAAGCCAGTTTTCATATGAGACCATTCTTGTTATCAGCAGTTCCTGGACCTCATAAGTTGTATTGGCTCTGTTCATTTCAAAGCCTGATTCTTCATCCTTTCTGCCAAACAATGAGTACCTGAATTATCCCAGTAAATTTCCTTTATTTAGGTTAAGCAGAGCCTGTTTTTGTTTCTTACAGCCAAAGAACCCTGCTTCATAAAAATGGTATACTGTTCAGACAGGTTGATGGTAGTTCTGTCATTAATGCAAACTGAATTATGCATTTTTGTATAACATGTTATCTTCATGACATTATTGATCTACTAGAGCAAAAACATAAGAAACTGTTGAGTTTTCCATCATGCCCAAGAGACAAAAAAAAGCAACTTGGGTCTCTCAGCTCCATAGTCAAGCAAAGTAAAATACCACCACACTATTTATACCTAGTTGGATCCTAATTTTCCTTCTTTGGTTATTTCACAACCAATTCATGGTTAACTGTTCAATGTTACACATTTAACTAGTTCAAGAGTAAAATCACATATCTTACTCCAGAAATTATGCCAACTTCATATAAAAGAAAAATCAACTTTTTGAATGCTTTTCTAAGAATTATATTTTTGTACCTACTTAGGAGGTTAGTTTAGGACATTAAAGCTGAAAAAATATCAATACCATTCTTAGGCTCATTTTCCTCAAAAACAACTTCCTAAAAACTGGTTATAGAGATAGCCAGATGGCTGAAGAACAAAGTAGTAGTAAGACTTTTGATTGCCTTCCCTTTTGAACATTTAAAATTTTGCATTATGTAAACAGATACCTAGCCAAAAAATAAAATTTTTTAAAACCACCAAAAAATAAGCTAAAAAGTTGTATGAATTTATGTATCTTTATATAGTAGAATAATAAACATACATTAAAAATTATACTCTTAGGAAACACTAAATGATAATGTATAGGGATGCACACACCATAGCAAAACTATAAAGAAAAATAAATGATTAAAAGTCATTAGGGTAATTCACTTCAGTAGGGAGGGAGATGGTTATGTTATAAGAGTATTTCTGGCTGGGCACGGTGGCTCACGCCTATAATCCCAGCATTTTGGGAGGCCGAGGCAGGTGGATCATGTGAGGTCAGGAGTTCGAGACCAGCCTGACCAACTTGGCGAAATCCTGCCTCTACTAAAAAAACAAAAAAATTAGGCGGGCGTGGTGGTGCATGCCTGTAATCCCAGCTACTCAGGAGGCTGAGGCAGGAGAATCGCTTGAACCCAGGAGGTGGAGGTTGCAGTGAGCCGAGATTGGGCCATTGCACTCCAGCCTGGGCAACAAGAGCAAAACTCTGTCTCAAAAAAGAAAAAAAAAAAAAAAAGAGTATTTCTGGGGTGACTGAGTGAGGTGATAGTTACAGGTGTTCACCTTATAATAATTATTTATATAGTTTATTTGTATTCATATTATATTTAACAATATAAAATTTTGTAATAAAGGAAAAAAATTTTCTTTTTTTTTTTGAGTCAGTCTCGCTCTGTTGCCCAGGCTGGAGTACACTGGCACGATCTCAGCTCACTGCAACCTCCACCCCCTAGGTTCAAGCGATTCTTGAGGTTCAGCCTCCTGAGTAGCTGGGATTACAGGCGCACACCACCACTTCTGGCTAATTTTTGCAGTTTTAGTAGAGACAGGGTTTCACCATGTTGGCCAGGCTGGTCTCGAACTCCTGACCTCAGGTGATCCGCCTGCCTTGGCCTCTCAAAGTGCTAGGATTACAGGCATGAGCCACCACGCCTGGCCAAAAATACTATTTTTTAAGGATTTTTTTTAATAAAATGGGAAAATGTTCACAATACAAAATTCAATGAAATCGAGGATACAAAGCTCTCTATGCAGTATAATCTCAATTAGGTGTGCGCATGTTGTATATTTGTAGAAATCGACATTAAAATAAATATATCAAATATTAATTATACCTTTTAGTTTTTGTATTATTTTATATAGCTGCCATAGTTTCTTAAATGTATGATATAATAATGTGTAAGATGAAAATTTCGTTATAAAGGATGAAGTGATAAACCTAGCTTATAGAGTAAATATTAAACCTTAACCGTTTCAGTTCCTATAAACATAGGCATTTAATACGTTATAACAGTAAAATTTTAGAGCTAGGGGAAATCATAAGAGATTGTCTTCACACATGCCTCTGTTTTACAAATGCAGAAACTAAACAGTAGATAGGCTAGCTGACTTGGCCAAGGCCCCGGGTTAGTCGCAGACCTGGGATGGGGCCAGGTTTAGCACAGTGTTTTGCCCTTCCTCCCACACTGATAGTGCCTTGTATGGAGGTAGAACAGAAAGCCCTGCTCTTTAGGGAAAGTTTCACTAACTTTTCAAAACATGAGTATGTGATAATTATAATTAAGGACTATCACAAATGAAGTGTAAATTTATAAATGTAACCATCTAATAAAGCTTCGGTTAAAATTAATATTGGGGCAAGTTTATTTTTGAATTTTTTAAAGATAGAAAGAAACAACAACAAACCCTTGAGTTTCCAGAAGAACTGCCTGTATTCATTCATTTAACATACTAAAAGCAGCTTGTGACTGCCATAAAGTATGTCATTGCCGCCTTCAGTACTAAAAAAGTGGTCCAGTATATGAGGCAACTGCTCTAAATCATGCTTGTTTGGACAGGCTGTTTCTTAGTTCCACCTCATCTGCACTTTAGCCCCACTCTGTGCTGTGTAGACCCAAGCGATTTGCACAAACACCACATGATCCCAAAGGTACTTTCCCAGGGAGAAGGAAAAAAAACATAAAAGTTAAACTAACCCTTGTAAGTTCTAGTTACCACTTAATCTTTCTATGGTTTGACTACCTTTCTTTTTTTTTTTTTTTTTTTAGTTTTTTAAACACTTCAAGTCATAACTCCTCAGTATTTAATATTTAGATTTTTTTCCCCTTATTCTATTCCCCCAGAGTTAATCTCTTCTCCCCACTTTCGTTCAATATCTATTATGTGCCAGGCACCATCTTCAGTGTCAGGAATACAGAAATAAGCAAAACATGTTCTCTTCCTTCAAGAAGCGAATTTTTTTTTTTTTTTTTTTTTTTTTTTTGTTGAGACAGAGTCTCGCTCTGTCACCCAGGCTGGAGTGCAGTGACACAATCTCGGCTCACTGTAACCTCTGCCTCCTGGATTCAAGTGATTCTCCTGCCTCAGCCTCCTGAGTAGCTGGGACAACAGGCGCATGTCACCATACCTGGCTAATTTTTGTATTTTCAGTGGAGACAGGATTTCACTATGTTGGCCAGGGCTGGTCTTAAACTCTTGACCTCAGGTGATCATCCTGCCTCTGCCTCTCAAAGTGCTGGAATTACAGGCATGAGCCACCGCTCCCGGTCAAGATGCGAATTATTTAGAGGAGCAGCTAGACAGATAAGCTAATGATGGCAATAAAATGTGCTTGGTAGAATAAGGAGATCAATGGTGCTATGCTCATGGCACCTATTACTCTAGGAGTAACAATCAGGGCACTTAACACAAGTGCCTGGTTCTACATTCCCACCTCTTCCTGCAACACGCTATATCTATAAGATGATAAGATGAGCCCAATGGAAGCCCTACAAATCCTGATCCCTACTCTAGGTCAAGCTTATACAAGTAAATAGATTTCTTTTTTTTTTTTTTTTTTTTTTTTGAGATGGAGTTTCACTCTTGTAGCCCAGGCTGAAGTGCAGTGGTGCAATCTCAGCTCACTGAAACCTCCGCCTCCTATGTTCAAGCGATTCTTCTGCCTCAGCCTCCGGAGTAGCTGGGATTACAGGCATGCACCACCACGCCCAGCTAATTTTTGTACTTCATTAGTAGAGACAGGGTTTCACCATGCTGGTTAGGCTGGTCTTGAACTCCTGACCTCAGGTGATCCACCCACCTTGGCCTCCCAAAGTGCTGGGATTACAGGCATGAGCCACCGCACCCAGCCTCAAGTGAATTCTTAAAATGTAGCTTTGAGAATTTGAAATCATTACCTGGGCATTTTTAAAATTTTGACAGTTTATAGTTTACCTAGATGTTTTGGATTATAGACCCCCAAATCTAACGTATTAAAATTTTTTCTGAAACAGAGCTTATTATTTTATGGTTTTGAATTGTCCCTCAGAATCAAAATTGGAAAATATTTTTACTGTGTAATTTTTCTTATGCTTCTTACTGAGAAAATGACTCTCCAAATCTGAAGATGATGAAAAATACACATTGGGATTTGTTACTACTTATGTGTACACATTTGAAAGACAGTTTAAATCCACATACTATTTATGATGTTCTTGGCTGCAAGTAATTAAAAAAATTAATAATTCCCTAGCAAGCAGATGCAGATTGAAAAAATTAAAAGTGGTGAAACTGTAAGGATACTTATTTTACTATATGGCAAGAAGTATGGAGGTAGTTCTGCTCCTGGACTGGCTCAGTCGTCATTAAGGACTCAAGTTCTTTCCTTCGCTCCATGTTCTTTTTTTTTTTCTTTTTGAGACAAAGTCTTGCTCTGTTGCCCAGGCTGGAGTGCAGTGGTGTGATCTCGGCTCACCGCAACCTCTGCCTCCTGGGTTCAAGCGATTCTCCTGCCTCAGCCTCCCGAGTAGCTGGGATTACAGGCATGTGCCACAGCTGCCAGCTAGTTTTTGTATTTTTATTAGAGGCAGGGTTTTGCCATGTTGACCAGGCTGGTCTGGAACTCCTGGCCTTAAGTGATCTACCTGCCTCGGCCTCCCAAAGTGCTGGGATTACAGGCATGAGCCATGGAGCCAGCCTCATGCTCTCATTCTTTGCGTGGTGGCTTAGTCCTCAAGCCTTATCCTTCATTGCTGCAAAGTGGCTGGGGCATATCTTGACATCACATGAAGACCTAGAATCATTATCTTCCATGCCCCACTTTTTATTTAATGGGGAATATTTTTCCTGAAGTCCCCACAGAATTAGCTCCGTTGGCCACAGTTGCCTCTCATACCCAGGCATAAGTCATTCATTGTGCAAAGGGTATGAGACTACCATGATTAGCTTAGATCAATTAAGATAGGCTTTTATGAGACTGCAGAGGGGTCTATCTTCCCTCAGATAACATGTTGAAGGATAAACATATCTGAGATTTTGTTAGTATGGAAAAAGCAGTGTAAGGCAAATAGTTTCAGGGAAATTATACTCAAACTAAAAATTCAGTGTAAAATAAATACAACAACTTTACTACCCACAAGTTTTGGTATGATGCTTAGAATCTGATCTAAAATCCACTCACTCTATTCTTTCAGCAAACATTCTTTGATCACTTATTACACGTTGGGCACTGTTCTCCGTACTAAAGCAGAGAACAAGACAGATACGTATTTGTATTGGGAATGCTTTCAGCAGCAACTGACAGAATAGGAAATTAAAAGTGGCCAAACCATAGGGACATTCAGTGTTTGCCCAGAGAAATTTAGAGGGAGGCAATCCCTAGTCCATCTCCTCTGAAATATAACCAAGAGTCCAGGTTCTTTCTTCTCTGGGTCCTTAACGTGCTGACTTTTGTCTTTATTCTTTTCACTTCATTGTTCCATAGCTGTCATAGTTCTAAATACCTCATCTACTTTCAAACGAGAAAGAAATGGTAAAGGACACTTTTTTCTTATTATTGTCCCTTTTGCAAAGATTTAAAAACCTCCAGAAGCCTCCTATGCAGATTGCCATGAAATCTCATTGGCAGGATTGTGTGCCACACTGGTCTTCTCAAAAGCAAAGGAGTCTAGGAAGGTAATTATCCAACAAAGTGTTATGGAGCCACACACACTGCTGCCCCAGATAAAATGGGGATTTTTTTTTTTATAAGGGGAGCCATGGATAATGGTTACCCAATTACAATGTTTGCCGTAGTCCCCTTTTCCTGGAATTAATTCTCTGGCCACTTCTTGGAAAAGTAATAATAAATTAGGAGTACTTTTCATACTCTAGTTTTAAAATTATGTGTGAGGAATTTGTAGTGGTTCTTAATGTTGTTTTTGCACATTCAACTAGAAAAGCAATTGGCCAGGTGTGGTAGCTCACACCTGTAATCCCAGCACTTTGAGAGGCCAAGGCAGGTGGATCATCTGAGGTCAGGAATTGGAGACCAGCCTGACCAAGATGGTGAAACCCCGTCTCTACTAAAAATACAAAAATTAGCTGGGTGTGGAGGCGGGTGCCTGTAATCCCAGCTGCTCGCGGGGCTGAGGCAGGAGAATTGCTTAAACCTAGGAGGCAGAGGTGTCCGTGAGCTGAGATCCTACCATTGCACTCCAGCCTGGGCAACAGAGCGAGACTTCATCTCAAAAAAAAAAAAAAAAAAAAAAAAAACACTGGAAAACAGACATTTTGCCTTTATTCCAATGTGGCTTTAGAATTTTTCATAAGGAATATGTATTAAGATATTACTTATATAAATACAAATGAATAATATATAAAATAATTAGCGAAAAATCTGTTAAAGACTAATAATCTGTGTTCTTCTGCCCACATCATTTGGTCCCTGGTCCTGTTCTTGCTCAATGTTTGCAAAGAACCAAAGGCACACTACAAATAAGTAGAAATCTCTGTTGTGCTCTGACCCTTGATCTGTTCTGTGATCACTGTTCCCTTTGGCTTTTTTTTGTTTTGTTTTGTTTTGAAACACAGACTCACTTTGTCACTCAGGCTGGAATACAGTGGCACAATCTCGGCTCACTGCAACCTCTGCCTCCCGGGTTCAAGTGATCCTCCTGCCTCAGATCCCTGAACAGCTGGGACTACAGCCATGCACCACCATGCCAAGCTAATTTTTGTATTTTTAGTGGAGATGGGGTTTCACCATGTTGGTCAGGCTGGTCTTGAACTCCTGACCCCAAGTGTCCGCCCACCTCGGCCTCCCGAAGTGCTGGAATTACGGGCATGAGCCACCGCACCCAGCCCTCTTTGACGTTTTATCATATATTTTTTCATTTGGAAGTGACTTTTCTGTAAGTTGTCACAACAATGAAATGTCTATTGACTTCTAAGCAAACCCTCAAATCATTAAACCTTGTCATTAACCACTCTATGTCCCCAGTGTTGTTGTGGTTTGTTAAGTAAAGAACTTCTGTTGAACAAGTGCTTTTTGTTTGTTTGTTTGTCTGGGTCTTGCTCAGTCACCTAGAGTACAGTGGTGCAATCACAGCTCACTACAGCCTCAACCTCCTGGGCTCCAGTGATCCTCCCACTTCAGCCTTCCTAGTAGCTGGGACCCCAGGCACCAGGCACCACACCAAGCTAATTTTTTTTTTATTTTATGTAGTGACAGGGTCTCACCATGTTGCCCAGGCTGGTCTCAAACTCCTGGATGAAAGGGTACCTCCTACCTTGACCTCCCAAAGTGCTAGAATTACAGGCATGAGCCACTGTGCCGAGCCTTGCTTGTTTGTTTTTTGAGACAAGGTATTACTCTGTCACCAAGGCTGGAGTACAGTGGCATGATCATAGCTTACTGCAACCTTGAACTCCTGCCCTCAAACCATCCTCCTGCCTCAGCCTCCTGAGTAGCCAGGACTACAGGCAAGCATCACCATGCCTGGCTTGAGCAACTGATATATATCATTTATCTTAATCACCTTTCTAAAAAGTTTTTTTGTTTGTTTGTTTGTTTGTTTGTTTGTTTTGAGACAGAATTTCGCTTTGTCACCCAGGCTAGCGTGCAATGGTGAGATCTCAGCTCACTGCAACCTCCGCCTCCCAGGCTCAAGCAATTCTCCTGCCTCAGCTTCCCGTGTAGCTGGGATTACAGGCACCCACCACCATGTCCAACTAATTTTGTATTTTTAGTAGGGATGGGGTTTCACCATGTTGGCCAGATTGGTCTCAAACTTCTGACCTCAGGAGACCTGCCTGCCTCAGCCTCCCAAAGTGCTGAGATTATAGGCGTGAGCCACCCCACCTGGCCTCTAAAAAATATTGATAAATTTACAGAAGTTATTTAAAATGTTGAAAATTGTAAGCAACATAGCAATCTTGAGTTGACATGTATAAAGCATGGTATTTACTTTTTTATTGATTTATTAATTCATATTCTCATTTTCTCCCTCGGTGCTAGAAAGCAAAGAGCTAGTCAGGCATGAGAATGATTAAAAACCCTTGTGAGCTAGGAAGAGAGAAGAATCTAAACAAAAACGAACCTAAGGAAAAGAACAACAAATTAGGCTTTGTGAAATGGAAGGAAGAAAGGAAAGGGAAAGGAAGGGAGGCCTAGTTCATAATGTGTTATATGATTTAGATTTTTACACAAGTAAGATATTAAAGAATTACAAGTTAACCATCTAAATGTAATACTTTCCAAATAACTTAGAAGTAACATAGTCTGATTTATTCTAAGATGTGCTATCATTTATCTTGAAAAATTTTCAGTAGAAAAATGATCATAATTTACTGGATTTTTCCTACAGTAAATCATTTATTTTTATTTATTCTTATTGGCTCTATTGAAAACTGTGTCCCTTTATTACCTTGTTGAAAATCTAAACCATCAATAGAACAGCAAAGCATATTTTAATGAAGTTAAAACCTGTTGCAACCCTAAGCAAGTAGAAGATTGAAAATAAGACTTTAATCTGTACACCAGGCAATTCTCTAAACCTGTCACTAAATTTTTTGAATCCACCTATCCAAAAGGTCAGCAAAAGTAAAGGCTTCATTGCACAAGTTGATACCAGTACTGTGCCCTTTGCCAAGAATGCTTGGGAAAATAAAGGATTCCATTGTTTCAACAGATTGACCTGGCAACTTAGTCCAGAAATGTTTTCTTTAGACTAATTTAGCAGAAGAGATGAATAAAGTCAAACAACTGTTTTACGGTAGAAGCACTTCAAAGTAGTGCTTGAGAGCTCTGAAGTTTGAATGATCTAGCTTTGAATCTTGACTCCACCAGCTGTGAGCTCTTAGTAAGTCCATTTAACTTCTTATGACTCAATTTTTCCATTTGTAAGTTGGGCATGAGGGCACTCAAACATGGCATACTGCTGGCTGTCTCTTAATACTCATTCTTCTCATCTTTCAAAGCAACAGAATCTTAGTTCTTAGCAGGACACACAGGTGAGTGGAAAAAAATCTCTTTTACAACTAGGTGTGGCCATCTGAGTTTTGGGATATATGTGGCAATGGCATGTGCTACTTCTGGGAAGTATTCTTAAAGAAAGGGGTAGGACTTCCTCTTCCTTCTTCCTACAGCTAGAATATGGACATGAAGGCAGAAGCTCCAACAGTTTCCTCTGTGGATGAGGTGACCTTGGAATTGGAAGCTATATGTGCCAGAGGTATTAGACAGAAAGAGATTGAGTCTCTGCCACCGTATCATATCAACCCCAAACTGACTCTTCTGGATTTCTTGAATAGGCAAGAGAAATAAACCATTGACCGAAGCCATTGTTTTGGGATATTTATTTCTCTGTCTGCCAAACCTAATTCTAATTAATAATACTACCACAAAGAAAGGTTTTAAGAATTAAATGAGATTATGTGCTAGCTACATAGTAAGTGTGCAATACATCATGCTTATTATTACTATTATATTATTATTAAACAAGGATAATATTATGGTCTAACTATTCAGAAAAATAAAATATATCTGGAAAGTCTTACCTTTCAGACCAGTGGCATTAAAGAACTATAAGGGTGCCTATCAAAGAATAGAGTTTCTCCTGAGAAGCAATTTTTGATGTATTAGAATAAATTACCTGCAATAAAGAAAAGAGGTCAAACAGACCTGGAATAGCTCCTAATCCCCATGGTAACCACATATTTTCTTACACCAAGTGTTGCCTAATGTTCTTAGTCTGAAGGACTCTGAATTTTAAAAAGAAATTTAAAATGGAAAATAAAGGTATGCACACATGATGCCCCGTAAAGTGAAACCATTTAAATGGTGAAAGATCTCCTGATGATAACCTCAATTAACAACAATAGCACTATGAACAAAAGAAACAATTTTGTAAAGGGAAATACACTCTAAAAACTCAAAACAAGGACCTTCACTATCTATCAACACACACACACATGCACACACACAATCACATACACACACATATATATGACTTTTATATCAGAAATTGTCAATAATGATCTATAATTCCACAATATGTATCACAGACACTGATGGAGAATTAAAAATTAAGGAGCAGCCTTCCTCTGCTTCCAAACACAGACTATGTCCAAAATCATGTCAAAAATGTCTCTACTAGCGCAACCCAATAGTTTTTAAAAGAATCCATTGACACATAAAATCTCAGTAGGGCCAAGCTTGGTGGCTCACGCCTGCAATCCCAACACTTTGGGAGTCCAGGCAAGTGGATCACCTGAGGTCAGGAGTTCAAGACGAGCCTGGCCAGCATGGTGAAACCCCATCTCTACTAAAAATACAAAATTAGCCAGGTGTGGTGGCAGGCGCCTGTAATCCCAGCTACTCAGGAAGCTAAGGCAAGAGAATTGCTTAAACCCGGGAGGCGGAGGTTGCTGTGAGCCCAGATAGTACCATATCGCACTCCAGCCTGGGCAACACAGTGAGACTCCGTCTCCAAAAAAAAAAAAAAAAAAAATCTCAGTAGGTTTCTAGACTATCCCTTTACTATGGAAAATATTTGTGCCACCTTTTCCATAACTTTATTGCTGCCAGAGCACATCTTAGATTGCTATTTTGCTTTCCCTAATAAGCATAACATCAATTCTCTTGCTTGTATTTACTTTTCTTGTTACTTGTACCTAAACTAACAGCTTAGGTATCTTGAGGTCCTGGCAGAAAAGGCAAGAATAAATTTTATAATTGATTAACTAAAAAATTATCATTTTGGACATCCCCAGGGCAAACAAAGGAGTAGCAATGGAATCCAACAGAGGTAAAGGATAACAACCATAGTCCACCTAATCAGAATTCCTTCTTTGAGGTTGAGACTGAAAAAGAGGGTGGGGGCAATGTAGGTATCAGTCAGTATTTTACAGAAAAAGAAATGTAATGCTCAGTGATGTTAAATAGGTTGTCCAAGGTCACACAGCCCAACCAGGATTTAACTCTAGGTCTCTTTACAGCTAAGGTTCTTTCTAGCAAGCCATTCAGCCTTCACAGTGTACTAACAACAGAGAGGACAAAAGCAGAATTTTGCCTTTAATACTTGCAATAATAATGCAATAATCATAAATGTACCTGGGAAGTTGCTGAAAAGATAGAAAATAACTCAGTATTGAAAAATGCACATTAGGAGATTTATATTCAAAGAAAAGGTAACTCTTGAAGACTGTTTTGGAAGTCAGTATCTTTCAGATTTTAGAAAAAAAAGCAGGATACATATGCCATATATTATACTTTCAGCAGGATCTGGGTAGCACCCTCTTAACCATATTAATATCACTGTAGTAAAGCATGTGCATATTCACACTAAGTGAGATAAATAAAGACTACAGGCCGGGCACAGTGGCTCACGCCTGTAATCCCAACACTTTGAGAGGCCAAGGCGGGCAGATCGCCTGAAGTTCAAGACCAGCCTGGCCAACATGGTGAAACCCCATCTCTACTAAAATACAAAAATTAGCTGGGCATGATGGTGGGTGCCTGTAATCCCAGCTACTCAGAAGGCTGTGGCGGGAGAATCACTGAAACCTGGGAGGCAGAGGTTGCAGTGAGCCGAGATCACACCATTGCACTCCAGCCTGGGTGACAAAGGCGAAACTCTGTCTCAAAAAAAAAAAGACTACAAAGGTGCATATCAGTTCAGTACAGTTTCAGTGCTAAATGAGTTCAGGTCAAGTCAGGTCAGGTTTTGAATTTTGAAAACACTTCCTCTTTTCATAGCTTTTTGGATTTCATAATTTCAGGTAAGGGATGTGAAACTGTACTATGTCCT